>NC_000004.12:29947010-30571105 GCF_000001405.40 Homo sapiens
TTGAGACTAGGAGTTGAGACCAGCCTGAGCAACATAGCAAGAGCCTATCTCCACAAAAGAAAATTTAAAATTTTCCCGGCATGGTGGTGCATGCCTTTCTTTCTAGCTACTTACTACTTGGGAGGCTGAGGTAGGAGGATAGCTTTAGCTCAGGAGTTTGAGGCTGCAATGAGCTGTGACAGTTACTGCACTGTACTCCACCCTGAGCAACAGACAGAGGCCTTATCTCTAAATATATATATATATACACAGAAATTTCTATATAAATATAGAAATTTTTCAAGTATATTTCAAAATATTTTTAAAATATTGAAAGTATTGAAATACTTTCAGTAGTAAAACTCTGTCCCTTAAACTGCATCACAGTCACAGCATTTAACAGAAATATATTTAAAATAATAATGTCTTAATACCCCATAGTATAGAACTAGACATTTTTAACATGTGACTTTGTGTGTGAATATCAGTGTGTTTGTTTTCTCAGTTAATTCCATATATTATACAAACATATATTAAGAATTAAAATGAAAAGTAAAAAGTAAAAACAGACATTACATACTTATCCCTCATACTTTTCAGGGTTTTTAAAAATAGTTTTTATATCCTAGGTCTGCCCTTTCATTATTCTAACACATTCACATTGCTCATGTCATAATTAGAATAAAATGACATAAACATGTTAAAGTTTATGTAATAGCTAACAATGTTCATTAATTTTGTCAGTATTTTTTATGCAATCATTATTAATTGTGTTAATTGAGCACTGGAATTCTATTATTTACTACTTATGATTGTTTTATAGTGGCTGTCAGTGATCATAGGATATAATTAAGATTTACCTGGATTGATTTAGAAACCATGAATTCTAAAAGTCACACATGACACTAAAATACAAAAATATGTAACCGGTTTAAAAGTAGCTGAAAAGTAATTATTTAAATCTATATGGCAAATGTGTTGTATTTATCTTCTCCTTTCAGTAATCAAATAATTCCTTTAGCAATCACAGATCAACTAAAATATCATTAAAATAGCAAATGACCAAAGGTTACAAAATGTGATTGAAAGCTGGTGTGGTTTGTCTTCGTGTCCCCACCCGAATTTCATCCGAAATTGTAATACCCATGTGTGGAGGAAGGGAACTGGTGGGAGGTGATTGGAACAGGTGACAATTTCTTCCATGGTGTTCTCCTGATAATGAGGGAGTTCTCGGGAGATCTGATGGTTTAAAAGTGGCAGTTTCCCCTATGTTTTCTCTCTCTTGCCCATAGCCTTGTAAGATGTGCCTTGCTTCCCCTTCACCTTCCACCATGATTGTAAGTTTCCTAAAGCCTCCCCAGCCATGCATAACTGTGAGTCAATTAAACCTCTTCTCTTTATAAATTAGTATCTCTATAGCAGTGTGAGAGCAGACTAATAACACAAAAACCTAGATATTTTGCAAATTGCATAGTGTTGTATTTACTGGTTGAGAATTGACCATTCAACAGGTTAGTGTTGCTCTCTTACGTTCCTTGTGAGAAAGCAACTGATATAAGATAATAGCTTTTTCACCCCATTCCTGTGGCTTTCCTAACACATTCACACTTAACTCTGCAAACTCTTCCTTTCCAAGCCTGCGGTTACTCTTTCTTCCCTGCTTTGCAAATCCTCACCCTCAGCATGTCACAATCTCCTAGACATCTACAAACAAATGCAATCTCTTCTTCTGAGGATGGATTGTTAAAAGAAAACACCCAAAATGAGGCTATGTAGATAGACATTAACAGGATTTTGTTCTTCACCTTTCCACTAGGCCCATGATAACAAATACACCATTATGTCTGCAAAGCCCCACATTCACTTAGAGATAAATAACAACTTTATTCATTTGAGTATTTAAAACCAACTCATTAACATCATAAAGACATTTACTTATGTTAATCATACATTCATTCAATAAACACCTTATTTACTCTCTGCTCTAAATAAGCCATAGTGATTCATTTTTTTCTTTTTTTGTGTCTGATATTTATTTAGTAGATAAAGGTATTCAAACTTTATAGCCTGGGCATGGTGACTCACACCTGCAATCCTAGCACTTTAGGAGGACAAGCCAGGAGGATGTCTTGAGCCCAGAAGTTTGAGACAAGCCTGGGCAATCAAATGAGACCCTGTCTCTTTTTATTAAACAAATAAATAAATAAAAATAAATAACTTTGTAGAAACTGTACTGTAGATGCACCATACTTTTGAAACAAAATAAATTTTGCACTATAAAATGTTAATTTAATTTAATAAGAATGTTTGCTTTCTTGGGAATTAAGTATTGTCAAATGTGGTAGTTACCTGTATAAAGATTACAGTCAAGCTACTGAAAGGCAACATTTTATTCATTCTATCCACATTATTTCTAAAATTATTCTGTAATTACAAGTATTTTTAGTACAAAAAAAAAGAATAAATGAAACCTACTATTTGCTAGCACAACAACGTGACCACAGTGAAAAACAAATTAATTGTACCTTTTAAAATAACGGAAAGTGTTTAATTGGATTGTTTGTAACACAAAGGATAAGTGATTGAGGTGATGGATACCACATTTACCCTGATGTGATTATTACACATTGGATACCTGTATCGAAATATCTCGTGTAACTCATAATTATATACACTTACTGTGTACCTATAAAAATCAGAAATAAAAATTACTTCAAAAATTATTCTTTATATACACTTCATTGTTTTGTATTAACGTTTCTAAAAGTACAATGTACATTTTCAGTAAGTATATTATTTTTCAACTAAGGTTAAATATAATAAGTAAAAGGTTGTCTGATGATATAATAAAGGTTTTATTTAAAATGAATATTTTAGCAATCATTTGAAGAGCATTTTATTAAAATATACAAACAAATATTTTAAGAACAGAAAATGTCCTGGTAAAAAGTTATCATAGAAAATATTGTCTGGCTGGGCACGGTAGCCCACGCCTGTAATCCCAGCACTGTGGAAGGCCGAGGTGGGCGGATCACAAGGTCAGGAGATCGAGACCATCCTGGCTAACACGGTGAAACCCCATCTCTACTAAAAATACAAAAAATTAGCCAGGTGTGGTGGTGTGCCCCTGTAGTCTCAGCTGCTGGGGAGGCTGAGGCAGGAGAATGGCATGAACCTGGGAGGTGGAGCTTGCAGTGAGCCGAGATTGCGCCACTGCACTCCAGCCTGGGCGACAGAGCCAGACTCCATCTCAAAATAAATAAATAAACAAATAAATAAGAAAATATTGTCTCCTTATAGATCAATTTACAGAAGAGGAAGAGCATTGAGTTGCTGGCCAAGGATGTTGTTCATGTGGATCATTCTCTTATGAAGTGATTGTTTTAAAAATTAATAATTTTGTTAGCTAATGTATCATGTTTCATTTATCACTTAAAGAGAGTGTGTTATGTAAAAACACTTTATTAAGTATATTTATGAGTAATTTAAAGATACATAAATCATGGGTCCTTAAACTATAAAATGTTCAAAGAGTGCTAATCATGATAAAATATCAAATAATGTTACATCATGGGTTAGCAAAAGAGTTTTTTATTATCTTTAGAATTTGTTCATAGTGAATAAGATTTGTCTTCTGATATGAGATATTGAATATCTTTCAAAAATCTACTATTCCAATTAAGTGTAATTCCACCAAAACACACAAGGTATTTGAATTGAAAATCTTTGCCTGCATGCCACATACCAGTCTTTCAGAATTTCATGATGTTGATTACTACCTAAAATAAAAGAAAGTAATTTAAATATCTATTTTTGTTATCTGAGGACAGATTAAAGGTCTTCACAAAAATTATACAGTGTCTTTAACATAAATTCAAGTAATACACACTTCCTAAAATTCTAATTTCAAAATGACACTAAGCTGTGATTTCATGATACAAAAAAAGTCTTTTGTTCACATAATCACTTAATTTTTAAAAAGGTTGAATATTGAAATGAAGAGCTAAAAATTTTCATTTGGAATCCTTTTGAAATACTTTAAAATCTACAAGTGAAAAACTTGGACCAGTTAATGCTATTACAAATATTTAAAGATTACATTAAATAAGATGTGAAAAATAGTATTTAATGCATGTATTCAATCAAATAAATGTATATTTTTGATACATTAGAGCAACTGCTATAATATAAAAATTCTTTAATAAGAGTGATAATAGTGATAAATAAATCCAAATTATTTCCCATGTATTTGAAGATGATCTTTTATGGAGAAGCTGTCACACAATCAATTATCATATGTCAAAGTTAGTTAATCTTCAAATATAAAAAGGAATATACATACCATTACAAAATAACTAAGGTAATCATTTATGAAAATTTTCCAGTTTGCAAATTGGGGTCATTTCTGAGGCTATTCTCACTAATGTAGCCACTAGCCATCTGTGAATACTGAACACTTGAAAAGTGGCTAGTCTAAATTGATATATGCTTTAAGCATAAAATATACACAGGATTTTCAATACTTGTATGAAAGAGTTAAAATATATTATCAATAATGTTTTATTGACTAGGTGTTGAAATGGTATGCTTTTAGAAATATTGGTTAAATGAAATATTTTATCAAATATATATTATCAAAATATAATTTACTTTTCTTAATGTGGCTTCTAAAAATGTTAATACCCACAATATATTCTACTGGATATTGCTGTTTTGATGATTATTTATTGATCAGTTTATTTAAAATCTTGGGGAAATTTTATCTCAATATATGCCTCAAGTATGTTATAGGATAAAGGCAAGTAATCCTTACTGACAAAAAGGAAAGGCTCAACTTCAAACAATATAATGATTATAGGTTATTCACTAGGAAAAGTCAGCCCATTATGTGGATTCATAAAATGAGAGAAATAAGATTGTCATATAATTGTTGCATGAAATAAGTAATCATGGATGTGAGACCAAATGTGCAAAGTCACCTCAAAAAGACCAAATGATTACCAGGACAGTGGAATTGCTTGTAACCTTTATAAGTAATGAAAATGCTAAAGAAAGACGAGGTCAGTAGGAAGAGTTGGGGGTGAAAATTTAAAAAAAAATAAAGAGCAAAGAAACGTAAATGCAAATATCAGTAATGCTCATCTAAACATCATGGATGAGAATGTGGTAGCTGTAATATCTAGTTTATTGAACAGAGGTGATGGTTCTGATATTTAATGAATTTTAACTGTGGCTTGATCTTTTTGTCTATGTCTTTTTTTTTTTTTTTTTTTTTTTTGAGACAGAGTCTTGCTCTGTCGACTAGGCTGGAGTGCAATGGAGCAACCTCGACTCACCGAAACCTCTGCCTCCCGGGTTCAAGCGATTCTCCTGTCTCAGCCTCCCGAGTAGCTGGGACTACAGGCATGAGCCACCACACCCAGCTAATTTTTGTATTTTTAGTAGACATGAGATTTCGCCATGTTGGCCAGGCTGATCTCGAACACTTAACCTCAGGTAATCCGCCCACCTCGGCCTCCCAAAGTGCTGGGATTATAGGCGTCAGCCATGGTACCCGGCCTATTTTATGTTTTATGATAGAAACCTAGTTTACCTGAATGCTGCTAAATATGAGACTCTGATAAATGGGAATGCCTGATTTGAAGTCTGATAAACAGGACGAGAATGTGAGATGAGTCTGGGAGGTCACTGGATGTTACCAAGCAGCCTCCTTCAACTATGGGCTGAATTTACCTCTTACTTAATATTGTTGAAATACATGGAGTTATTAGATGGATATTTGAACAGTATTCACATTAATATATTTTGTGATAGTTGATGCTATGGATACAAGTATATGCGTTTGCAGATGCATGTGTGTGTGAGAGAGAGAGGAGAGGGACAAACAACACATTTTACTGTACTACTGTAATCAAAGCCATGGAAGAACCATACAATGACTGTGACCTCTGGAAGGGGCAGAATTATGGCTTGTGTTTCACATATACTCATTAGATGCAGATATATATTTTTGAGACACAAATATGTCGACAAGAAATCATGGCTGTTGTTAATGCTTATCTAATTTATAATCATTTGCACATCTTGCCTAATGCTAAACAAATTTATCTTGGCCTCTTTATGTTATCCCTAGAGCCCAAATCTAAAGAGGAGATGATAAATGAAAGTTGATAAAATCTATCTTTGATAAAATATTAGGAATAAAATATTCGTTATTTTCAGAACTATGATATAGTAGTAAACTATATTTCTCTTCATACTTACTACTCATCAGTTTAATCATGATATTTTCAACTGTTTTCTAGAACCTCATATATCAGCCTGTGAAACATTCATAGTTACTGAAACTTTCTTGCTAGAAATTTTATGTCTTGGAAGATTGCTGCAAGAGGGACACAGTGTCTGAACAGTAGTAAAATTGTAGCTACCTTGAGGAGTATCTGCTTAGAAGAGGAAAGCTAAGCAGTAATAGATTAGAAGTGAGAGATCCTAGAGAGATAAACACCATAACCAAAAAGGAACATAGAAATAATGACCTTGAAGTGTCTCATTTTATGAGAAAAGGTCTAGGAAAAATCATCACTATATGCTCCATTATCTCATTATAATACATTCATCAGACTCTCAGTTTTTGAACAATTGAGAAGGATATTGTCTCAAGATGCTTATTCTAGCTGTGCCATGTTGCATTTGAGATCATGTTTTCAACCCTTTTGAGCATATTCTTGAATTCCCTATTTCCAGTTACTATCAAATGTAAATGAAATATTGAGGAAATGCCATTTTCAAAGATAGCATGACAATATTATAGCCCCCTGTATTTCTCCTCTGTTATATCTCCCCCATGTTGAATTATTAATTTAATATACAGCTTCTAAGACAAACATGTAAACTCCATGAGGGCAGGAAAATATTTGGTCTTACTTCCGAGTTCTTATAGTGACTGGCAGAGCTATTGCTCAAAAATTGGGCAATACTTACTTGATAATTTAAGAAAGGCCTCGCAGAAAGTGTGAAGATGTGAAGGCTGTATTTTTAATGCAACTGCAAGGCAATTCACTCTGCTCATGTAGCACATTATCAATGAAACCTATCCTGATATTTCAACCGGAAGTAATCTTCTTTTGAAAACTCTCACCATCTTTTGCATATACTTCTTTTAGTGAACATCATTCTCCCTTGCATTTTCAATGGTTACAAACATATTTTCTTTCAGGTATTGCAATCTCAATGCCCACAGAGAATAAAAAACTGATATAAATAATAAAGCCAGCTTTGGTTAGTGATTGTCACAGTGTCAAACTGGAAAGTTATCTAAGGAAAACAGGTAATACTCAAGTCCAGCTAAGGGACCTTGTTTGAGAACTCACATTTGGCACCGTCAGAACAATTCTGTTTCATCTCATCTAACATATCAAAGTTCCCAAAGTCATTACTTATATTTTACTTTAAAAAATTGTATCTATAGAGTATCAGAATAACTATTGCATATAGTTGGCATTACATTGGTTTTTAAAAATTAGTTACAGCATGTAGTATAAATACTGTTACAGTCTTTAAAAGAATAAAATTAGTCAAAATGAAATGAATATTACTTATTGGTTCCATTTATTACTTCTTATTTATGCAGGGCATTAGGCTAGAGTCACCATGAGTTAAAATGTCCTACTTCCCTAAGAGTATTAGAGGAATGTTTGCCATAATGCACATTCCAGTTCTGAAAATTGATTAAAGATGCACTCCTATTTTATCTTGAAATGCTGTAGCATAGAATTCAGATAGCACATGAGAATTTTACCAGGCCTATTAAATCAGTAAATCAGTTCAAATACTACAACCTAACAACACGTGGGACAGTTGTTTGAATTCTAGAGCTCATTAAAAAAATTGTGGATGGGCTACTTAAAAGCATGTATGATTTCTTATTCATTCTTGCATATTCTAATGCTAAACACTGTGCTTTTAACTTTTTGGTATTCTAAAAAATATCTAATGAATTAACAAATAAAATAATAGTTGAAAATTAAAAACAGCTTTTCTGAAAGTGAACCATATTTAATTTACTAAAAATTGCCTTAAGCAAACATAAGTTTCTGGGGTACAGGCATCCCTAGGAAATACTGCAGGTTCAGTTCCAGGCCTCTGCAATAAAATTATCATGATGAAGTGAGTAAAACAAATTTTTTGGTTTCCCAGTGCATGTAACAGTTATATAAGTGTACAATATAATTATGCCTTAAAAACAAGGTACATATCTAAATTAAAAATAATTTATTGCTAAAAATGCTTATAGAGACAGGGAGCGAGCACATGTTGGGAAAATGGCGCTACAGACTTCTTTCATGCAGGGTTGTCACAAATTTTCAATTTGTGAAAAAACAGGCTCTGTGAAGAGGAACAAAATGAAACAATAAAATGAGGTGTGCTTGTATTAGCAAATAAATCCATATAAGTAATACTGAGCATCTTTCTTTTAGAAATGCTAGGCTGAAGGCTTCAGATAAGAAAGTTTGGGGTAATTTCATTTTTTCTAATCTGACCTCCAAGCTAATCTCTTGTTGCCCTGATTCCATATCTGACTTATCCAACATGGCATTTGCCAGACCCCTTCTTAAACCTGAGAGTATTTCAATTTAATATACATTTTTTTAAAATCTCAGTATTTAATGTACAGATATTTAATTCTAACAATAAAATTACATTATTATATATCATATATTTCTTTTTGTGCTTTGTTATGAGATAATCAATTTATATATCTATACAGCTTAATAAGCTCACCAAGGGAGGATCGCTTGACTCTAAGAGTTCAAGAGCAGCCAGGGCAACACGGAGAAACCTCGTCTGTACAGAAATTTAGCCAGGCATGGTGGCAGGCACCTGTAGTCCCAGCTACTTAGGAAGCTGAGGTGGGAGAATCACCTGTGCCCATGAAGTTGGGACTGCAGTGAGTAGTGACTGGGCCACTGCACTCCAGCCTGGGCAACAGAGTGAGAGCCTACCTCAAAAAAAAAAAAAAAAAAAAAAAAAAAAAAGAAAGAAAAGAAAGAAAGAAAAGAAAAGAAAAAAGAAAAAGACAAAAGGAAACTTGTTGCCAGGATGTTCTGAGATGGCATGGCTTCAGGTACAGCAGGATTCAGGTGCTTAAACATGTCATCAGGAACCCATCTCCCTCCCTCCTTCAGCTGTTTTCCTTGGCTTTGGTTTTGTTTTCTGGCAATCTCACACCTACTGTTGAACATGGTGACTATCGCTCACAGCTTCTTCACATAGGCTCTTTGCGAAAAATTTATTGTAATGTATGCACGCTGCTTCCTGTAAGGCTGTTGCAGGAATAAAGTCACCATTAAAACCACTTGGCTCTTAGTCCTGCATATGATACTCCTACTACTGATTCCTAGTTCCTGAAATGGAACCAGTTTCCAGCCTCTCTTGATACCTAACCGTGGGAAACAGGTGACACTTGCCAAAGTCCTGTGTCCCCTTGGATGAGAGAAAAAAAGTCATTGACTGTTTGCCCCACAAACTTATCATCTAAACTTTATAGCTCCCTTTTAAAAGATGCCTGAGGCTAAAGTGAGGATAACTTGAGCCCAGAAACAACATAGCAAGACCTCATTTCTCTAAAAAATCTATATCTTTATATACACATACATATTATTTATATATATATCTGTATACATATACATGTGAGAATTAAAATTTATGTGTATATATTTATATAATATATATGTGTATATACATATGCATATGCATACACATACACACTTAAGGTTATACATAATACCGTTAATTGACAATTCTTCTGCATTTATAAATCATTAATAAAATAATTAAAGACACTTTATTTTTCAGTTGAGCATAACACATACACACAACTACTTTTTTAAAACATCCTAAAACCAAATGAAATTAGAGACAATTATTCTGACAAAGAAAAAAATCTTGAAAGCCAGTATTTTTGGAACATTTGGTGATTTCTGGGGACAGTGGGAGAGAATGTTTACAATTGAGACTGTGATAGGAGAATAGATTGTAAATTTGCCATATAAATCATGTGGAAACGTTTGCCTATTTAGTCCATACAATTTGTAATATAATGTATACTGCTTGTAAATAAACATACTCCTTTTCAAAACCTTTAAAGTATAAGTTCCTTATGCCTCTTATTTTGACATGGATTGTCACTTGAAAATAGAAAATTAAATACTTTCTTGAAGAATCAACAAATCTTGATACTTATTTAACTACCTCATTATTTTACATTTCAGAAAAGAGAATTCATCTGAATTTCACTGTGCCTAATTTAGTTAGTCCAACACTAGTTCTCAGTATACAGTTTACAATGTGTCTTCTTTATTTTACTATCTATTTTAGTCCTCTTGCCAGATGAAAAGGAAAAAGAAATCTGCATTTATTGTGATTTTAAGTTCTACCTTCTCCTTTGCTTTTTACTCATCTTATTCTGATATGATGTGTAAGTTTGTTTCTTTTCACCCCCTTTTCTGTTTTCCTAAACTATACAGTGAAAAATTTACCCTTAACAAAACACCAATTTACAGGGTAAATATGCTATAACAAATCATCATTGCTTTATCTCATTAAGGGGAAGAAACTATATGCTGATGAAAGCTAGCCAAAAGGAATTAACATCTGCTTTATTTATCATAGGTAAGATTTTAAAAAGATTGTTCAGCCAAGTAGTCCTAGAAAAACTGTTATTGTCTTCTGTTCAATAATTTATAATCCTACTTTTCATCAGACCTTGTACTCTTCTTTTACAAAAGGTTAAGGATCATAATTTTATCCACATTTACTTTCAGTTATATAAACTAGTATGAAGATAGAACATTTTCACTCTGTCCTATATAACCAGTTTATTTGCGAAAATTACTTGTCTCCTATAGCGGATCCCATTCAAACAATTCACCTCTTGCCTTGCAGTAGCAAAGAATAAACACTTTAAAAAATAAAGGTGTACAATTTTTATTAAATTTTAATGATCCTTCAGAAGACGTTCTAAAGTGTACACAATCAAATACAAATATATATTTCTCTTCCAACTCCTTGCTTTTAACAGCAATAGGATGCTATACACATTGTTCTAAACCCTGATTTTGCGTTTAGCAATTCATCTTGTCAAACTTGCCATATAGGCACATAGGAGCATCTTACTTTTTATAATATTCATATTTTTATTGAGGGACAAATGTCTTGCTTCCCAGCATTTTCAGATATTACTGACAGTGATGCATTGAAAAAATGACATATACATTATTTTTAATATGTTTATATGTGTTATAAATTGTTCAGAACTTGAAATGCTAGACACACAAGGGCATATGTAATTTTATTTTAATAGATATGGCCAAGTTGATCTCCATATAGTTTTAAACAATGCACAACCTCATCAATAATGAATGAATACATCTGTTAAAACATAATTTAATCCAATGTTTATCTCTTAACAATTCAGTAATTTAAAAATAATGCCATTTTAATTTCTTTTCTTTATTTACAAGACATGGTAAACATTATTTATATATTTGAGAGTTTCTGTGAACATTTGTATCTTTTGATAATTTTTCAATTGAATTGTGCTTTAACCTAATTTGTAGAAACTATTTATATACTTGAAGGTTTACCTTTTTGTCTATGATATGAATTGTAAAATGTTTCTCAGTTTGTCATTTTACCTTTACACTCTGCTTTCAGTTTTTTTATGCCACACCCATTTTCCTTACATTGTGAGTAGTTGAATATATCAAGCTTCCCAATCATTTCAGGGATTTTGAAACAAAGTTAGAAAAAACTTCAACATTGTAAAATTTTAAAATAATAACAATTTATACTATTTTAGGAAATTTTTGTAGCTATTATTTTAGAATTTGAGTTTTGTACCAAGTCTTACACTAGTCAGAATAGCCATTATTTAAAAATCAGAAAATAACATGTTGGCATGGCTGCGGAGAAAAAAATAATGCTTATACACTGTTAGTGGCAATGCAAAGTAGTTCAGCCACCATGGAAAGTATTTTGGAGAATTCTCAAAGAACTAAAAGTAGAATTACCATTCTGTCCAGCAATCCCATTACTGGGTATATACCCAAAGGAATATAAATAATTCTACTGAAAAGACACGTGCACCCATATATTCACTGCAGTCCTATTCACAATAGTAAAGACATGGAGTCAACCTAGGTGTCCATCAAAGGTGGATTAAATAAAGAAAATATGGTAAATATACATTAATAGCATTGAATACTATGCAGCCATAAAAAACAAAGAAATCTTGTTCTTTGCAACAACATGGATGCAGCTGTGAGACATTATCCTAAAAGAACTACCACAGAAACAGAAAAATCAAATACTGCATATTCTAACTTATAAGTGGAAGCTAAATAGAATGAGTACACCTAGACATAAAGATAGATATAATAGACACTGGCAACTACAAGAAGAGTGAGGGAGAAATGAGGACAAGGGTTGAAAACTACTTAGTACTTGGGTACTATACTCATCACCTTGGTGAAAGGTTCAACCATACCCCATACATTAGACCCTTAAAACAAACCTGCACTGGGACCTCCTCAATCTAAATAATTTGAAAAAAATACATTAATGAGATGTCTGATTATGAATCCAATTAACATTTAATTTCAGAATATAATCCAACTATTAAAAAACCCAAATATTGAATGGTCATGTTTCTCTCGCTAAATTAAGATGGGATTATTAGCATATATATTACTTAATATTTGTTTATACTTGTTTCTATATCTGGATGTCACTTGTCCATTTACCTGGCATATATGACTATTTCATTATTTTAATTATTAAAGATTTAACATATGTTTTGCACTTGGCAGAGCAAGTCACCGTTCATTGTTCTTGTTGTTCAGCGTTTCCTCACCGTTTATGTAGCCTATTTTTTAAGGTGCTGACTCTGTACACACACTGTATGAATTCAAAGTCCTGTTTCTATAGTCCTGAGATCTTCAGCAATTTCCTTAATCAGTTTCATCTTTGGAAATATTAATATTACTTACATGAGAGGATTATTATGTATACATTTAAGGGGTTTAAATAATATCTAGCAAATATCACTCAAATAAATAATAGCTTCTATAACTCTCATTTAATCCATAGTAAAAATTGACTTGTCCAGTTAAAATGGAAATATTTTAAAGGTATTATATTAATGGGAATTAATGAGATTATAGATATGCATATTAATTTAAGGTACATTGATGATGTTCAATGGTACTATACAGAACCATAATCTTTGTTTCATTGTGTACAACTATTTCCTTGTTTTTTCCAGAGTCTATGTCTTTTATACATGGATGCAACATATTTCAGTTGTTTAAAGCATTTCAGCTTTTTTGGTTGTTACTATAAATAAGGTCTTCACTCCAATTATCTCTTCTAACTGGTTGTTTTTGCTTCATTTTGTTTTTACATACAAAATGATGGGCTTGGGTATATTGATTTCATTTTCTTACTATATAGCTGCAATCTGTTAGTATTTGTAGTGAATTTTAAATGTATTCATTCAGGTTATCAAGGTATAAAATCATAGCATCTGAAAATATCAACAATTTTACCTCATGCTTTCCAATTTCTGCCCTCTAATTTATTTCTCTTCTTCAATCACATTGACTAGGGTGCCCACTAAAATGTAAAATAATAGAAATTACAGTAGATATTTATCATGTTTCTCCCTATAATTTTAGTGGAGAATTTCTATTATTGTTCCATTAAAAATAATTCTGGCTTTACACTGAAATTTTTATTTTATTTCCTTAGTAATTTGAATTTTAAAAGTGCTGTTTTCAGCACCTATGTTAATGATCATATTTTTACCATTAATATCTAATAACCTGATGAAGTGTATCAATAGTAATTTTCTAATATTAAAATACCAGCATATTCCTTCAGTTAGCCTTATTTAATTACTATGTATTTTTGATTGATTCTTGATTCCAGTTTCTAATATTTTATTTAAAATGTTTGCACTGTTATTGATAAAACAACTCAATAGTTTTATGTTTATTTTCAACCTTTCAAGTTTTTGTATGCATTTATTGATGATTTATATATTTTCTTTCAGATAGTTTAAATAGAATTGAATGATTTTTGTCTCAGGAATATGATATAATTCTGCTGTGAAATCATCTTGGCCACATAGTAAAGGCATTAAAAAAAAAACAAAAAAACACCTCTAAATCTGGCAACATAAGTTGAAATGCTTAAACTAAACCCCCAAATTTATGCCATTTCTGTAAATAATATTGGACTTAACGAAATGAATTTATTATCTGTTCTTTATCAGTTAATTTTCTGACAATAATGCCACAGAGGCATACATTAAAAAACACCTGGCTGGGCGCGGTGGCTCACGCCTGTAATCTCAGCACTTTGGGAGGCCAAGGTGGGCGGATCATGAGGTCAGGAGATCAAGACCATCCTGGCTAACACAGTGAAACCCTGTCTCTACTGAAAATATAAAAAATTAGCCAGGCGCGGTGGCAGGCGCCTGTAGTCCCAGCTACTTGGGAGGCTGAGGCAGGAGAACGGCGTGAACCCGGGAGGAGGAGCTTGCAGTGAACCAAGATCGCACCACTGCATTCCGGACTGGGCAACAGAGCGGGACTCCGTCTCAAAAAAAAAAAAAAAAAAAAAAAAAAAAAAAACCTATAATTGCTTATGACTATACTTACTGGGTGCAAAATTCTGCCAATCTGACTTGGCTCAGTTTGGCTTATTCATGTGTCTTCAGTTTGCTTGGGTCAGTCTTACAGCTTTGCTATCATGGCTCAGAGGTCTCCTTTATCTGGTGGTTGTCTGTTATGGACAACAAGGTTTGCTCAGCTCTGTTCTCCCTGTTTTCTTATCCTTCAGACTATTAGCTCAGGCTTGATTGCAGAGCTGAAACAGTGATCAAAGGCAGGGAGCAGAAGTGTATGAGGTCTCTCGAGACTGAGGTTTAGAATTGACACATTGTCACTCTTGACATTTTTTTATTGCAAAAAGCAAGTCACAATACCAGCATATACACAAAGGGTGACGAAATAAACCTAACTTCCTTGATAAAAGTAATTAAAAAATTACATTTCAATGACAAGTTAAGGTAGTATTCAAACAGAAAAGCATGATGGAAGACAAAGAAGCATTCTTCCTGTTAAAGATATGAGTTAGGAATATTAACACACCAAATAACGGTACCAACATTTATAGAGTAAAAACTACAGAGATAACACTTTTGGTAAATATGCTTATATCATATACATAGTTATAGTCACATTATGTCCTGTGATGGTCAAATGAAACTGTCCAAAAATTCGCTTTATTTCTAGGCTTATTTTTTCATTTCTCTCTAATTTTTAGTCGTCTTATTTGTACATTTTCAGAAAGAACAATATTCTACTTGTGTTTTCTGTAATTCACTCATTTGGCTTTTATTGATCTATCACAGTTGTATATATTTTCACCTATTTGTTTTTAATTTTAGTTTTTATAATTAACTGTATCGAATGCTCATAATAAGTCCTACTTTATCCACTCATTTTTTGCTCAGCTATAATTCGTTTTCAAATATTTACTTTCATAACAAGTAAAACTTTCTATGTCACCATTAAAAGTTTGTATTGTAAACAGATTATTGAACTAGTGGATTATATCTATAAGCTCTTTCAATGTTCACACCTGTATCATCCCCACAATCTTTTTTTTTTTTTCTTTTCTTTTTTTTTTTTCTGAGACAGAGTCACACTCTGTCGCCCAGGCTGGAGTGCAATGGTGCAATCTCGCCTCACTGCAACCTCCCCCTCTCAGGTTCAAGCAATTCTCCTGCCTCAGCCTCCCGAGTAGCTGAGGTTACAGGCATCTGTCACCATGCCTGGCTAATTTTTGTATTTTTAGTAGAGACGGGGTTTCACCATGTTGTCCAGGCTGGTTCTTTGGCCATGCTGGTCTCGAACTCCTGACGTTGTGATCCACCCGCCTCAGCCTCCCAAAGTGCTGGGATTATAAGCGTGAGCCACAACGCCCAGCCCATCCCCACAATCTTTTCTAGAACTCCTACTTTCATCATAAAGTTCCATGAGCTTTCCAATTCAAATATGAGCTTCATAGCATTTTTAATCTTCTAAGGGAAATATTATGGAGAGGATAACTAGATTTTCAAGCTTTTTATGTCTTTCCCAGTATTGTCAGCAGTCAATTTGTTGGCCTTTTCTTTCAAGGCATTTGTTTGCACCTTTTGGGTTATGATTTCCAACATTTTCTTCTGGATATAAAGGACCTATTGGTATTGACCATCAGAAGTTTTCCACATCTGTTTCCTTTTGTAGTAAAAATATCACAAAACATGTGAACCACCTAAATGTCAACAGTGGTGACACCAATGTGAGTTTCAGTCATAGTCTGCCATTTTTTGAACATGGATCCCATTTGGTCAGGGTAAGATACATACCCTACTCAGGCAGTTTTTTGCCATGAACTTCCTCAATAATTAACCTGAAATTTCTAAAAGCAATTTTATCATTATACAAGGCTTACTTCAAAAAACACAGTCCTTGAAGCTACCAAATACAATTTTGGTTCTTTAGTTATTGTAATGAGTGTTTTTCTAATATATCTAATATTGAATATGGCTGGTGCCATCGTATCATACCAATATTTCTTAGAAAATGAATCAACCACTTTATTTGTGGCTCCCTTTTTGCTGCCTTTTGTAAGGCGCTTGTTCTTGCCAATTGCCATAGTGCTTGCTGTTCTGAGAGCCATAAGGGAAGTATTTATTTTTTATAAGATTCATGTTAAAATTATTTCTGAAAATCTTGACTTTTAAAACTGTTTTCTATAGACTTCATGTGAAAGTTATAACTTTTATAGATATACAATTTTTCGTTACAATATGTTTGCAAGATCTTTTAGATATTTTTCTATTTGTAGTTCAGTGTTGCAGTGGAAAAATGTAAGTCTGTCTGAGTCGTTCTTATCATTATATGTGACATGATGTGTTTTCATAGTTGCCCAGTGGATTTTTCATTTCTATGACATTCATTTACTACAAAATATTTGAGACTTTCCATTTTGGGTCAACTTACCCTGAACCTGGTGTGTCCTCAAAATATGTAATTTTAAGACTAACATACTGAGCATGTACATTGTGTAGATATTGTTTAAACAGTTCATGTAGACTAAATTATTTAATTCAATTAGCTTCTTACTCTATGGAGTAAAAGTCACCATTTTTTGGAAGGCTAAAGTAGGGCAACAAGAGGCTAAATAAGCAGGTAATCATTGAAGCCATGATTTGCACATAGAAAGCCTGGTATAAACCCATGCGCTTTTAATCACTACACTGTACTTGCAGATGTAAAATCTTCTTTTATTTAGAAAAGTCTTCTCAACTGAATCTTTAAATAATATTCTCTTCTATAATTTTATTTTTTATTTGGGGTTTAGTAGTAGGCCTATAATGGTCTTCATTGTCTATTTTCTATATCTATCATTATTTTTCTAATTTTTTATAAAACTTTCAATGGCCATTTTTTGTTGGCTATTTATTATTACTTTCCTTTTAGGTTCTGAGGTATCTATTCTTGCTTGTGCTCTTTCCATTTTGGTTTTCACAATCTTTTTCATCCAGTTATTTTTTAATATTTCCTTGGCAATAGGTTTATTTTATCTGTTTCTTCCTATTTTAATTTTAATCATTGCATTTCTACTTTGTGGTTTTCCTTTAGAAAGTAAAATCATTTGCTATTCAGTTTTAAAAATTATAGTAAAAATTTGGTTATAATTTTTATTTCTTCCATGACAATACTTTTCTGAGAGTTTATCTCGTCAGCTGTTAAACATGGGGCTGTCATGAGATAGGCTGTAAAATGGTGACTACGTATGGGTCGTTAAGGTAGGCTTTACTAAAAAATAATATTTGACAAGTGATGAAGTTCATGTTGTTTGCATACAACATTCTAGAAAGAGTTATGGTCTTCTGCAGTAGTTAGTCCTATGGGTAAACATATATATTAGAAAGAAAGTGGGACTCATAGCAAATGGTCATGGAAAAAAGCTTGAGATGGCAACAAGGATTAGGTCATTAATATTGCTGAATAATAATTTTTCCAAGAGTAATATGAAAGGTTATAGAATGTTTTCAGCAAGTGGTTGCATTTGAAAAGACCAGTCTGCCTTAATTTAGAGGCATATAAAAGTCTGTGGAAGGGAGGTAGGAGAAGTCCATGCACATGTTGCTATCACAGCCACACATCATCATTCGTAGTATTTTTCTAATGGTTGTCTACAAAAATAGATTATTACGATCTTAAGGAAAGAAACTTTGTGTTTAATTCCATACCTATGGTTACTGTTCAATGTATATTACTTTTTCTATGGATGCATTTGAATTCTTCTTTACTGATATCTCTCCTTCTCGCCTATATGCACACAATCATCAAGACTTAAATTTTGCTCAAATATAGCCCCTTTATTACCTGACAACTTGGCTTCTTGCTTTTTTCATATTGAGATCCTGGGCTACAAGCTCAACAATAAATGATGCTGAATCACATTATTGCCATGTAACATCTATGAAATGTTGGATAAACAACTGAAATTCAATTTTTTTTCCTTATCCTTAGCATGGAAAAATGATGAATGAGAAATTCTTAGCAGTGTATATGACAGATTATGAGTATGTCATAGTTAATGTTGTTTGTTTATAAAGAAATTGTATTAGACATTTTGACTAGAAAGATAAAAGAAAAATGACCTTTGGTTTCTCAAACTTTAAATTATAATTCAAAAAATTACATGATAATGTATGTCAATCATAAAGAAATATTCAATGTAGTGTATTATTATTATAAATCTTTACTAATTTTCTAAAGGACTTTTTACTCCATTGCTAAATAATCATTATTCTTATTACAGAGTTCTAAACCCCAATATGGTAATCGTGTCCATTCTTGTTTTCACTCATTGTTTGATAGAAATTCACTAAGTGCCCATCATATGCCAGGTCTTGTTATCATACAGCAGAGAACAAAACAAAATACAGGCTCTTGTGGACATTATATTTTACTGAGGGTGAGAAAAGGTATAAAAATAAATAAGGAAACTTGTAAATTAAAGCCAAATAATGACAAATTTCAGAAATCACAATAAGGGTAAAGAAGATGACCATATGTAGACAACCAAGGAAAATGCTAATTTTTAAAATATTGTCTCCTTCTCCTTATTAGATTCCTATTATTACTGTACAGGTTACTTCAAACTAAGTGTTGTAAGAAACATAAATTTCTCTTTCAAGTCTGGAGCTCAGAAGTCTGACATGATTCTTATGCTAAAATTACGATGTTCACAAGGCTGGTTTCTTCTAGAAGATTCAGGAGAACCTCCATTTCTTGTTTCTTCCAACTTCAAGAAGGTTACAGGCATTCGTTAGCTCCTAGCTGGATCCTTCCAATCAGCTTCCATTCTCACATTGCATTCTCTTTATTTTGAACCTCCTGCTTCCCTGACACAAGGACCCTTGTAATTACATCATGCCTCTCTGGATAATCTGGGATTATCTCCTCATTTCAACATGCCTAATTTAATTACATTTGCAGATGCCCTTTGACTAGATGAGATAACATTCACAGGTCCCAGGGATTAGAACAGGAACATCTTTAAGGCAGAGGAGGGGTAAAGATTTCCCTCTGCCACAAATTCCGAAGCCAAGCTAATTAAGTCTTTCAGCATCACATGTAGCTATCTGGAACATGTTAACCTAACATTTGCTTAGGGTGCAAAATGTGTGAAATTTAGGACCAACAAAAAAAGCCAAACTTATGTTAATTTGATAGCAATAACCTTAAGGGGGGTACTAGTTTCTTTGACCGGGACAGAACCTAAATTTTCAAAATAGAAAGAAGCAATTTGCAGCATTAACCAGTTAATTTTTCAAATGGAATGACAATCACTAATTAAGGGCTTTCTATATGTTATTTTGGGAAAGTCATTTTAAAACTGCACTGGTCACTCCTTAACCCAGACCCTATAAACCTTTCTGCATTTATAAACAAGGCCCACTGGGTCCAATTTTCCACTAGTGAAGCAAACTTCACACTAGCAAAATCAAAGAGTACATTACTCTGTTTGCATATTATGTTACTTCAGCATTTAACTGTGTCTGTGTTCTTGCCAAAAATATCTATACATCTATACCATTATAGCAATCTTTGTTAAGGTGTTGTTATGTGAATACTGTCTTTTAGCTTGGTGGATGCTGCTTACTCAATCTATTGTCGGTAGATCTCTGACTCCAGGTAAGAGATTTTGGAATAAAGGATTCTAAATTCAATTTAACGTTGATTTATTAAGCACCTGTTTTGTATCTAACACTGTATTTATTCTATTAACTCTCCTAACATAAGTGCAACACATGGAAATGGATACTAGACTGAAGTGCAATAAAGTTTAAGCCTCAAATAGATTAATTTTGAGTTAGGTAAGAGTTCCTGTCTTTGCTTACCCACTTACTTTTGACATAAAGAGAAGTACAAATGTTTATATATTTGTGTTTCAAAAATAATACAAGACATAGTATATTCATTTACTTAATAACTGTTTTACATTTTCTGTTTTTATTATATATTTTCCCACTTCTAAATACCTAACAGAATGTATTATTTCATCTGTTTCTTATTGTCTTATATTTATTGCTTCAGTAATTTGAAACTAGGAATTGACAGAAATTTGGCCACAGATCTGTCAACCTGATCGTTAAAGATCATATAGTCAATTTTTATCATCTTTGGCCACAAAACATAAGGCAGTTTGGCAGTTTGCAATGACATTTTATTTTGCTGATTTTTACTGTCACTTTGCAGAACGAGTTTATTTTAAATCAAGCCCAAGCAGCCTTAATGTAATATGACTGAAATATAACATGTGAAAAAAAGTCTCTAAAGGAATGATGGAATAACTAGAAATTAAGGAAAAGTGACTGAAAATTTGGAATCATATCTGAAAGAATTAAAGAGAATATTATTAAGTATAAAAATGTTCTGAGAAAAAATGTCATTTAACTATTTTCCCAAATATCTAGAAATAAAAATATTATTTGACACAAAATATATGTAATTAACTTTTTCTATGTACACAAAGAGAAAAAATTAGTATGTTGTAAAGTGGCCTATTACAACTATTTAGAAGTCTTTTCTATTGATACTGTTATAAATGTTTTAAAATGTAATTAATTAATTAGTGGTCATATATTGAAGATTAACATTCATTTGTATCTAAAAATTATAAAATAGGTTTATTATCAACATGAGATTTCATTACCCCTTTAAAATGTATTTTTCATAGTAGTGGAATTTATTTTTTCTACTACACTGCTTTACTTTAAATTTAAGGGAATCTTAATACAAAGATAGAATAACAGGGATAGAATTAAACCTTCTTTCTTAAATAACTTAGAAAACAATAATGATTTACATTCACTGGGCAACAGGAAGTGAATAATTGTCATCCCTGAAAGAAGAATGATAAACAAGGTGAACTAGGATTGCATCAATATACTGCCTGGAGACACTTTCACAACACAAGTAGGAGAACCAATAGAAAGTCTAACAAGCTTCCTAAGTTAAAGAGATTGAGTTGGAGTTTGAGGAGGCCAACATGGCTAGAATTTGTGAAGGGAGGTGGAGATGGACTAGAAGGGAGTGCTAATGATTAGAAGAATATTCATTGTAAGTCATTAGTTGAGTACTGAGTTGTCCATGTGTGAATAGCAACTATCTAATGACGAGATAAATATCATCTCTAACCAGTATTCGGGACAATTCACAAAGTTCACAAAGGTGGGAGTAATTGGTTTTTATCAGGTAGAATATTGGGTAGAAAATGTACTGCCTTATTAATGGCAATAAATAACCCCGTGACTAAAGGCTGCCAAAAACTCTTCTGGTCACTGATCACTACTCTACATCAAACCTAAAATTACTAATTGAAGGAATGCCACTGATTCTACTCTCTTAAACTCATAATAGAGTAAAATTCATTAGTACATGAAAAATAAAACTATATCTAGCAAGCAATATTTAATTAAATATATCACTCAGTTAAATATGACCCAAGTAGGCAAAGTATAAGTCATAACTGGGAGAAAACAGATAAGAAATAACATAGAGAAACTAGATGACAAGAATATTAAAATAGTTATCAAAATATGTTTCATGTGTTAATGAAGGTAGAGGAAATAATAAGAAAAGTACTGGAAGAGAGAAAAAATTCTTATAAAAAACTTCTAGAAAAAATATATTCTTTGAAATATAGTACATTGATTGGAATTAACCACTGATTAGACACTGCATAACAAAATAGAAGTGAAGTTAAAGACAGAGCAAAAACCCTAGCAAAAAACATACACAGAGAATAAAAGATTGAAAGAAATTATAGTATCAAGGTGTTATTTGATATAATTCGGTAATGTGACATATGTGTAATTGTAGTTCCAAATGCTTACAAAAGATAATGGAAAGTGGAAAAAGAATATTTGAAGGAAAGATTTCCAAAACATACCCTAATTGAATGAAAGCATTAAACCCACAGTTCCACTATCAACAAACCCCCAGCAGAACCAACATAAGGCCTATCATAATCAATATTTTTAAACAAGCAATAAACAAATCATTAAAATATTTATAAAGAGTACAGTATGCAGAAGGAAACAATGTTAAGGATGATAGCCAACTTATTACGAGAAGCAATGCAACCTAAAAGATAATGGAATGACATCCTTAAAATATTGAAGGAAAAACTCTCAACCCTACATTTTTTACCTAGGTTAATGTATTCTGGAAAGGAGAGCAAAATAGTGTATTTTCCATACAAACAAAAGCTGAGATAATTTATTGCCAACACACCTGCAGCACAATACATTTTAAATAAAATTTTCAAGCAGAGGAAAACAATACCAGGTAGCAATTTGGATCTGCACAAAGGAATTAAGAACCCTGAAATGCAAAACACGCAAGTGAGTATGAGACTTTAAAATCAATTTTTGAACCCTTTAAAATATGATTATATAAGTCAAAACCAGTAATAGTATATTGTGGGTTTTGTAATATATTTAGACCTAGACTGTATGACACCAATAGCACAATGTGCAGAAAAGGAGAAATGGAAGAATATGGAAGTAAAATACACTATGTGTGGTGTATTATAATTATTTTTGTGGATTGAGATAAAATAAGATGTATACTCTAAACCATATAGTAACCGCAAAACAATAAAGTCAAGCCAAATACATAGACTAGAAGCTGAATGGCATTGACTTCAAGAACAGTGTTGAATTCAAACAATGTTTTGTAAATTGTGAAGGATTTTATTTTCAACCTATAATAATCAATAGAAACACATCAGAAATAACATAAAGAAACTAGCAGACAAGAATATTAACCATTTTAAGTGTGTGAGACTAAAACATTTTCATGTCTTAATCCAAGGTCTCAACATTTACTCCTATTCACCCTGTATTAGTTTGGTATTACTGCATAACAAATTACTGCAAATTGAGCAGCTGAAAACAACACCCATTTATTATCTCACAGTTTCTGAAGGTCATAGGTCCAGGTAGGGCTCTCTACTCAGGGTCTCACAAGGACAAATTAAGGATATCTCATCTGGAGACTCTGGGAAAGATTCTGCTTTTCTAAGCTTAATCAGGTTGTTGGCAGAATTAATTTGAGGTATGACTAAACATCCGTTTTCTTGCTGGTTGTCAACCCTGGTCTGCTTTTGTCCTCTAGAGGCCACTGCAGTTTCTTGACATTCTTGTAGCCTCTCTCACAGCATGGAAACATTTCTTCAAGGCTAGCAGAAAAGCCTCTCTCTCTCTGACCTCCAAACTCTCTTCATAAGGAGCTCATTTTGGGCCAGGTGAAGTGGTTCAAGCCTATAATCAGCACTTTGGGAGGCCGAGGTGAGTAGATCCCTTGAGCCCAGGAGTTGGAGACCACCCTGGACAACATAGTGAGACCTTGTCTCTACCAAAGCAATAAACAAATTAGCCAGGCATAGTGTTGCATGCCGGTGGTCCCAGCTATTTGGGAGGCTGAGGCAGGAGGATCACTTGAGCACTTGAGATGGACACTGCAGTGAGCTATGATTATGCTACTGCACTCCGGCCTGGGCGACACAGTAAGACCCTGCCACTAAATAAATAAATTAATTAATTAATTAACAACAGCAACAAAAAAACAAACAGCTCACCTCACGAATCAAAATTAACTAATTTAGGAACTTAATTAAAGGACTGCTGGATTTTATTATAAACCCTAATGTGGCTTCTTGTCTTTACGTTTTGTTGTTTTTGTTATTTTAATAAAAGATAAACATAACATAAATAAAAATTATTTATAATTTATATTCATAACTTATTTATAAATAAAAATTAGAATAAAAAATAAATTGAAACAAAATTATAGGCTAAAATATGTTATAATTTGGAGCTGAAGTTTACTGTGGAGTACTGAAAGCCAAAACAAAAAGATAAGTAGAAAATGTGTTAGACAATAGACTTAAATATAATTTTTTAAAGTTTTATATATGAAAGTCTCTTTTTCTTACACTGTCATTTGTTTCTGTAACCAAAAAAATGCATATACATTTTAATTCTAATTCAGTGGCAGCTTTAACTATTTAAGTATTTTATTGTTGATTTTGTTTTCATAAATGAATAATACTTTTCCCTAGGAAAAAGCAGGGTTCAGTAGAAATTGTCTCTCTCTCTCTCTCTCTCCCCCTCTCCTCTCTGTGTGTGTGTATGATTAATTAATATAATGAATATATGTAATATATATTAGATATATACTAAGAAAATGAGTTCACATAAATCATTTCTAATAAATGTATTTTCTTAAGAGAAATACCTCAATTAATTTTTTTAATAAGGAATAGAAACAACTCATAACCAGTAAGTCTCATGATTGTATATTGAAAATAATTTTATAAAATTCTAACCTTCTAGCAAAACACAACACTGACTTTGCAACAGCACCTACTAAAATATATTTATGTTTTCTCCTCCAGGATATTATTTAAAGGGGGGCCATCCGTATTTTCTTCAAGAAACAATATTTAACTTTTAAGGTATATGTTATACCCTGGATAGCAAGAAAAAAAAATTCAAAGATGAATAGCACGCAGTGCCATTGTCAAGGATGCTCACAGTTGAGGTGACTAAAATATTTATTTAAGTTCTACTATGTGTCATACAGACAAAGTGCTCTGGGGATTTCCAGGACAGAGGCCTTAAATTGTAGTAACAAACTTTTAAAAAGATTGAATCATGGGGAAATACGTCATTGCGACTGAAGTGCAGGTTTAGCATATACTAAATAATGTGAAAATATGAAACATATGTGTAAGCTGCTAATATTTCTGTTTGGCTGCAGCACTTATGTATGATGACCAACAGTAAAAATGAGCTGGGATCACATCATAGAGGACTTTAAATGCTGTCCATGAGGAGCTAATATGTTAGTCTGTGAAGGAAAAACAAAACACAAAACATTGAAAATAATTAGGAGCAAGCAGAAAAGTATATCTTCAGACATCATTTTATAGTCTGCCTTTCCAAGAAAATTATTAGAACAGTCCACCTAACCCAATAAAAATAGCTTCGGCAATTCATAATCCAGTACCACAGGGCTGACAAAAACATATGGAGAAAATAATAGGTATAAACATGGCTATCGTCAATTTATAAATGTTTTAACATTTATTTTTACCTGAAGAACTCATACACTAACTCTATCATTAAAATTCCTATCTTCATTGCTATGTGAATGTTTCAATGTGTTAAAGATATGTCCTCTTTTATTTCCTGTTGTATAATTATTCATTCAGAAAAAAAAAAAAGCAGGTTCCATTTTGGCAGTTTTTCTTCTCTTGGCACATCTAGACAAATTACCAAATATATATTTTTTCCTGTGGCCGTAATGTATACTTCATCTGTGAAAAAGTTTGAGATCAAGGAAGATGACTTTCATGAACACCAGATTTTCTTACTTTACTTTTCTTTGTTTTTGCATGTATCTCTCTAGAATATACAAAAGAGAAGCAAATATCATGACTTCAAAGCAAGAACATTTGCCTACTACATAACTTGTCATATAATCAAAATCACACCGCTCCACCTATTTTTGTAATTCCAAGTATAAGACTGCAAGATGTTTTTTCCACCTCTGCTAGTTCTTTGTTAGGGGAAGAGTTTAATTTGAAAGATTATTAAAGTCTCTGCCTGCATTTTTAAAATTAAGATTACTCATTTAATGATTCCATAATGACTACTGTTCTTTTTTTTTTTTTTTAAGATTTGAGAAATTTAAATGTCAATTTAATCTTTTTTTTTTATTATACTTTAAGTTTTAGGGTACATGTGCACATTGTGCAGGTTAGTTACATATGTATACATGTGCCATGCTGGTGCGCTGCACCCACTAACTCGTCATCTAGCATTAGGTATATCTCCCAATGCTATCCCTCCCCCCTCTCCCCACCCCACCACAGTCCCCAGAGTGTGATATTCCCCTTCCTGTGTCCATGTGATCTCATTGTTCAATTCCCACCTATGAGTGAGAATATGCGGTGTTTGGTTTTTTGTTCTTGCGATAGTTTACTGAGAATGATGATTTCCAATTTCATCCATGTCCCTACAAAGGACATGAACTCATCATTTTTTATGGCTGCATAGTATTCTATGGTGTATATGTGCCACATTTTCTTAATCCAGTCTATCATTGTTGGACATTTGGGTTGGTTCCAAGTCTTTGCTATTGTGAATAATGCCGCAATAAACATACGTGTGCGTGTGTCTTTATAGTAGCATGATTTATAGTCATTTGGGTATATACCCAGTAATGGGATGGCTGGGTCAAATGGTATGACTACTGTTCTTAATGTTGCCTATGACATGATGTGGCTTATATTGAATTTCAGGTCAGTAAACAGATATTTTAAATCTTTATATTTCACATTCCAATTGTATAATAGTTTTTAAAAGGTGCACATATGTCAATACTGTATTTCATTAGAATTTAAATATTGGAATAGAGGGGAGCATTTTAACATATACCTGAAGATAGTAAGATTACAAAAACTTAATGTTTTAAACAAGTTTATCATTGTATGTGTATGAGTAATTGTGGTGGTCTTTTAATGTTTTTGTTACTTTTTTTCCGCCTTTCTTACACTGTGTCTTCATCTCCAAAAAGTATAATCTGATGTTTCCAATGGCATCCTCTTTGGCTAAGAAAGTATTGTTAATTACAACTGATTTGGCTGTAGAGTGTAAAGACAAATAATTTGATAAATTACAGTATTATGAAAATAGGAATTTGATTATCCATGAAAGACTTCACACTAAAGGTTTATCAATGCTGAAATTAAAAAAAATTAGACTTACTGCCAACTTTTGCAGGCTCTGCAATATAATTCTTTAAAAATATTTCGGGAAAAAAGGTTATATACAATTATTTTTATGTAATAATAAACAGACATATAAATCATTATTATTTGAAGTCATCAACTTGCTGTTTTGACTATAGGAAAGGGTGAGAATAAAATGAATATATTTAAAAATTTGCATAATATTTCATCTTCTATTTATGTGTTGATATATCACATTAACGAAAACACAAAGCATTATCTAAAAAAAGTTCTAGATATTTACAAAAACATTTCTGTTGCTATATATAAATTTTATATTAATTATATTCTATAAATGTGCCTATTTAAAATTATAAAGGTTGACTTAGTAGGATAAAAATTTCCATTCCATGTCATGTTTCATGACAGTACAGGGACGTGAGAGAAGGGAAATATTTTGTTTCGTATTGTTCTGGTTTTTTGGGAATAAGAAGGATTAAATATATACACTAAACATGCCAGGCTTTTATTGATCTTTTGTGAATCTGCTATACACTTAATTAAAGTAATTTTTTAGTTTAATTATAGTAAACAAAGTGCTTAGTAAACATAGCTTTTTGGAGAATTTGCATAAGTTTAGTATGTATTAAGATTTAGTATATTTTAGACAGAGCCAGGATTTTCAAGTATCAGCTGTATCACTTGGTGAGTTTATTCACATTATTTTGGTGATAATACATTGTGATTTTTTTTCCATATGACATTTTTCTCTTTACATACCATAGTTTTAAGAATTTTATATGATTATTTACATAACCACGAAATAACGCATGGGTTAAGTTGTTTTTACATGAATTTAGAATGGGAGAGAAAGCATGTTGTTGTAATCATTACTAAAAAGAGTTAAGATTTCAGCAATTGAGTCATTTATAATTGTGTTGTACAAATAGTAATCAGTCCAGAAATTTCTCCAATTAACTAATATTTTTCTACATAAAAAAGATTAGGAATAAAATATTAATAAGAATAATAACTTCCTGAGATAAATCTTATTAAGCTCATAACTACATGATATAATTAATAAAAAGTGGTTTTTAAAAATAAATAGCAACTGTAATTATTTATAATTATTATATATTGGAAAACAATGGTTGGTATCACAACCTTTTTTTTACATTTACCAAGAAAATATGCAAACAAATAAGTTAAGTACCAATTGTATACTGTGAAACTTTAGTGGAGAGACACAAACTATAATTTTAATAAAAAAGCTTTTGATGTAAATTTCTTCTAATGATAACAAAAATTTCTTTAATCCCCCAAAATTTGCTCT
Organism: Homo sapiens; assembly: GCF_000001405.40. Lineage (NCBI taxonomy): Eukaryota > Metazoa > Chordata > Mammalia > Primates > Hominidae > Homo > Homo sapiens. Next base: position 29,975,758 of record NC_000004.12, read on the forward strand.
ACCAACAAACTGTTTGCGTTCCATCACAAAAATTACCTTTTGTTTTAATGTCTCATACCCTATAAAGTTGAAAATTAGATGTACCACCCAAACAAGAATGAGACACACCTGTCTGATAACTCATTGTCAGTGAGTAGTTCACATCTTCTAAACCTCAGAGTTTAGAAGGTTTAAAAGGAGGTCATCAACTGGAAAAGATGAAGAAAGCAAAAGGACATACAAGAAATTTGAAAACTGAGAACCAAAAATAAGTACTTCGTCACAAAGTAATCTTGGAGCAACTTGTCCTTTCAGATAATTTTTGTTATTTTATCATTTTATCCTCTGAAATCTGTAAACTTTTATCACAGAAACACTTAAGGCTATGATGCCTTACTAAGTAATCATAGCATTAACACAATAAATTCCAACTCCTCATCATGTTCGTCTTCTATTCAACAGCTTCCAGTTATGTGTGTCCTTCATTAAAGAAAATTATTTCATTTTCATCCTTATTTTGACATTGACATATGTTTTCAAGTTTATCAACACATTTCCTTTTAAATAAATGCTACGCATTCAACTTTTTCCAAATAACAAAAGCAGCTAACATTTTTGAGTGATTACACTCTGCTAGTCACTATTGTTATACTATTTTATACACTTTATTTTTTAACATTCTCAATAGTCTTAGAAAGTAGTTGCTATTATTATTACCATTTGTCTGCTGAAGAAATCAAGCCTCAGAAATTAATTGTTTTCCCAAGATAGATACATGCTTTGGTGCTGAAACTGCTATGTCCAGTATCTGAAAATATAGTCATCAATAGGCCTTCCTAAATACATCTGAATCTACAACACAAAAGGGACAAATGTTTTTCTGGAGAAAATAAACAAACAGATACTGCCTCATTGTTTTGTCCATGCAGTTCCTTTTCCTTGGACAACAGGTCTCTTAACATCTTCACATCTTTCAAGATCTAGTTTAACTCCACCTACAGCAAGAAGCATTAACTAATCAATATATTTGTAAAACTGATTGATAACCCATCTCTGTCTTTACAGAACCCTGCTCCAATGCTTTTGGATTTCTCTTATCAGAAAAATTAACATCCAATCTAAACAAATAGATATTTGGATTTTGACTATTGCCATTTCCATTATAATATTGAAATCGAATTGTGAATTATTCATGTCTGCATCTCATCAATATTAGACCACTGCTTTCTTCCAGAGAATTTCTGTTAAGAAAATTAAGAGTATAGTGTATTCATTTTCTAGGTCCTCCATAGAAACACCACAGATTGGATGTTTTCATCAAGAGAAATTAATTTCCTCATAGTTCTCGAAGGTAGAAATTCAAGACCAAGGTGTCAGCAGGTTTGTTTTTTTCAAATGGCCTTTCTCTTTGGTTTGCAGGTAACCACCTTTTTGCCATGTTCTCGTGTGGTCTTTCATCTGTCTCTTTTGTCTGTGTCCTAATCTCTTCTTTTTATAAGGACACCAGTCATACCAGATTAGGGCATAACGCAATGACCTTATTTAATATTCATGACCTCTTTAAATACTCTATCTCCAAATACAGTCATCTGGGGTAGTTGGGGGTAGGGATTCAGCATATTCATGTTAGCATTACACAATTTCAACCTCTAACATATGGAAATAATACACAAACAAGAAACCCTTGATGGATGTCAACAAGTTAGAAAAATAGTTTCTTTCTGTTGTAAAATAACCATTCAATTATAAACTAATACTAGATTATATCTAGTAAAGCACGCTGAGTAAAGCATACTGAATGTGAATTATTTCTCTTTCTCTTTTTTCCTTCTTTTTTTTTTTTGCTTTTGGGTACAATGTCATTCATGTTTAAAGTTGCAGTTTGATATGGTTTGGAAATTTGTGCCCTTCAAAGCTTGTGTTGAATTTGATTCCCAGTGTTGGAGGTGAGGCCTGGTGGGAGGTCATGGGGGTGGATCCCTCATGAATGGCTTGGTACTGTCCTCTGGGTAATGAGTGAGTTCTTACTCTATTAATTCACACAGGAACAAGATGTTTAAATGAGCCGGACACCAGACACCCTTCTCTCTCTCTTGCTCCCTCTCTCCCAATGAGATGCAGGGGCTCCCCTTTGCCTTCTGCCATGTTTGGAAATTTCCTGAGGTCCTCACCAGCAGCAGATCCTGATGCTATGCTCCTTGTACAGCCAGATAAACTTCCTTTGGAAAAAGATGCAGTTCAACAGGTTTGCCATTATTTCTCCAGTTGGGAATTAATCTACTATCTAGGGTTTATTAACTTTATTAAGATATTTGTTATATGTTGTTTATATACTTTCTCTACTTATCATGACATTTCAAAAGAAAGGAACAATAAAGTCTAAGCACCACAAAAGTAAGGATTATTTTAACCCATTTTGTTCACAGCTATAGTGCTAGAACATTGTGAGTACTCAGAAAATGCTGAATTTCTGAATGAATGTGTTTTCCTGGTCTTCCAAAACTCATAGCTCACAACACAGTTGCTAGTTTCAAATAAATTAACTTTCTAAACTGAAAATAAATACTGTGGAATTTGCATATATGAATAAAGCATTGATCATACAGCAAATGTGGTGTTTAAACAGCTGTGACTTACTAAGTATTCTGGGCATTGTTCTAAGTGTTATACAGATTTTACCATATTTATTCTTTACAATCACACTCTGAGTAAAAGTAATGCTATTATTATGAACATCTTTGCTTCTGATGAAACACAGATACAGAGAAGTTAATTATTTTCTTCTAATGAGATAGCTACTAATTAGTGGAAGCTGGAAAAAAATGCAAGCCATTAGACTTTAGAATCTAGAATCAGTGCTTTTAAACCGTGTTTCTATCCTGCTCCCTATTCCAACTTAAGGCTTGCAAACGAAGGTGGAAAAATACAAGTTTTAGTTTTCAGTATTGCTCTTCTAAAAACAAGTGTTTCTTTTGGAAGGAAGAGAAACTACATAGATACAAATGGAGTTGTGAGTAAAATTTAAATTCCTTATAGTTTAATTTTACAAGTGACCAAAAGTTGAGTCTGCTTTCATCTTGTACTCATTTTTGTACAATGTTTGTTTTGCAATGATTTCCCAGCAGGTAAAAGGGCTACTCAATTATATTCTAAGAAACTAATTGCCTGGCAGAGTTTGGACTGTGCTCCCCAAGGTATGTTTTCAGTATTTTTTTCCTCGAAGAATAATTTGGCATAATTACAGAAATCATTTTATTCAAGTTATCTTCAGTAAATGCACAAGGGAGCTTTATTCACTCACTTCGCTTATTATATTTCTAAGAAAATATGTGTTTAATTATTTCCAAGGTATAACACACTACTTAAAGATATAACACACTATTTAAAAATGTTTGCTTAGTAAATTTTCAAGTTATAATTTATTTAAGGGTTTTATAAAGGATTATTCAATATTATTCATGTAATAATAATTTAGCATTGCCCACTGTTTCAGGTACTTTTCTAGCCCTCTGACTTAGAGCACTAAATAAAAATGCCCTCTTAGGCTAGTTGAGGAGATATACTTACCAAAAGTAGCACGATGGATAATTTTTAAAGCCCTGATTTGTAATATTTTCCAATTTTCTTGGTGTACAAACTTCCACCAAAACCGATTTTAAGATATCACCATAAAGTTACTAAACATAGAATTGAGAAGAGATGAGCACAATTAATTATTGATACCCCATTACCAAATAGGATAAGCCAGCTTTAGCACAGCACATTCCAAAAATTACATGTCATTCTTAGGAGGCAATGAAAAGTGCTAAGAAGAACAAATGAATTAGTAAATGAGTGCAGAGGAGGCAAAGAAGCCGAGAAAAAGACACCAGCAATGGTAAAGATAGACAAGTAGATTTTAATGAAATAAAAGTCAGGGGGAAAAGTATTTTTAAAATTGTATCAGATCAAGAAAGACCTGGCAATACAATGAGGAGGACTATGAAGAATAGGAGAGGATCAAGGAAGACCCTTGAGGAGTAGGAAAACAGGCAAATAAATATCAGTACATTCTTTAGTTATTGAGAGCAGAGCCAAAGTTTCATTCATGATTACGTCTGCAGTGTTCTGCACTGTGTTTACACAGAGTAAAAACTCAATCAATATCTTCAAGGCTAAATAAATAAATACTGCAATGAATGGATGCTCTGGTTTTTGTATTAAACATCCTTTATTTTAAGGGCCGCAAGATAAATTTCTCTTTAGATGTAATGCTGATAATCATGAAAGAATGAGAGCTTTGGACTTAGTTAGATGCCCTTGAACCTCATTACACTTTGGAATTCATCATTATGTAACATAGCCTTCCTTCTTAGAGCCTGGAGCATCACTTCTCTCTCTTTAGAGTACACATCAATCTCTCCAGTCAGAGAAAATGCTATCCTCTCAACCAAGGCTAGTGAAGAGACTCAAACTGCGAAAGACATGAGTTTGATTCTCAGATTTCCCACGTACCTACTATGTGATCTTAACAGCTTTGTTCTCTGTTTCTGTTTCTTTGTTCTCCAGATAAGTGAACTGAGATACAGAGTTATTAAGCAAGTTCTTTAATAGCTTTGTACCTCAGTTCCCTTATCTGTAGAACAAAGGAAATAACAATAAAATGCATTGGGAAATTGAAAATATTTCAACAATACAATTTATGTAAAGAATATTTAGAAAATTGTAGGCACTCAGCACATACTAGTCCTTTGGTCCATAGTAAAATGTCAACAATATATTTATTGAATAAAGCACATATGAATTATTGAATGATCAATTCTGACTTTGCTCATTATATACCCTAAACTCCTCTTCAAGTTTTCATTTGTTTCCTGGATTAAATTATTGTTATACATTTGTTGGACATTTGCCATCGTGCCCTGGATATAAACACTCACTCAGAAAAAATTAGCTGATTCCTTGATATGAGTAATAATTAGAAATCATCTATTTCAACACATAGATTTTACAATTGAGAGATACGAGACCCAGAATTCTTAATTATTTTTAAGAAAAATATGATAGTGTTGAAAGAGGGAAAAAGAGTTTGCATTACTATGATTCATTGAAGGAGATGTTGTTTGCACATAATCATAAAACAGGTTACAGTAGAAAAGAGAAAATCTTGATTTTTCCTGGAAAAAGAGAAGACATCAGAGGAGCTCATTTGTTTATTACTCTGTTTATGAGAGAAAACAAAACAAAATGAGAAAAATAAAAATTCACCTATTTGAGTGAAGGGGAGTAACTTCTGTATTCTCCAATACCAATGATATAGACGAATATACATTTGTATGTCTTTATATTTCTCCTTATTATGTTATATAGAACCAACTTATACAGGATACCTTGTATATTATTCAATATTTATGAATAATTTAAAATATATTACATAAAAAGGCATGAACACACCCACAGTCATTAGGCAGGGCATTTTGATAAACTTTGTACTCATTACTCCTTATAACAAGTTTATGAATCTTGTCCTGCTATCATCATGTTTTACAAATAAGCACACATTGAGAGTGAAAGAAGTGATATGAATAAACTTGCGGTGCTAGTCAGAGGCAGAGCCAAGACATCAACTTAATTTTGTTGCGGGGGTGGTAAGAGTTGCTACACTTACCCACCATGCTTTGACAGTCCAGTTGATGACATAGAACAGTCATTCATTCATTCATTCTACAAACATTTATTGAAGACCTAGTATATTTGAAACATTATACCAGATGCAAAAAGTACAAATTTTGATAGGGCACAGAGTCTTCTTTATCAATGTTTCAGTCTGACAAGGAAAGTATGCATGTTAGCAAGGAATACAATATAGTGTGAAACACGCTATTATATTAAAAACACTTCGAGGAGGAGTGTTGGGCAGGTGTCTAAAACTTTCAGAAAATGCTTCATTAAAAAAAAGCATGCACTATTCCTAAAACAAGAGTGGATATGCACGAGATACCATTCTAAGGGGAAGTAGACTGATTGTACAGGTTATTTGAGAATCTGCTGTGCTAGTTTGCTAAAAGCTTGGGGAAGTGTTTAGATACTGACAAAGAAAGAGGGCATTTAGACTGTGGTGATGAATTCCAGAGGCTGATGGGGTCAGGCACAAAAACTGGAAAAAATGCAAGCCTAGGATATCAGCTTAATAGGTTGCAGTGAAGCTCTACTAACTTTGCTTTGAATTTAAAATCACTTTTCATTCCTACACCAAGGTCAGCAATCTAAAGCATCATCAGGATGGTGTTTTACCACATTCATCTCCTTCAAACTCAGAGGATGACCTGTCTTATATCTTACTTAGAATGCCCAGGGATGTCTGAATTGCCTATTACGCCACGAGAAGAAGATGTTCTCATTTAGGAATAATAAAGAGCCATGCTTTGAGAGCGATTTTCAGGATTTGTTATCTAAGAGAACATGACAATCTAACAAAATTTGGTGACCAGATAAAGAAGGGAAAAAAAATCTACCCAACCCTCCAGAATATAAGCATGACAATAAGTGAACTAATGTTTCTATAATTTGTTTTCTATTGATTCATTCTGTTACAACAGCACCTGCAATACAATATTCAGGCACTGAAATAGCCAAGAATTAAGAATTTTAATTAGAACTACCATTGAGTCAGCAGTGAACACACAAGGCCAAGGTAAGCTAATAACAAGAACATTTTATTAAGGCATAAGTCACAGGTTGACCTGCTTCCAACTACCCAGAGCTAAGTGATGCAGCAGCTAAAATCCTGACAAAGCAAGTCAAGGGACCATTGGACTGTCCTAAGCAGAACTGATTTTAAAAAGAAGCACTTTTTTCAAAAGAGTAGTGTCCAGTCTTCTTTTTAGAAACATTCTTTAAGATGCTATTTCACACTAAACCACTCTCAGTTCACTTAATTGATGATTTTCAATACAAACAACAACGTGGATAAATGAGAACATTGTGGGTAATAAAGTTTGGGGATATTAATTTTTTGAAGAACTATGTGAAAGAACAGCCAGAAATGAAATATGATGGGATAAGAATTAGGTGGTTGGAGGGAAATGCAAGGAGAATGAATGACAGAGCAGGAAAATGAGAAGAAGGCCAATTTGAAATGTGAAAATCTTCGGTGTTAGAAATGGTGAACTGTTAGTCTGTGGTGCCCTCAAGCAAATGTGTTTGTTGTTTACAATACTACATTTGTTGGCTTCATCAATGTTTAAAGCCAGTTTACTGTAAATGGAAACAATCATTTAAGAAACATTTCTTTAAATAGTTTTATTTATTTATTACCTTTGTTGCTTTCTCTTTTGAAATAATATTGATAGGAGCAAGCTTGCTTATACAGGAAAGCTTTATTTAATATTGTCTTATTTTAAGTGAAGTCTGGATGATTCTGCAAGTTTCTTATTACGGTTTATTTCACATTAATATGAGAAAACATTTTCAAGTCAATCCAGGTTTGTTGGTATTTAGATAATACATTTCAATAGTATTTAATGCATGTAAAAACCCTCCTATCACAGGCCTTAAACCTAACTCTCTTTTTCTCTCTCTTTATACACAAAATACATTATATTAAAAATCTAGCTATAGGTCAAACTAAATATTTTTAATTCTAAGTTAGTCATATAACCAAGAGTATTTTCTTATTATTTAACATAAAATATTTGAATTTTAGGACTTTGGACATGGAATAACATATATTCATTAATTTATACATTAAAAAGAGACAACTTCAGTTTGTGACTCACTAAAGGCAAAATGTGCCAGACAAAAAGTCTTCCAGGGACAGAGCAAGATGTCAGAATAGAAACCTATGCCATTTGTTCCCCTTCCACTGAAACACCAAATTTTAACCACTATCCACACACAGAAAAGCACTGTCACAAGAACCAAAAATCAGTTGAGCCATCACAGTACCTCGTTTTAACTTTATATCATGGTAAGAGGAATTGAGGAGGGCAGGAGAGACAGTCTTAAATCGCCAACACCACCCCTGGCAGTGGCTGTGAGGCACGGACAGGAAATCTTTGGAGTGAAGTGACTGCAGAACTTTACATTGAACTCATTGCTGCTTTGTCATGATGGAGAATAAAGCCATACTGGGCTCAACCAGTTCTCCTGTACTCATGGAGGGAGCATTTGGACCAGTCCTAGCCAGAGGGGAATCACTCATCCCAGCAATTAGGACTTGAGTTTCTCAGCATGACTCCTTACCGTGAACTTAAGTGCTCTGAGTTTCTAGGTAAATTTGATAGGCAGAATAGGACACAAAGAATACAATTCCTAGGCAATTCCTAGTGCTAGGCTGGGCATAGAGCCAGTGAACTATGGCGGCACGTGATCTAGGCAGACACCACCTGGTGCAGCTAAGGAACTGCTTGTGCCATCCCTCCCCCAGCACTAGGCAGTGTAGCTCATAAAAATGAAAGTGACTCCTTTCTTCTGTTTAAGGAGAGGAGAAGGAAGGGTAAACAGGACTTTGTTTTGCAGCTTGGATAACAGTTCCACCACAGTAGGATAGGGCATCACCCAGCAGAGTTGTGAGGCCCCCATTGCAGGCCCTAGCTCCCAGACATCTCTAGATACACCTTGGGCTGAAAGAAAGCCCACTGACTTAAAGCAAAGGACACAGTCCTGGCAGGATTCATCACCTGGTGTCTGAAGAGCCCTTTGACCCTGAATAACCATCAACAGTACCTAGGGAGTACACCTTGGGCCTAGAGCTCTGAGATGTGCTGGCTTCAGGAGTGACCCATCATGATCCCAGCTGTGGTGGCTGTGATGAGAGATTATTTCTGTGTGACAAAAATAGAGAAAAAATAAAGGGGGCTTGTTTTTCACCCTAGATACCAGCTAAGCCACAGGATGTAGAGCAACAAGTGGGTCCTTGGAGTCCTTGAGTCCAGGCCTAGGCTCATGGGCAGCATGTCTGAACCTGCCATGGGCTAAATGGGAGCCTACTTCCCTGAAGGATGAGTCCCAGGTCTGGCAGCATCCACCACAAGTTGACAGAGGAGCCCCTGTGCTTTAGGTGAATATCAGAGGTGGCCGGGCAGAACGTACAACCACTGCTGTGGGTTAGTGGTGGTGGCAGCCACAGGGAGAGGCTCCTCTGCCTTTAAAAAGGGGAGGAAAGAGTGGGAAGGACTTTGTATTATGACTTGAGTGCCAGCTTACCTGTAGTAGAATATAGAACATATGGTAAATTGCTAATGTTTTTCACTCTAATCCCCAGCTCCCAGACATTTCTGGACATGCACCGGGCCTGGGAGAACTTGTCGCCCTTAAGGCAAGGCCCAGCATTGTGCTGGCCTCAGATCTGAACCAATAGGATGTGTGTGTCTGTGTGTGTCTGTGTGTGTGTGTGTGTGTGTGTGTTCATTATACATATATATGAAAGAGACTACAATGTTGTTATAAGGTAGTGGCTTACATAATTATGGAGGCTGAGGAGACCCATAATCTGCCATCTAAGAGTAGAAGACCCAGGAAAGTCATTTGTATGGGTTAAGACCCGAGAGCCAGAGAACTGATGGTGTAAATTTCAGTCAGAGTATTAAGTCCTGAAAACTGGGAGTGACTAGGGCAAAAGATGAATCTTCCAGTTTCCATTGTCAGGAGGAGATCAAATATGACCTTCCTTTGCCTTTTTGTTTTATTCAGGTTCTCGACAGATTGAATGATTCCTAAGCATATTGGTGAGAGCAGGTCTTTTCTACTCAGTCTGCCAATTGGAATTCCAATGTCTGCCAGAAACACCCCTGCAGATACATCCTGAAATAATGTTGTGCCAGCTATTTGGGCATCCTGTAGTTCAGTCAAGTTGACACATAAAATTAGCCACCACAGGGAGTCACAAAGGTACCCAGGGAACACAAGGATTTTTCTACTGTGCAGAAAGATATACCTTTAATCTTCACTGAGTATTTCTCCAGTTCCTTGTGGTTTCCTCTCCAAGTTGAATATAATTGACAACACTGGTACCGAATCTGAACACTGTGTTAGGAGGCTCATGAAGACCATTCAACTCTGAGGGATTTTGTTAATCACATTTAAAAGCTATATATGTTTGTTTATGAAGTCTTCCAGCTTTCTTTTAAACCTCTGAATCTTTTCTGTTCCAAAAATATTAAATGCCCTCATGGCTATATTGTACAAATGCACCAACCACTTTCTGATTGGATTTTGTTTTCAAGAATATGGCTTACAAAAGCATATGTTAATTTTTTAAGATGAATGAAAGAAATGTTTTAAAATGATGAAAAAGAGTAAACATTTGCACCTTTTGACAGAGGAAAAAAGTGTCTGGGAGAAAAAATTCACAACGCCATTAAAAATCTTAGAGAGTGAGCTCTCAAAGAGGCAATTTCTATGAATGCAGTCTCAATCTATTCTGACAACTGGAAAATTTACTGGGTGTGAGAAATGTGAATTTTATCTTTTTATATTCATCTTTCTTGTGTATGACTCAAAACATAGTACAAGGGATCAAGTGAGTCCATGCAGTTATTTACGTACAGATGGCACTAGGCCCAATGAAGCTCCATTTTTACCAAACTGAAAATGACAACCTAAGGTTAGAATAAAGAAGAAAGTGAATGACATAGGGTTACTGCATGTTGAACTTCATACAGTTAGGCAGAGTACCATTTTCTGAGATTAGTATTTCTCATACGTACTACTTTGTCTAGGTTTCAGACAAAAAAAAAGAATGTATTTTTACAGTATATAGAAATGAAAGCAAATGGAATATTATTGTTGCTGTCAGTACAACAAAAAATTGAATGGTTTGCATGAGCCTCTTAACACAGTGTTCAGATTCGGTACCAGGGTTGTCAGTTATATTCAACTTGGAGAGGAAACCACAAGTAACTGGATTCTAGAGTCGTATTCTAGAATTCCTCTGAGGGCCTGAGAAATACTCAGTGAAGATTAAAGGTAAATCTTTCTGTACATTAGAAAAATCTTTGTGTTCACTGGATACCTTTGTGACTCCCTGTGGTGGCTAATTTTATGTGTCAACTTGACTGAACCACAGGATGCCCAAATAGCTGGAACAACATTATTTCAGGATGTATCTGCAGGGGTGTTTCTGGCAGACATTGGAATTCCAATTGGTAGACTGAGTAGAAAAGACATGCTCTCACCAATGTGGGTAGGAATCATTCAATCTGTTGAGAACCTGAATAAAACAAAAAGGCAAAGGAAGGTCAAATTTGATCTCCTCCTGACAATGGAATCTGGAAGATTCATCTTTTGCCCTAGTCACTCCCAGTTTTCAGGACTTAATGCTCAGACTGAAATTTACACCATCAGTTCTCTGGCTCTTGGGTCTTAACCCATACCAATGACTTTCCTGGGTCTTCTGCTCATAGATGGCAGATTATGGGTCTCCTCAGCCTCCATAATTATGTAAGCCACTACCTTATAACATTGTAGTCTCTCTTATATATATGAACACACACACACATCCTATTTGTTCTACTATTGGTTCTATTCCTCTGGCAAACCCTGACTCTGCTTTTTAAAAAACATGGAAATAGAAAAATCTTATCTACAAATTATACTGTGATCTGTGCTTTAACTGGCTCTCACAAGATAATCACAGATAAGATTCCTCAGTATTTGTAATTTTGATCTAATTTTGATCTCTAAATCTATTAGAGGCTGCTTCATATCATTGTTTGAATGCTCTTTGATGTGTATGTGTTTATTTCCATTTAAGACTGTAGCAGAATGCTAAGTAACATTTGAAAATTATTTTCCTATAATTTTCTCATATGTATTTTAGCAAAACTTGAATTTCAGAATATTCCAACTTAATTCTAAATAATTTTGAGAATATATTAATTGCTATTCACTTGCCTAAGCTATTTTTCAAATAGAGATCTCTTTTAAAACAATGAGAGCTGCTGAAATATTGACAGTAAATATAAATTTTAAATTAATTTACATTTTGAAACTAAAAATTTTAAAACTTAAATACTATTTTTAGTATTTAACGTTGTAAGAATCATTATATATATGTTTTATTCAATATGACCATTGAGGAGATTAATGACTCTTTAAAGAAATTTAGGGATCTGATGAAACTCTTTCCAAACATAAGAAAACAGATACCTTTTCAAATCCATGTTATGATTAATTTCATAAATTGCATGTGATAGTGATCAGCATTGTCTGGTAATTTTATTTATATGAGAGAGTGAGTGTTTTCCTTTTTTAAAATGTTTCTCAGGCTGGACAAACTCCTGGACACAAGCCACTTTTCCACCTCAGCCTCTCAAGTGGCTGTGACTGCAGGCATGCACCACCATGCTCAGCTCAGACAGTGAATATTTTGTTCAAGGGCTGAACCAATAAGTAAGCAAGAACTTTGAAAGATATTTCAAAACTCTCTTCTTTTCCATATATGAGTTACTGTTTTTCATGATTATGATTATTTATAAAGCCTCTAAATTAAATAAAAAGTGGTTAGTAGACATTTGTAAAAAGTACATGAGGATAAATCAACTCTCAAGGGTAAAGCAGACAACCAAGAATTAGTCTTGTACTGTGACGGGACCATCTTTGATTTTTGAAATTTTCTTAAAGCATGTAATACATGTGTACTACCTTTTTCATTTATTATTTTATTATTCCTTGTTATTTTTTCTCAAAGTACTTGATAATATTTGTATTTGTATTGTATTTTTTTAGCAAGAACAGTAAAGTAAAACAGATATGTGTAAAAGCTTATAGATAACTACATTTTCCTAGAAAGAACTCTGACCAAAAGCTTACTGGACCTTAATTCATCAAATAACAAAGGTCTATTCTCAGCATGTTTTAGACTAGAACAATAAATTATCTTACCTCCAGCAATTCTAGAATTTATTATTACTGACTTGATCCTTCTAAAACATACAATTTCACCACACACTGGAAATGTATGGTGTTCAAACAAAACCATTATCAATCTTGGATCACCAGAAAAGCAGAAAGGAAGAAAGACTTTTAAGGAGTGAAAACTTTAATAAGAAAAATCTAATATGTGGCTTTGTTTGCCTAAAATTATAATTATACATATCCTACATAATAGTAATAGTAAACTTGAAAGTATTAATAGGAAATTGGTATGAGTATATACAAAAAAAACGGGAATGAATAAGTGCGAGACAAAGAAAAAAGAGGAAGAGGAAAAGAAGAATTTTTAAGTCCAAGTATATGAAAAACATATCTCTAGTAGAGTCCATAGAACTGCTGAGCTTAATATTCTCTGATCTGGTCTCAATGGCTTCAACTTAGATTTGACTTTGCATTTTACTGACTATCTTGGAAAAAGTTCTATGGCAGCCCAGCCAAGCAGCAACATGGAAACTAAAATCTCTATTACTTAGAGATCAAATGCAAATTGTATTTTATGCAATATCTTTTATTTGCATCACAAATCTTATGAGCCAATGAATTCCTTTCTGTAGGGTGTCCTGTGTCTTTAGTAGTAAGAGGCAGGAGATAAAAAGAAGGTTTGCGCAAGTATTGGATTGTTTACCTGATTTTTTTATTTAACCATTACACACACTTGTCAAAATTTGACCCCTTCAGATCAGCAAGAGACAGCTTCTGATAAGACTAAGACACTGTTTTATTTAATCTCTATTCAAAATGAGGACATCACAATTATAGCTCCATATTGTGCAGTCCTGATAAAGTTCAGAGAAAAAGCAGCACCTTCTGAAGCATAGGTGATACCTAACAGTGGTTTAGACTAAGAGCTTTGGCATCTCTCCAGTGGGCATAAGTAGGCAGTAGATGTTTAATGCAAAACATAGGAAGAAATGGACATACCAAAAGTTAACGGCCATAATTTATAAGGAGAATTTCCAGACTTTCTAGCAAGCCAACTATTCATGAATAGATTTATAAAATGGGTACTGATTCTTTTGGCCTAATGTGATCTAATCTTAGCTTTTTAAGGACCGTCATTTCTTTATTGAAATTCTTTTAATGTAAATTTTATTGCAATAGAAATTTTGTTAAAGTAGCTATCATCTTTGATATAAAAATTACATATCCTAAATTGGTTATCTCTGTTTCCTTAAACCATAACTTCATCAAATTTTATATTCTTTCTTTTTGTGTAACATCTACATAGATTTCTAGGGAAATTTTTTATACTGCTTTGCAATTATGATTAAATGATTTGCTATACATTGTACTTTATTTTTTGTTTGATGATAATTATGCGATTATCTTCAGATAACCTAAATTTAATCATTTTCTTACTTAAAAGTAAATAACACTACCTAGACTAATTGCCATTTGAAAATAATTGATTGATTTTTATAAAAATATATTAATCTCAAATTTTATGTATCATCTTTAATCACTTGGATTTTTCTATACTTAAAAAAAATTTTAATTTCTCTTGATGCCTAAAGATTGTTAAGTGGTCAGTAAAACCATTGTAATATTATCTTGTTTTTCCATTTCCTTTACAGACACTAGATTAACTTCTCATTTTTTTATAACAGGTACATGTACTCATCATAATTTTTCCATATTTTTTCCCTTCATAATTAGAATGGAGCCCAGCTCTTTAATTTCAGAGATTGTTACAAAGAAGAAAATGGTAGCAGGTAAAGTCATCAGCTTTCCTTAAAATTTAGGAAAATATAAGACAATTGACAAGAAATTTAGTGTTCTGTGGGAGAAATAGGATATTTAAGACAGGTGAGGAATATAGAGATGTGAAGGTGAGGGAAAATTTCAGGGAATGGAAAATTGGGAGAATATCTCATAGCACAGGAAAACTCAACAGTACTTTCTAGCATGGTATTATCTTTAAAAGACTTGCTAAGGGTGAAAATTTGATAAATATTGAAAAACTTTCAATTCAAGATAGCCCATTGGATATATGCACTGCCGTCTTCTCCCTTAGTCATGGAAATTATTAAAAAGATATAGGGTAAGCTGTATTACTAACCAAATATTTACAACAGGAATTCTTGATGGAGTAGAAGATGGGTCTAATCTCTAAACAATCCAAAGTGAGAAAATTTAGGCTAAATGTGCTTCAAAATGTGATCAATGTGGGAACCCCATGCCCATAGGTGGTGGATAATAAAAGCATAAGTGGGTTCTAGATCAAACAAAAAGTTGTTTACTTAGGAAAACAGCACTTAAAGCAACCAGTCAGGTTAAACCTTGTGCCCCTACTCGTGACTCTTGGAATAAGTGACCGCAACAGAATTGCCATTCTACAGTGTGGTGAAGTCTCTGGGATTATGGAATCTGTTATTAACCCACGTGGCCAGAACACTTTGGAGGGTAGAATGACTCTGGGCCCAAGAAAACATCTGTATAGACACTTCAATCCATGGGACCGTTTGACTTTTCCTCAATAGTGAGACTAACGATATTTGTATTCAATACCATCTGTAGATTTTTCCCTTGAATTACAAATTATAAACATTTTACCATTATCAGACGTGATTGTATTTTAATCCTTGATTTATATTCATTTTTATGTATTCTTCCTTCTATTCTTGTGCTATAGTTTTCCAAGTATTTCTTCCAGTTTTACTCATATGTTAACATTGATTTTGATGCCCTTCAAATTATAAAAACTTTAAATTTTGAAAATATTTCAAACATTTTTTATCATTTTAAGTGTTTTCCATCTGAATTGCACAGACATTTCATGTAATACGTCTAAAATAAATATCAATTTAAAAATCTCATATTAACTTTCTAAATTATCACTGTGAGACCTATGAGATAGGAGAATAGACAGTAATTTGGGAAAAAAGCTACAAATGTTTAATAGAGAAGTAGCTAAATCATAGCATGCTTATGCAGTACAATGTGATGCTTTGATATAAAACAAAAATTTAAATACATGAGTAGTTAAGTGGATAGAGGAATGGACAAATTATAGATACAGAGAAATGTGTGTGTTTCTGTGTGTTTATGTTTATGACATTATCATAAATCCAAGAAATATGAATGATGATTATCTCTCCTTGTTAGAAAGAGAGTATATTATTTATATAACTAAAACAACTAATGTTTTAATTGTTTTTAATTTAATTTAATTTTAACTTTTTACAAGTTAAGAGAAAAAGGAGTCTGATCATTTGAGGTTGACCCTGCTCTAAAGTGGTGAATGAAATCTCCAAAACCATTTGATTCTTACATTAGGTCTTTCTTTTCCTTTGGCCTAAAGGACACCATTTTCTATGATTTCTACTTTTCATCTTTACATTTTGAAAATGTTTTTCATTCTTTTGCAGCGCTTTTGTATACACCATTTAAATGTTAGATTTTATTCTTGATTTTCTTTTCATGAAAAGAAGAGGGGTGTCTTAAGGTTACATCTTCACCTTCAAGCACCATTTATAAACTAACGTTTTTTTAAATTGATATTTCTTGTTATAATTGGAGTCCTCCATAGCTGCCTCAATCACTTCATAAGAATGCTATTTATTGATGTCAAATATTCTGGAACAGGCCCAGCACGGTGGCTCATGCCTATACTCCCAGCACTTTGGAAGGCTGAAGTAGGCAGATCACTTGAGGTCAGGCATTCGAGACCAGCTTGGCCAACGTGGTGAAACCCCTTTTCTACTAAAAATACAAAAAAATGAGCCAGGCTTGGTGGTGGTGCGTACCTGTTGTCCCAACTACTCGGGAGACTGAGGCAGGAGAATCACTCAAACCCCAGAGGTGGAGGTTGCAGTGAGCCAAGATTGTGTCACTGCACTCCAGCCTGGGTGACAGAGCGAGACTCTGCCTAAAAATAAAGATAGATCGATAGATAGATAGATAGATAGATAGATGATAGATAGATAGATAGATAGATAGATATAATTATATATAATTTTATATCTAAATATATATATAGGAATATACATGAAAGAAATACATGGATGAGATGATATTTACCAACAGCCTAAACATTTTCAATGCCCCAGAACTTGTGTAGTATGAATTTCCTTTGTCTTGGGTTGGGGCAGCTGAGAGGATTTTTCAGAGCTTATTGCAAAACTGTTTCAAGGAAAAAGGCTCACTGCCTCCAGGAGATAAAATGAAGCTATATCATTTATGTAGGAGGAAATTACAGGAAGAGACACAATTCCACTTTACCTTACTTCAGAATCTAATAGACAAATTTCTCTTTATAAACTAGGGAGCAAAGAAATACTACTTCTATACAAAGACAGATTCCTTGCAGGTATTTTGAAAGTGTTATATGGCTCCTTTTTCATTATAAATAGACAACTTACTTTCTTATAAGAAAGCCATACACCTTGGATGAACTCGATTAAAATAAATAGAAAATAGTATACTTTGAAAACCCTATGAAAAGAAAAAGACATTAAATGGAACTTTATGAAATTCCATATAGAGGGTTCCCTAAGGATTTCAAATTTTTAAAACAGCACTTCAAAAGTCATGTTTATCTGGAATATCAAAAAAATCCAACATCCCCTAAACACTATATACCTAAAATGTCATATTCTAGACATAATTCTAATGCAAAAATTGTACAAAAGTACCATCTCTTGAATGGTTGAAATTCATTCTGTGCATATGCAGCTAATATTTGGTTTCATCCCTAAATAATGTTATCATTGTTTAGTTGAGGTTCTCTGTGTCAAGTTAACTCCGGGGCGATGTTTCCCATGGTCAATTAAGAAGAAAAAGTTGGTAGAAGAGTATTTTAGTCACCCCAAATCTATTCCTAATGGTGGCTGAGACATTTCTGAACATGAAGTTATCATTACAAAAATGGGAAACGTATTTTAAGATGCTATCCTTTAACTACAAAGTTCTATGCACTTTGAAGAACAATGTCCAGATAAGGACAAAAACTTTGGTGTAATCAGGATGCAGAGATGCAAAAGCACTATAAATGTTATATACAATTTGTTATAGAGACTCTAGCTTATGTAATTGTGAGAGCTGGCCAAAAACTCTCTGTAAGGCAAATTTCTTCATGCCGGTTACCGGAGCTTTAAGTCCTCAAGGTAGATAGTTGGGAAGGGAAGATGTGTGTAAAGTGAGAAAGATCAAAAACAAAGTGGAGTCCATAATCGTGGGCTCATACACACAAAAATGAACTGGAACCTATGAATATTAATCTTCTATTGCTGCTCTAACACACTACCACAAATGTATTGCCTGAAAAACCCAAATGTATTATCATACAGTTCTGGAGTCAGCAGTCTGAAATAGGTCTTAATGAAACAATATTGAGTTGTTTACAGGGATTTGCTCCTTTTGGAGGCTCTAGAGGAAAATCTGTTTCCTTGCTTTTTCCAACACCTAGAGGCTGCCTACATTCCTGGGCTCATGGTTCCTTCCTCCACTTTAAAAGCCAGCAGCATAGTAGCTTCACGATGATATTTGCTTTTACTGCTTTTATTGCCACATTACTTTGTTGGATTCTGACTGTCCTGTCTCTCTCTCTTCTAAGTTCTCATGTGATTACATTGAGCCCATCCTGATAACCCAAGATAAATTTTCCATTTTAAGATCTTTAACTTAATTATATCTGCAAAGTTTCTTTAATATTTAAGGTAATATTTGCATAGGTTTGAGGATTAGGACGTGGATACCTTAGTGGGGGGCAATATTCTACCCACCCACAACATGCCAGTTCTTACTACCTCCAACCTTGCTGATGTAGTGCCTTTCATGAAAAGCAGTTGCCCATTTTAGGGAGCTAATTCCACATTTGGCCGGGAAGTTGAAAAAACTAAAGGAAGGGAAGGTGGCAAAGTTGTGGACCCAGCTTCTGCTCACATAAACAAGGTGATTCAGCACACAAATAACATAAGTGAGCTACAAATCTTCTGTTGACCTGGCCCCAATCTTTAGAGCACAAAAAGCAATTATGCCACTGCTTCACAAATCACATGCAAAACTGTCTCTTGTAGCACAGCCTAACAAGGGAATTCTGGAAAGGTAATTTATCCTAGTGAAGTTGACACATTAGAAAGTCATAGTTTCTAATGAGTATGCTGCGTTACGCTAAGTTGATGATTATTGAAGCAGTCCAAGTTTTGCTCCTTGGGGGACTGACTACCTTTACAACATAATATCAATCCTAGTCTCTAGTTAGCAAGTCTTTTTAGTTTGCTATAGCTGAACAAACTGTTATTTGTTTCAGGTATTCAGTATCATATCTAAGTCCTCCTTATATCCCAATATTAAATTCATAACATCTTACTAACAGTTGGCTTTCTTTGGTCATATATTAGTAGAAATTCAAGTTCCTTGAAAAATGTGGCTTACACTGCTTGAATGAATAATTGTGTTGTAGATACTTGTTAACTGTTATGAGCAGGCAACCTGCCTTATATTTTTAAACATACTCAAGTTATTAAACAATATCCCACTATCTCAAAATAAAATTTATTATTTGAATTTATTATTCAACTAATCTCGTTTCATATGATTACTTTAGAAATAATCAACTGTTATATATGTTCAAGAATGTAGATTATTTTATATGGATATTTCTCTGAAAGAACCTGACATAGTATTCATTCTAAGGCTTTGATTTGTTCAGTTAGATGTGTTAGGCTAGAAGAGAAAGTATGCTCAGCTCTGGGACAGCTGAAGGCAGTATGAATAATCAGATGAACCCATTTATCTTGTTGAGTGGGTAGGATATTTGGGTGAGAAAAGCTGAGAGGTTAGAAATAAACACTGGTAGTAAGCAATGAGCCTCAGGTGACTTTTTCAACCTGGATCTAGCTTGACTTTTTCCATTACACCCACAATTATAATGCCCCAGCCAAAATGAATTCATGACTGAATTATAGTTCTCAACTAACTTCCCCTCCTTTGTTATCAGACAAAGTTGGAACTTGCATCAGTTCCAACTTTAAAAAATGCCTTTTTGAAACCTTTCTTAAGCCGCATTCCCAAAGATTTAATTGTTCCATATTTTTTCCTAGGACTTTATCCATAAAAATATAATGATTTTTTGCCATATTGAAATAACTTTACAATATCTATGTCAATGCACACTTAAATAATGATATATTTCATAATGTTTAAGAATATGGACTCTGGAACCAAACAGACCAAGGATGTAATCCTAGCTTTGTTATCTAGCAGCTGAGTTACTTGGACAGTTTAACAACCTCTCTTAATTTTCTCATCTACACAACACTGTTGTAAGAATATAATGATAATATGCTTTTCACAGTGCCTACCATAATGCTTCTTCAATCAACATCAGTTATTAATAATAACATTATTAATTCATATGTATCTCATAATTTTTTGCAAAATGTTTTCATGTCATACATCAAATTTTCTTGTTAATATAAAAATATGATATATTATGCTAGTATTAGGGTCATAGATTTATACTATCATTGAATTATTACCATGCAGACCCGGCATGGTGGCACATGCCTGTAATCTTGCCACTTTGGGAGGCTGAGGTAGGAGGATCACTTGAGCTTAGGAGTTTGAGACCAGCCTGGGCATCAGGGTGAAACTCCATCTCTACCAAAAATACAAGTTATCCGGTCATGGTGGCATTCACCTGTAGTCTCATTTACTCAGGAGGATGAGGTAGGAGGATCATTTGAACCTGGGAGGTAGAGGTTTCAGTGAGCCAAGATCACGCCACTGCACTCCAGCCTGGGCAATGGAGCCAGACCCTGTCTAAAAACAAAAACAAAAATTACCAATGTGGCCATATATTACCCATTTAATTAGCTGGTTGACATATGAACCTGAAAATGATATCCTCTGAAACAAATTCCTGATTCTCTGGCTGTCATTTATTGATCTGTAATGTGAGAAAGTATAGGGGAGAGAATGAGGAGACTTCACATAGAGATTTTTCTCAATGGTGCAGAGATCTCCTTCCAATCTTATGAAGATTGGTTGGGTGCTCTAATTGCATTTTTTTCATTTGTGTTTCTTGGAATAATGAAATAGTTACTGACAGTCACCTGATTTTTCCTGGAATTTTCATTCTAAGTCTTTCATCTTGTGTAAACGATTAGCCAGTTTCATAAACAAGAGGTAGAAACATATCTCACATTTATTGTATTTTATTTTCTCAACATACATTCACATTACCTTCTTCATTATTTTAATCTTTTTTTCACCATAGTCAGTTCCAGTATTTACACATGTAGTAATGTACACAGTAGTTTAATACATTCATGTTCATGATAACACTTATTTATTGGTTCCCTGAATTTATTTCTTCACCTCTCCTGAAAGACTGAGCTCTTGAAGAGCAAGAATCAAGCTGCATTTATTTTTGTAGTCCTACCTCCGGAGACTGCACTCCTCGATTCCATAAATAAACTTTATCTAGCATATGTAAAATATATTAGCCCAATACTGATGCTTTTATCTGTATCCGTTGAGTGTCTAGCCAATTTTGTAATCACAGATCTTTAGACTAAGGGTCCAATGTAGGCTGACCCAACTAAAGTCTCCCCTGGAAATGTGAAATTGGCATGTAGAGAGAATTAGGTAACTATTTGAGGTTAGCCATAGAATGCTATATAAATTATAGTGCCTTGTAAAAAAATACTCTGAAACATATTGGCTTACAAAAACAACCATTGTATTTGCTCAAAACTTTGTAGTTTGGCTGAGCAGAGCTCAGCTGGATTGGCACATTTCTGATATATTTGGTATAGACTGAATTTGCTCATTGGGCTAAGATTTAATTTGAAAATCCAAGATGGCATCACCCATATGCAATTAGTCCCCCCTCCCTAGTTGCAATGGCTGGGAAATTAGGGCCTTTCTTTTCATGGTCTTTCATTCTCCAGGACCTCTTGGCTTGTAATGTTTATACCTCCAGACCCTTTCTCTCCATCTATCTACAGTAACAGGATATTTAGGATATCTTTACTTGGTGACTCAGGGTTCAAAGAGTAAAAGCAGAAAATGCAAAACCCCTTAAGGTCCAAGCATGGACTGTGCAAAATATCAGTTCCACTACATTGTATCCATTTCAATAAGCCGTAAGTCCTGCCTGACTCAGTGAAGGAGGACATTGCACACAGATATGGATTCATAGTGATGTGATTAATTGGTAGGGAGTGATTAACTGTTTGGGAGTAATTGGTGGTGGTGATTAGCAATTTATCCTGAGTTCTAGTCATCAGATCCTCCCATGCACATTCTCTCAATCTTACATAAAATGCTATGCAGACTCAATAGCAGATTTCACATCCTGATGAGAACACTGCCTCTTTAATATTGAAATTCTGACTCTAGGGCTAAATCTGCTATCTTGGTCTATGTATTGTAAAAGTCTATTGCCAAAGACTGGTAGTAGAAGGGAGAAGGTATCCAGGACAAAGCTGAATAGAAACCATGTGTGTGTGTGTCTATGTATCTGTATGTGTGCTGGAGTCAGAAACGGTTTACTGGTGAGACAGAGAGAGACAGAGAAAGATAATCTGCCTAGGTTTCAGATGGCTTTCTAGTCTCTGGTCTTTGGTGAAGTCCAACAGTGCTTGCTCACTTGGTTTTCTTGTACTGAACCTAAGACATAACGATAGATGCTATGAGCCTAAATATCTGGAATAAATTTTTGTCTCTGGAAGTAAACACTGTATAAGTAAGATATTTGAATTAATAATGGGGTTTTTGTTAAGATGAAATCTACAAAATTTAACACAAATCCATTATCTTGATCATTATTATCAATAATAATTCAATTCCATGCCTGTACATTCTACTCTAAAATGCTTCCTGTGTGAACTTAAGTTTTGTTATTCACTTACTTGCTTTAAATTTCCTCTAAATATTACATTGATTGTTTATAATCTGCCATTGCTTTTCTCTCTTGCCTCATGTCTCACCAGTTCCCACCAAGGACTACATGTTTCTGCCCTGCAGCATCACTGAATTTTCTTGTAAAATGCTATTTCTCCATTATCTTCCAATGTTGGTTTTTATTCTTAACTATACCGAGAATACCTTTCTCCACCTCTTCTTTCCCATGACCATTCTCATCTCCCACCCTTTCCAAATATAGTTCCTATTCAATTTTCAAGCCAAAACTCTTCTCCTAAGAGAACCTAGGAGATGGCTAGTATTTATCATCCCACTTTTGTAAATACTTGTTTGCTATCTATATCTCCAACTGGACTATAAATTCAAGAACAAAATGACGTTTTTATTCTAGGTATTTTACACACTGCACCTAACAATAAAGCTTAATGGAATTAGCTGATATATATCTTATCTGTCTTCTTTTATTTGATAATCTTATTTTGATTTGCAAGTTAGTTTAAGATTCATCTATGATCTGTTAACAATGTATTTCATTTTGCTTTCAGTCTCACTAATACAGATACTTTATTTGCAAATAGTTGTAGAGAAAAATAATCTTCCATCCTTCTTTCACATTTAAATTCAAGAGACCAATACTATGACTTTATACAAGAAAATCAGAGATTAAAACACATTAAGTAAAATGTCTTTGGACACAGTTGATTAATTACCCAACCTTCATGCCCCATCTTGCAGTTTTGTAGTCTTTCTTAGCCAACCTATTTACAAGTATTTGCCCCTAATGTTATTTTAAACTGTTTAATTAAATGTTTTCACATTAAAGTACTTCTATAATTTAATTCTTAATTATATTTAAATATTATTTTACTGTTAATTTTATCTCTGCTACATTTTCAACCTGATATTCTAACTTAGTTGGTCATTATCAGTTACCATCATTATGAAAATTAATAATAAATGTATTTTTACATCCACATGCAAAGCACACTTTTGCTTTGAGGTTTATTTTACTTATACTCCTTAAGTATGCTTCTTATCCTTTTGCAATTTTAGTCTCACAATCAATTCTTCCTTTCTTTTTGCCTGAATTTTTACTTAGGGTATAGCAGTAGGAAAAAGTAACTAAATAATCTAATTTCTAACTGAAGTAAATCACTTACTACTTTTCCTCAATACTAGCATTTCGAAAATACTACGTTACATCTGACATCCACATAAACTGTATGATTCATTAGGATTTTTAAAATTTGAAGGAGATTTAGAATATAGAAATCCAGTTTATCATCAGTACACTAGAAAATTGATAGAGAAATTCCTTTAATGATAAGCTCTTAGTGTGCAAAACCCTTCAGGTACAAAAGCAAACCTATAACCAATGGAAAACAGATGGCAAAAATAGTGCTCAATAGTATCTTCGGATTGAAAAAAATGAGAAAGATTTATAAACAGCCTTGCAGAAATGAACTAGTTCATAAGTAGCAGAACTTTGCTCTCTCTCATTATATAGCCTGTAATTTAAACTGCCCATATTATGAGACAAAAAGATTTTCTGGTCTTTCTTTGCAAATGTGAATATAGAGAATAATGGACTATACTTTTGTGCTGGAATTAAACAAATCAGGGTACCAGTTGGGTATCTTATTAAACTCACATGGTATCTTAGTTATCTATGGAAGGATAACAAATGACTCCAAACTCAAACTCTTTAGACAACAAAGACATAGTATCTCACATGTGTGTTATCACAAGTAAACTTACCTAGATACTCTCTTTAATCCTGTAGATTTTTATTTGTATTTCTATTTATTTATTTACTTATTTTAAGTTATTGGCCCCTGCTTCTCTCTTGGTCTTGAACACTGCATCCCAATTTAATAGCAGCTACTTTGGGGCCATCTTAAACAAAGAGTCTAGCTAAGATAGCAAGCTCCTTAATCCTATTTGGAATAGGAGGCTCGCAGCCTTTATTAAGTGGAACACAAGTAACATCCTGCTAAATTTGCAGCTTCATAACAATACTTTTAATTGCTTCAATTTGGGGTATGAAATTAGTGGATATATTAAAGTGCTTCATATGGTGATGCACTGTCAACTCTGATTACAGGACATGGGCAGACAGCTTCTAACTTAGCCAGAGTCCATACTTTTCCATATTTGCTTAAATATAGGCTGGCCTAAGACCAAGAATATCTTTCTATAGAACTCAGCTAAAGGTCATAAGAAGAAACCAGTACACAAAGATTTTTTTAAAGTTTTTCTACCATTTCTCTTTTAATATAATTGGCAAGAAGTCTGCTCCTACTTCTCAAACTTCATAGCTCTTGACACACCTGGACCAAGGGCCAAAAAAACTATTCTTATTTTCTGCAAGTAAAGTATTTAGCTAAACACCAGTGATTATATTATTAAGAATATAAATATTGAGGGAAATCGTATAGTGACTCTTGCAACAGAGAAGATTTTTAGCTGAATGCGACATGCAAATTAAAATCTTAATTAACACTCGTAACAATTTGTGAATGCTTACCCCCACAAAACTATATGTAAACATAGAAGTAAATAGATAATTTTATAGGCATGATAAAGATATATAGATACAGATATGTAAATATAGATAGACATAAGCCGTAAGGGGAAAAAATTTAATTTGGCAATGATACCAAAATTTAAATAAAGGCAAACATTTTCTCTCTTTCTTTTTCATATATAGACACTTTCTTAATTTAAATGTCAATTATTGAGGTCACCTTAAAATGCCTTAGAAGATATTTGAGAAGAGTAAATTGCCTAAAATAATTCTGTATCAGATATTTTGCTTATATAAATTTTACATTTCCTCTATTTTTCCAATATTTCTTCTATACTGTTAGTGAAACGTCTTGGCTAATATGCCTGCCATTCAAAAAGAAACTCATTTTTGGATTGCTATGATTGCTTATGGATGGATGCCATGGCTGCAGTACCAGGAACAAGGTAACTAATTAGAGAAATGAGATCCTGTGGACTGCCTGAATCTCAACAGAGAATTCTTTGCTGCATATAATTTAATTTAAAGAGACAAGAAAGTAATTTATGCATTTCTGTTTTCTGAGATACAATGGATACGTTCAGTCATTCTTAAGCTTCAGTTTTCTTAACCAACTTGTGTCAGAAATCATATGACCTTGTCAAGAACATGTATAAACTGGAAAAAGATCACAACATATCTCAAAATAGAAATGCACATAACAATTGGGAATAAAAATTACTTATTATTATTAATGTGAATTAATGTGTATGTAAATTCCTTCATTATTAATAATTTCTTTAATTTAATTAATAATTTCTCTAATTTAATTAATAATTTCTTTATTATTAATAAAGAAATGCACATACCAATTGGGAATAAAGATTATTTCTGTACCATAGAATTAAAAGACTATCCTGGAAAGCCAGATGTGAAATTCATGAACAAAACAGCCTATGTATATAAAAATCTAATAAAGCATTAAAAGACTAAGGTTCATTTTATACTAAATTTTAAGCCAAAATCAGCTATTAGTTTAAGATATTTTTGTTGTTTCCTTAAGGAAGCAACAATCTAAACATTTTCTACATTGTGGTTGCAAAGATTTTGTGATAAAACTTGAGTTTTAACTTAAATTTTGACTTTTTAATTCATATAGTACATAGATGATATTTATTTATAACCAAATGTAATAATAGTTACAAAGGAGTGCTAAAAGTTAAAATTTCTATAAAATACCCATACATTAAATCTAAATGTAAAACAGAAGATATTTCACAACCCTCCGCTTGTCCTATAGGTTTTTTTTTTTTAATATAATTGAATTTTAAGAAACTGCACTGATTGGCCAAATCTGTGAATTATTTATATATTTCTGACTAAAAAAGTTGTACAAACCCGAAGTGCAAAGTAGGAGAAATTAAAAGTGGTGATTCACCTCTTCTGATAAAGTTTGCGTTTCGAAATTTGGATCCCTCTATCTTTAGCCATAGGCTTGTGTAACAGTAGTGTAAATTAGCAGAGAAAGAGGAAGCTCTGATTCATGTAATTATTGATTATGGCTTTGGTTTCACTGGAATAGGTGATGACATAACTCAATCTTTAGTCAGAGAAGGCAATTTGATAAATATTAAATGGAATAGGCACTGCCTGTGTGACCATTTCAAACTCCCTCCCATCCTCTAGCTTCAGCTACTCCTCAAATAGAAAAATAAAAATTTATATTCCTGTCTCTTTCTTGACATTTCTTGACAAATTATGATCTACCAAAAGAGAAAACTGATTGTAGAAATCCCATGTTTATAGGCATTTCAAACTCAAGCTGCTCAAGACTACCTCATCACCTTTCCTTACACCTAAAATAAACAAATGTACTTATTTACTTATGTAATATTTAATTCTCTATCACTATCCCAACTCAACACCTTTTTTTTTCATAAACCAAGCTCTTCTCCTAAAAGAGTTTGAGAATTGGTAATGTTTAATAAAAGGATTCCATTTAAGAAACCATAGAGTTAAAATACAGTTTATATATTTGTTTGGATGCCTATTTGACATTCTACCAATGAAATGCGCAAGGACAGAGCCTGTGTACGCACGTATCTGTGTGTGTTTTCTGTGTCTCTAAAGTCTGGTAAGTTGGCGATGTAGTTAATCTATCATGAGTTCCATATCTCAGGCTAGTCAGTTTTCATTTCTTCTATCCTCAAGACAAAACTCTGTCAGTATCAAAACAGATGACAATTTCCATAGATTTCTACCTTCATCATATGTCTTGAAAAATTTTTGTCCCAGTTTTCGAGTCCACATATCTGTGTCCCAAACTGATAGAGACTCTTTCTGTCCTGGACTGTTTCCAAGATCTCTTAAATTAGTTTTCTCCCATTTAATTTTAGCTCTTCTAATTTTTCCCACATAGTAGAGTCATGAATGACTCTACTATAATTTGAACTCCCAGGTTCAAATATTTTATAGGTTACCCGTTAAATATAAAAGCAAATATTTATCAATATGCCAAAAAATATAATCCTTTTTCTTTTCCCATCAACTTTAAAATCTACTAGTAATAGAAGTATTAAACAGTGCTACTACTATAACTATTACCACTATCTACTATTCTGAGTAGGACTACTGCAAACACACACACACACACACACACACACACACACACACACACACACACACTTCAACCAAAACAGGTTACTCAAGGTTCCCTGCAGTTTTTTTCATAGGTTCTATATTTTAAACTCCTACTCATCCACCTCCAGACAACTATCTATGTGGCATCAATATCATATCAAATTATCATTTTAAGAAAAGTGTTATGATTATTTCCCCAAGTTTTTTTTAACGTACCCCAACTCTACCATTGATTACTACTATAAATTCACAGTAGCTTTATATTGCCTAATACCATTGTTTAAATGTTTATATGCTTGCTCATTGGATTGAGTCCTTCTTGAGAGTCATCTTTTTTAAAAAAAGATGTGTTACCTAAGAAATACACTGTACACAGCCAAGTTTGGATTGGTTTAACTGATTTAAACTATTTATGCATATGATTTTTGAAACATAGTTATTTAATTGACACATAGCTTTTTACTTATTCATGGGGTACATCTTATATTTTGTTACATGCATAGAGTATGTAATCATCAAGTCAGGGTATTTGGGATATTCATTACCTTGAGTATTTCTCATTTGTATGTGTTGGAAACAGTTCAAATCATTTCTTCTTCCTACGTTGAAATATACAATGTATTACAGCTAATTTTAGTCCCTCTACTATGCCAGCAAATATTAGAACTTATACCTTGTATCCAACTGTATGTTCGTACCCATTAACTCACCTTTCTTCATCTACCTCTGCCTCTCCCATGCCCTGACTAGCCTCTGGTATCTATAATTCCACTCTCTACTTCCATGAAATCAATGTTTTTAGGTCTCACGTAAGAGTGAGAACATGTAATATTTGTATTTGTGTGACTAACTTATTTTACTTAGCATAATGACCTCTAGTTCCATGCATATTGCTGCAAATAACATGATTTCATTCATTTTTATGGCTGAATTTTGTTTATTAGGTATATATAACACATTTTTATTCATTCATTTATTAACGGACACTTACACTGATTCCATATCTTGGCTATTGGGAATAGAGCTGCAATAAGCATGGAAGTGCAAGGTGTCTCTTTGATATATTGATTTCTTTTTCTGTTGATAATTACCCAGCCTTGGGATTGCTGGATCATATGGTAGTTATATTTTTAGGTTTTTCTTTTTCTTTGTGAAAAATTTCTATGCTGCTTTCCATATTGCTAGTACAAGTTTACATTTTCTCCAGCAGCGTATAAGAGTCCTCTTTCTCTGTATCCTTGCCAGCATCTGTTATTTCTTATCTTTTTAATAATATCTATTCTAACTGACATAAGATGATATCTAATTATAGTTCTGACTTGCATTTCCCTGATAATTAGTGAAGTTGAGTATTTTTTCATATACCTATTAAACATTTGTATGTCTTCTTTTGAGAAATGTCTATTCATGTCCTTTGTCCACTTTGTAATGGAATTATTTGGTATTTTACTATTGAGTTGTTTGAGTTTCTTATATATTCTGCATATTAGTCCCTTGTTGAATGTCTAGTTTTCAAATATTTTCTCCCATTGAACAGTTTATCTCTTCACTCTGCTGATTGTTCCTTTTTTATATTTTTTTGCTGTGCAGAAAGCTTTAAATTTAATATAATCTCATTTATCTATTTTTGTTTTTGTTATCTGTATTTTTGAGGTCTTAGTCATAAAATATTTGCCTAGACCAATGCCCTGAAGCACCTTGC
This sequence comes from Homo sapiens, assembly GCF_000001405.40. NCBI lineage: Eukaryota > Metazoa > Chordata > Mammalia > Primates > Hominidae > Homo > Homo sapiens. The sequence continues at coordinate 30,005,373 of NC_000004.12, forward strand.
CTAGGTTTCCTTCTAGTAGTTTTATAGTTTCAGGTCTTACATTTAAGTCTTTAATGAAACTTGGATTGAATGTTGTATATGGTGAGATATAGGGGTCTAGTTTCATTCTTCTGCATATGGGTTTTCAATTTTCCCAGCACCATTTATTGAAAAGAACATTGTTCCCCAGTGCGTGTCTTTGGTACATTTGTCAAAAATTAGCTGGGTGTAAGTATGTGGCTTTACTTTTGGGTTCTCAATTCTGTTCCACTAGTGTATTTGTCTTCTTTTATACTAATATCATGCTGTTTTGGTTACTATAGCTTTGTAATTCATTTTGAAGTAGGTAGTGTGAAGCCTCCAACATTCTTCTTTTTTTTCTCAGAATTTCTTTGTCTATTTGGGCTCCTTTATGGTTTCAAACAAATTTTGGGTTTTTTTTTATATTTCTGTGAAAAATAGCATGGTAGTTTGATAGGGATTGCACTGAATCTGCAGATTGCATTGAGCAGTATGGTCACTTTAATAATATTAATTATTCTGATCCATGAACATGGGATGTATTTCCATTTGTTTGTGTCATCTTCAACATCTTTCTGTAGGGTTGTGTAGTTTTTCTTATAGATGTCTTCACCTCCTTAGTAAAATTTATTCATGGGTATTTTTTTTTCGCTACTGAAAATGAGTTTGTATTCTTTTTTTTCTGAAGGAGAAAGATTTTATTGGCACAGACATGTATTATTAACTTGACAGAGTTAAGCAGTAATTTTTTTTAAAAAAGTAAAAGCTGGTTCCTCTGAAACTAGTTTCAATGTGGTCAGCAAGTCAGCAGGTCAGAAGCAGATTATAACCACTCAGTTTCGCTTTAAGCCACGACATTAGGAGGCAATCTGTAAAACTAGTATAGTTTCTTCAACTATTACACTTATTCATTCACATGATTGGCTGAGGTGCACAAAAATAAAACTCCTATTAAAAAAGAATCATGCCAGGGACAAGACCAGAGATAGTTTCTGATATTGCAAAGCTCGATAGTTGCAGGGGCCCTAGGAGAATGTGACTTTCTCCAAAGGGCTACCATACCATCATACCTCCTCTGAACTTGTCACAAATGTGGAAAGCTGCTTGCTTAGAGGTACTGCTCACAGGGGAGAATTTTCATCTCGTTACAAACTCCACTTTCCATCACTGAGTCTCTGTCTTGCTCTCTGAAGATGTATAGGTAGGGGAGGTGGAGGGGGAGTGGGGGAAAGCAGCCAGAGCCAGGCAGCAGGCACTACATACAGCACTAGTCTTTGGGGAAAAAAACACACGGTGCTTGCAGCAGTGGCTTATGTGGTCTAACTGTCTGCACTACGGCTGTCAGTCCACTGAATGGGCTGGGAGGTATCCAGAATTTGGTGTGTGTTATTGGAAGATAGCTCTGATGGGTCATGAATAGGTTAGACCCAATCCAATTCAGGCCACATCTACAACTTGTATCTTACGTGAACTCAAAAAATAAAACACACTTCTACCTCCATCTCATCCCCATCCCTGACTATATGCAGGGAAAAACTCCCCCAGGACTGTCCAGCCAGGCCTACAGCAGATTAGATCTTTTCCCAGTACTGCTCAGTGTGTGGAATTTCAGCCACCACTTCAGATTCAATTCCATAGTGATCTTGTCCTCTGAGGATTTTAAAGAAGTTATTGTCACAGATAATGGCCTTCAGCTCCATCTATGTCCCTGCAAAGAACATTATCTTGTTCACTTTTATGGCTGTATGGTATTCCATACATGTGTATATGTGTATATGTACCACATTTTCTTTATCCAGTCTATCATTGATAGACATGTAAGTGGAAGTTAAATGATGAGAACACATGGACACATAGAAGGGAAAAACACACACTGGGGCCTGTTGCAGGGAGGAGAGTGGGAGGAGGGAGGAAATCAGGAAAAATAACTAACAGGTACTAGGCTTAATATCTGAGTGATGAAATAATCGGCACGACAAACCCCCATGACACAAGCGTACCTATGTAACAAACCTGCACATGTACCCCTGAACTTAAAATAAAAACTAAGGAAGCCATTATCACGCCAGTACCTATTCCAGGATTTGCAACCAGCCAGTAGGACGTGCTGTTCTCCACTTTGCAGCCCAGGATGCAGATGGCATGGCCTCCATCATCTCTCCAGTGACGCCTTGCTATTCTTTGAGCTTGTACAGCAGGAAGTCCAAATACACAGAGAAGGCTTCCTCCACTGGGTCATTTTTGTAGATCGTGGCCATGATGTCCTTTGTGCTTCGGAGACACTGTAAGAACTGCATCCATAGTGCTTGTCCTATTTGTAGGTCTGGCCAGGCTCGCAGGTCATGCTGCACTTGGGGGGTCTCCCTTCCGCACGTATGGAGCCATGGATGTGGTGCTCACAGGGAAGGAGGGATGGAAAAAGTCTTCAACCTACATGAGAGTCATAGAGGCCACCAGAAACCAGGCCTTTTCTTGTCCAAAAGTTCCAACCTTCATTGGGATCACCACCATTGCAGCCGTCCCCACACAAACAGGTGAGCTTGTCCTCCACGGACACCGCCACATGATTTCCTCCCTGAGACATTGGGGTGGATGCAGATCCAGTCAGAGATGGCTTCCAAAGCCCCCAAAACCCAGCAAAAGCCATAGGAGCCCTGGTCCCTGATCTCTCTGAGGTCAGTCTGGCCACTGTTCCTGTGGATCAAAGCTTTCAGGCAGATTTATGTCCTAGCAAACTTAACTCTCTGGAGTAGCTTGGATCTGCCGAGGAAGGTACCACATGGCCTCATCAGGTAGCTCATTCCATTTTGCAGAAGTTGTGCCCGGCCTGTTGCGTGGTGTTTTGTTTGTTGATATAGTTGACTAGTTCTTTGGACAGGAGGTGCAAATAAGGTCTGCTTCCTGCACAGGCCAGCACCAGCAGGCAGCAGAAGGAGGCCAAGAGCCGCCTCAAGTCTGAAGATGGATCTTGGATCCACCTTTCTGAGTTCATAGATTCATCAAGATGAATGCACCTCAGCTACATTCTCCTCTGACAGGAGGTACTGAGGGATCAGTTTTTCCAGGATACCAAACTGCGCTAGGTCTTCCTTTGAAACCAACAGCATTTGTTTTTTAGTGGGTGTGGGGGTCTCTGTTAGGTCAGGTAGAGGAATGTGAGGGTTGGGCTATAGTCGTTCTCCCGTCACAAACCTGTTAACTTCCTCAGTCAGTGCAGAAGCCCAGGTGCAGGGCGTGTGTGCTCCTTCTCCACATGCCCTATCTAATCACCCATTCTCTACTCTTGCATTTTGTATTTATTTCTCAGCCAGTTTATTATGGGTTCATAGAAATGCTACTAATTTTTGTAAGTTGATTTTATATCCTGTAATTTTAATAAATTTATTAATCAGATCTAATAGTTTTTTGGTGGAGTCTTTAGGTTTTCCTAGATGGAAGATCATATCATCAGCAAAGAGGGACAATTTGACTTTGTCTTTTCTAATTTGGATGCCATATATATATATACATATAAATATATATACACACACACATACACATATATGTATATGTGTGTGTATATATATATGTGTGTGTATATATATGTATGTGTGTGTGTGTATATATATGTGTGTGTGTATATATATGTGTGTGTGTATATATATGTGTGTGTATATATGTATGTGTGTATGTGTGTGTATATATGTGTGTGTGTGTGTGTGGATATATGTGTGTGTGTGTATATATATATATGTATAATTTTTCCTCCTGCCTGGTTGCTCTGCTCTGGCTAGGACTTACAGTACTATGTTGAATAGGAGTGACTAAAGCAGGCATTCTTGTCTTATTTCATCTCTCAGAGAAAAGACTTTCAGCTTTTCCCTACTCAGTTTGATGTCAGCTGTGGTTTTGTCATACTTGGTCTTTATTGGATTGAGGTATGTATCTTTAATACCTAGTTTGTTGAGGGTTTTTATCATAAAAGGATGTTGAATTTTATCAAGTGCTTTCTCTGCATCTATTGAGATTATTATATGTCTTTTGTTCTTCATTCTGCTGATGTGACATATCACATTTATTGATTGAGGTAAGTTGAATCATCTTTGCCTCCCTGGGATAAATCCCACATTATGATGGTATAGTATTTTTTTCATGTGCTATTGTATTCTGTTTCCTAGTATTTCACTCTGTGAAGCAAACATTGCCCCAGTACTAAAACCAGACAAGGACACAATAAAAACAATGAAAAAAACAAAACAAAACAAAACAAAAAACAAACCTACAGGCAAGAAAATATCCTGATAAAGTTAGGTGTAAAAATGTTCAACAAAATACTAGCAAACAGAATACAATAGCACATGCAAAAAATACTATACCATCATTTTGTTTTTGCTGCATTTTATAGGTTTTGTATGTTGTGTTTTGATTTTCATTTGTTTCAAGAATATGAATTTGATTTTCATATTCTTAATTTCTTCCTTGACCTAATTGCCATTCAGGAGCATGTTGTCTAATTTCCATGCATTTGTACAACTTCCCAAGTTCTTTTTATTGATTTATAGTTTTATTCCATTGTAGTTTGAGAAGACACTTGATATGATTTCAATTTTTAAAAATATTTTAAGAACTATTTTGTGTCCTAACATATTATCTATCTTGGAGAGTGTTCCATGTGCTGATTATGAGAATGTGTATTCTGTAGCTATTGAATAAAATGTTCTGTAAAAGTATTTTAGGTCCATTTGGTTTAGTGTGTAGTTTAATTCTAACATTTCTTTGTTAATTTTCTCTCTAGATGGTCTGTCTAATGCTGAAAATGGAGTGCTGAAGTCCCCAACTATTATTGTATTGGAGTCTATGTCTCTCTTTAGATCTAATAATATTTCCTTTATTTATCTGGGTGCTCCTTTGCTGTGTGCATAGATTTTCAGAATGGTCATATTCTCTTGCTGAACTGATCCTTTTAGCATCGCGTAATATCATCTTCTTTGTCTCATTTTACTGTTTTTGATGTCAAGTCTGTTTTATTTGATATAACTACTCCGGCTCACTTTGAGTTTCCATTAACATAGAATTTTTTAAATATCCCTTTATTTTCAGTCTATCTGTATCTTTAAAAGTGATATGAGTTTCTTATAGGCAGCATATAATCCTGTCATTGATATGGTATGGCTCTGTGTCCCCACCTAAAATTCATCTTGAATTTTAATCCCCACATGTCAAGGGAGGAGGCTGGTGGGAGGTGATTGAATGATGGAGGCAGTTTTCTGCATACTGTTCTCATGATAGTGAGTGAGTTCTCACAAGATCTGATGGTTTTATAAGTGTTGGGCAGTTCCTCCTTCACATGCTCGCTCTCTCCTGCTGCCTTGTGAAGAAGGTGCCTGCTTCCCCTTCCACTATGATTGTAAGTTTCCTGAGGCTTTTCCAGCCATGCAGAATTATTTCCTTTATAAATTACAGTCTCCGTGAAGTTCTATACAGCAGGGTGAAAATGGAAAAATACAGTCATTTTTTATCCATTCAGCCAGTCTTTATCTGTTAATCAGAAGTTTCATTCATTTATATTCAAGATTGTTATTAACATGTGATTGGCATTGGGTGCTAGGATAGTGTATTTCTGTCATTGTATTAATTAATTTCTGGTTGTTTTGTATATATTTTTTCTTCTCTTTCTCTCTTATTGTTTATCATTGTGGTTTAGTGGTTTTCTGTAGTGGCAATATTTGAGTCTTTTATTTGTTTGTCTGTTTTCTGTACCAGTTGATTTTACATTTGTGTGTGTTTTCATGATGATAGGTGTCAATCTTTTGCTTCCAGGTATAGGACTCCCTTAAGCACTTATTGTAGTGCTGGTGTAATGGTGATGAATTCTCAGCACTTTTGCTTTTCCAGGAATGACTTTATTTCTCCTTCATTTATGAAGGATAACTTTGCTAGGTATAACATCCTTGGCTGACAGTTTTGTTTTGTTTCTTACATCTCTTATATCATCTCATTCTCTCCCATCCTGTAAAATTTATGGTGAGAAATCTGCTGTGGTCTGATGGGGGGTTTCTTCATAAGTGACTAGATGCTTTCTCCTGCTGTTTGTAGAATTTTCTCTGTCTTTAATATTTGACAGTTTGACTATAATGTGCAATGGAAGACTTTTATGAATTTTATCTATTTGGCTATCATTTAGCCTCCTATATCTGAATATCTAATTATCTTGCTAGACTTGGGAAGTTTTTATCTCTTATTTCATTAAATTGGTTTTCTAACCCTTTTGTTTACTCTTCACCTTCTGGGACTCTGAATATTTGCATATTTTCCTGCTTTATGGTGTCCTACATGTAAATACTCTTTGCTCATTCTCTTTTATTCTTTTGTCTTTACTTTCACTTCAGTGGGTTGTTTCAAAAGAACTGTTTTCACATTCTCTATGATGTTTTTTTCTGCTTAGTCTATTGTTGATGCTTTTGAATGCATTTTGTATTTTGTTTAATGAATTCTCCAATTCCATATTTTTAAAAGATATTATCTCTTTGGTAAATCTCTTATTCATATCCTGATTTTTTTTTAGTTTATTTGTATTGTTTTTCAGCATTCTTTTTTATCTCACTCTGCTTCATTAACACCAATATTCCTGATTCTTTTTCCAGGATTTTATAAATTTCTCTTTGATTGGGATCTGTTGGTGAAGAATTATTGTGTTCCTCTAGAAATGACATACTTCCTTGTTTTTTTGTGTTTCCTGTATACTCACATTGATATCTCTGCATCTGGTTTATCAGTGTTTTGTTCCAATATTTTTTTCTGAATTTGCTTTTGTATGGGAGGACTTTTTCCTGAAGATGAGTCTATGGTGTTGGTTGGGTAGAGCATGTTGGCTTTGATTCTGGGTGTACTTTGTAGTGCAGTCTCTGTATGATTTCTTTGGCTGTAAACAGCATCAGATGATGTCTGTGAGTTACTTGGTGGCTTAGGGTTGGTTGTTTGTTAGTAGAGGCTGTGGTGAAGTTGCTGGGAACTAGGATGCCAGGTGGGCCAGTTTTGGGACCCCAGTGGTGGCAGCCATGTGCATGCCTGTCTTTGAGTGTCAGGGTGGTGTATGCTGGCACTTGCGTTAGCAGGTCCAGATAGGCCAATTCTAGGGCAACAAAGTGGCTTGCTCAATTGCCAGGAATAACAGTGGTGGGCCAAGCACCCAAAAGAGTTCTTGGGTCCCTGGGAAGCAGGTGTGGTGTGGACAATGGCAGTACCAGTGTTGGGACAACCCTCTGGGACCCAAATTGTCCATGCTGGTGTTGGTGATGGTTGTGACAGGCTGGGAAGGCCAGTCCTTAGACCTACTGGTGGTCCATGCAGGTGAGTACCAGATGTGGTGGTAGCAACTGTTTGGGTAAACCCAACTCCAGTCACTGGAAGGAGTATTCAGGTGCCAAGAGTGGACTAGGCTGGTGGTCTCTAGGCCCCCAGATGTCTTGCTCATGTATTGTGAGGGAGGAGCTAGACAGCTAGATTGAGTGGATCTCTCCTCACCCCTCCCTCCCCACTTCCTAGTGGTGTATGCAGAAGCTGGCTGTAGTAGGCAGGGGCAGAGAAATATCCAGGTCCTTTGGCAGAATGAGCAGTAGCAACACTGAAGCTCTGCCACTGGGGAATGCAGGGTTGCTTTAAGCTACAGGCAGTGGTTTAGTGTAGGGGGAGGGCACATTCTTTGCTTATACTTGAGCTCTCAGTAGCCCACAGTGGTGGCAGCAGCTGTAGGCAGTAGAATTTCTCCTAGGGCATATGAAAATCTTTGGCTGCCTCTCTGTTAGGAGAGGCAGGGTCACTGCCAGTGGTTCCCATCTCACCCCTTGCTGTTGCGGCTGTGGGCAGGGAATGTCAGTGAGGCTCCAGAAATGTGGAAGTGCAGGGACTGTTGAGCCCCAAGGTAGGATGCAGTCTGATGATGGCTGAGCTCTCAAGATGGCAGCATCATGTAGCTTCTTTTTTTTTTTTTTTTTTTTTTTTTTTTTTTTTTTTTTTTTTTTTTGAGACAGAGTCTTGCTCTGTCACCCAAACTGGAGTACAGTGGCAAGATCTTGACTCACTACAACCTCTGCCTCCCAGGTTTAAGCAATTATCTTGTCTCAGCCTCCCGAGTAGCTGGGATTACAGGGACACACCACCATGCCCAGCTAACTTTTTGTATTTTTTTTAGTAGAGACGGTGTTTCACCATGCTGGCCAGGTCTCGAACTTCTGACCTCATGATCTGCCTGCCTTGGCCTCCCAAAGTTCTGGGATTACAGGCGTGAGCCACCATGCCCAGCTCATGCTGTAGCTTCTTAAGGCTCAGGGGTTTGTTGGACCTGTTGTGAGCTCTCTCTGGGGCAATGTCATTTATGGTCTCCAGGCAACTCCCTATGTTAATCTCAGGTCTCTTGAGGGTCCAGAGCCTCTCTCATTGCTAGAATTGCAGGAGTCCACAGTGAGAATTTGGACCACCGGGGCCTCTCCCTTACCATTTTTCGGCATTCTCTAATTCAGAGAACCTCTGAACCTGGTGAACCTAAACTCTCCAGGCTCTCAGCCAATCCCAGCCTTGCAGGGTGCCTTGCTTCCCTCTCCTTCTCTGCTTTTGGTGTTTCCTGTCATTTCTATGTTAAATTCTAATGTTCTATGATAAATGGTCTATTCAAAATACAATTATCTACTCATTATTTTGGTTCTTTGTAGAAGAAGCAAGTACCAGATACAGCTAGTCAGTCATCTTGAGGCTCTCCCACCTATAAACCATAGTTAATAAAGATAAATCAAACAAAAAGAGGAAAAATCTAAACAACACAAAAGAGGACACTAAAGTAAAGGGGAAAATACTAAGTCATCATCATCATCATGAAATGAAGCAAAACAATCACAAAACTACTTAGAACAGAAATAAGATGGTCAAAATTTATCAGTTATCAAAATAAATGATAATATACATATAAGTTAAAGGTAAAAAGGATCATCAGAGTTAATGAATAAACCATATATATACTATTTCAAGACAGATATAAAAACCTAGAAACACGGAAAGGTTGAACATTGTTTTTTTAAAGGAAAAAAAAATGCCACCTTTCTCACTCTTTGCAGACGTGTCCCATGCTAGGGAACTTCTTTACTAAGTAATAGGACATGTTCTGAAACTCCCAAAGAGCCTCATCTGTGCCACTCCTTGTGGCTTCACATGGTCTAATGTATATCTCCACCAATGATACCTTTTCCTACATGTCTGTGGATCTTCTTTTCCCTATAGCTTTTATGAACAAATCCCATTGCATTCAACCACTTTCTGCTACCTGACCTCTGAGAGAAGCAAAACATAGACCAGTCCTTTAAGCATCCAAGACAGATGAGAACTTTGCCAATAATGTCCCCTGTGCTGCCTCCAGTTCAAGGATGGGAACTGGGAACTAGGCTTCTGTGTCTTCCAGACAAAGACCATGCTGTATAGTGGAAGGGGTAGGGCAAAAGTAAGCGAAAATACCATAAATTTCCCTTCTATTTTGAGTGTGGCTTTCTCTTGATTGGCCATTCCCTTGGTTGCTGTGTATCTCTGACTGTTTTCCAGAGCTCCCACTAGGTGGCTTTGCTATGCATCATTTTTTTTTATTATTACTATTATACTTTAAGTTCTAGGGTACATGTGCACAACGTGCAGGTTTGTTACATGTGTATACATGTGCCATGTTGGTGTGCTGCACCCATTAACTGTTCATATACATTAGGTATATCTCCTAATGCTATCCCTCCCCCTCCCACCACGCCACGACAGGCCCCGGTGTGTGATGTTTCCCACCCTGTGTCCAAGTGTTCTCATTGTTCAGTTCCCACCTATGAGTGAGAACATGCAGTGTTTGGTTTTCTGTCCTTGCAATAGTTTGCTCAGAATGATGGTTTCCAGCTTCATCCATGTCCCTACAAAGGACATGAACTCATCCTTTTTTGTGGCTGCATAGTATTCCATGGTGTATATGTGCCACATTTTGTTAATCCAGTCTATCATGCTATGGATCTTGTACTGTCTTCCAGAGTTCCCATAAGGGAACTCCTACAAGCCAGCTGGCTCATATATTAGCCAGCTTTTGCTTGCTGTTTGACTTCTCTGTTGAGGGGAAAAGGCTTGGAGCCTTCTAGTTTGCCATTTTTAATCTGGTCCTTCTAACATATAAGTTTTGTAAGTTAAGGGAATTGGATTGTTTTATCACCACTGTACACTCAGTCCCTAGAGTAATATCGGTAAATAGTGGACATGATATAACTATTAATTGAGCACATTTTCAACTTTCTGCCTTATATCTAATCATAACATCAACTTATTTTATTTAATTTTAATAAACAATTTAAAAAATAACTATCTAATCTACCCTGTTGTTAGTTAGTCCTACGAATCAGAAGTTATATATATTTTGATATTGATGGTGTTAAGAGAAATATTTGTAAGAAGAGACTACCACAGAGATAAGCATGGATTGTGCCTTAAAGAATTATGTATAGCATAAAAATTGGTTATATTTTGTTCTGTAAGAGGTGGAAAGCTATCAAATGTTTTTAACCAAAATAATGACATGCTCACACTGCTGGTAGTTGTTGATTGGCATTGCCAGGAAAGTATTAAAAATATCAATTTACTCAGAATTTCTGCAGGTATAATATATATGTTACCCATATATCCAGGGAATCTAATAATAAATTTACTTTAGAAAAAAATGTTTCTGCAAGAAGAATTTTAGTTGTACAAAACAAGAGGATTTGAGCTTAATTACAATATACTTCCAAAGATTCAGAAAAAAGAAATAAACTTAATACTCATCTGCTAACCCCAGCTTTCTTATTATTAATTTTTGCATGGAATATTTTGCCTAATCTTTTAACTTATCTGTGTCTTGTATTTAAATTATTTGCATTCCTTCAAATATTTCTGGGCTTTGTTCTGGAATGTAGTTGAGTTACTTAAAAGCAATTCGAACCTTTCAAGGCATATTTTTAAAATAATTTCAACTTTTATTATAGTTTCAGTGGGTACATGTGCAGGTTTGTTACATGGGTATATTGTGTGATGCTGAGGTTTGGGGCATGGATCTAGTCACATAGGTAGTGAGCATAGTGCCCAATAGACAGTTTTTCAGCCCATGTCCTCCTCCTTTCCTCCCCGCTCTAGTAGTCCATAGTACCTACTGTTCCTATCTATATTTATGTTCATGTGTACTCAATATTTAGTTCTCACTTATAAGTGAGAACATGGAGTATTTGGTTTTCTGTTGCTGCATTAATCCATTTAAAATTATGGCCTCCAGCTGCATCCATGTTGCTATGGAGGACAAGAATTTGCAAAGGACATGAACAGACACTTCTCAAAAGAAGGCATACAAGCAGCCAACAAATATATGAAAACAATGCTCATTATCACTAATCATCAGAGAAATGCAAATCAAAACCACAGTAAGATACCATCTTGTACCAGTCAAGACACATTTTTAACCTTTTTAGGGGAGTTCAGGATAGCTTTTTATCTAGAGCTCACATGACACCATTAGAGAATCATTAATATTTTGTAGACTCGAGTTGAAACCTTGTGTATTAAGAGCTCTTTTCATTTTGGGCTGGTGGGAATGTGAATGATCTTTGATCCTGTATAATTTACAGGGATTATTCTACTTGATATATAAATTCCAGGGATTGTTCTATGTCTGGTACTGAGGTCCATGAACTCAGTACTCAGCTGTAGATTTGAGGGAAACACTGCATGTCTCCACAGTTCTCTCTTTGCCTCCCACTGTTTGGTCTCTGGCCTGTGAATTCTAGCCCTCTTGATTTCCCTGAGCTCTGAAGTCCCTCAACTAAGAAATACGGCCAGCATCTATTTAAGTTTCCTTGTGTTTTTTTCCTAGAAATTGCCTTTGGTCGGTAAGATGGAGCAATCATATGGTTCCACTTGCGTGTTATTTTTCTCTCAGTTCTCAATGCCATGCCTTGTGTGTGATCCAAAATACGAGAATATTTACGTCATGTATTTTATGTATTTTTTTTTTAATTCTTTAAGGTGGAAGAGTAAACTTGGTCCCTGACACTTTATCATGATAAGAGGTGGTAAGTTCAGGAAAACTTATAATTGGCAAATGGTATATGGGAAAGGTAGAGACTGATTTCAAAATGTTTAGGAAGAAAAATCAATACAAATCGATTGTTTAATCTGACATAGGCTGTGAGAGTGGGAAAACAACCTAGAACAACCAACTTGTTACACTTTTCATGGTCAAGATTCTTGTCCCTTTAACTCTCTCTGTTTCCTATCGCCCAGTAGTCTATTTATTCTCTAGTTTTTATTTGACATGGATGTATAAATGCATTCCACTAATTATTTATTTTACATGTAAGTCTGCCCTCCAACATGCACCTCTAGGCCACAATTATATCTAATCAACCTTTGAATATATTTTGATATATTAATATTATAGGCTATTTTCACTGTATTTTGTAATAGGAAAAAATATCCAGTGAGACAACATACTGACCATATTAATGAACCAGGACATTTTATGTGATAGAAAAATCTCCTACTGTTCTCAATCATCTTCAATATATACATTTCAGAATAAATTTATATTGTTGGGGTGAATTCTGAATATACAAAATAGTCATTTATTGATTTGGGTATGAAACTGTTATTTGGAATCAAATATTGAGACCTACTGATATTGAAATAAGGAGGACCTTATCTTGTTCTACAAATATAAGTTAAAATTTAAAAGATGCCTTCTATCTATTTAAATAATTGCATTTTGGGATGCCACTATAGGGATACAAAAGAAGCAGAAACAGAAACACATAGAGGAAAAATAATTTTTAATAGATTTATAAAACATTTTTCTCAGTATAAAAATCTTCCTGAAACTGGAATATCACTCTCCCAAATTCTGTTCTCCAAGGATGAAATAAATTCCAAGTGGGACTAAGATATGAAAATACAGTGGTGAATGGTTATTTATTATGAATCAACAAATGTTGATTTGTATTTGTAACAAAAGTTGTTTGTTTTCAAATTTAATTAATCTTAGAACATTAGTGTCTGATTTTATATTGTACTCTAAATTCATATTTAAATCTTATTCTTCATAAAGAATGATTAGGTAGGGAACAAATATGAGCTTTGCCTCCCAACTTCAAATTCTTGATCTTCTCACGCATATATTTAAAAAATGTTAAGTTTTTGTTTCAGGTTAACAAATAGATGGAATGGCATCTTATTCAGTGATAATATGTGAGTGTTTTATTGCTAAGGAAATGGAATGCTACCCTGGTTGCCTTCCAAAACCCCAAATTTGGGACCACTTACCATGTCCAGTACTGACAAGGTAGAAAATAAGAACACTTGGACTTAGCAACAAGGAAAAAGTAAAAATAAAAATAAAAAACTCTAGTACTGGTATAGTACTCTAATGAGCTGCAGAACTCCATGCTGACTTCAGGTGCCACCAGAATTAGAAACTAGATATTGCTTACCTCTGTTTAAAAAAAATAAATAACTGAAGACTGCCTGCAACTAAATATGCTTAACTTTCAACCTTCTCTGTAATAAATAGAAAAAGTATCAATTATGCATAACTAGGTAATACAATAATGATTTTGAGATATGGCTTGCTCATGTTAGCATTTACTGAATTGATTATATTATTTACATTTTTGGATAAATTTTCATTGCCATATAAATTATCAAAGTAAACAACATACAAAAGGTTTCTAAACTTAAAGATAATAAACTGTTAGAACTTGAAGAACTAGCACACTGCTCATTCACTACACTTTTTATGTGAAAAACATGTATGTGAAAACATAAATTGAATATAGATTACTTACATGTGAATAGAGAGAATTGTTACAGATTGCAGGTATGTGTTCTTCCACATTTAATATGTTGAAATCCTAACCCCCAGTAGAATGGAATTAGGACGGAGATCTTTTGGGAGGTAACTAGGTCATGAGGGTGGAGCCTTTACAATGAGATTAGTGCCCTTATAAAAAATACTATTAGAACAAGTAAGGGAATACTTGTTTCTGATTTCTTCTCTCCATCCTGTGAAGATACAATGAGTATCTGCGGAGAAAGAACAGAGCCCTCACCTGACACTGAATCTGCCAACACTTTGATCTTGAACTTCCCAGCTCCCAATGCTGTGAGAAATAAATCTTTGTGAAGTCACACATAGCAGCCCGAACAGCTGAATACAATAATTATTGATTTTGAGATAAACGTATATGTCTATATATGTCTGTATGTATGTATATAAATGTGTTTATGTATTGATATCACACATTTATTCACACTATGACTTGGATACCCTGCAACAATGTAGCTTTTTCATTTTGTCTATAACTATTGTAGATGTCCTTACCTTCCATATATAGAAAGAATAATCTCACAATCTCATCAACTAACATTAGGCTGACAATAATAACATAAATAGTGACTTTAAGTAATGTTCAGCCTCTCTAACTAAAAATGCTTGATCCTTAAAAGTTCTCCTCATATCCTGCACCTATCTAAGATAGTTCCTTTGCATCTGGTGTTTGGGTGAGGCTCTGTAACTTGGTGGTGTTTGAGAAGAGTGCTTAGATCCTCTGTGGCGTTTTCTTGTTTCGCTAATCTTTAAGGTAACATTCCTTATTCAGCAGCTCACTATGTTTTTCTAGCATTTGATGATTTAGTTAGGAGGTGATATGATCATGTCTTGTTTAGATTTGTCAGAGCCCATGGTTTCTAATTCACCCACTCTCATTTACGAGGTAGTTGGCTTCAGGGACTCTATTATATCTGCTAGTGACTCACATTGGTGCAGAAGGTTGCTCAGGAAAACTGAATATCTCTGTGACCATGCTGAACTTTCCAGCTTATTTGGAATGACCTCATACTGGCCCATCCAGAGAAACGTTCATCCCAGTTATAACACATTCCACAGCTGCATATTTTTATCGAGATAAATTCTCGCCTGTAATCCCCGCACTTTGGAAGGCCGAGGTCAGCAGATTAAGACCATCCTGGCTAACACGGTGAAACCCCATCTCTACTAAAAATACAAAAAAATTAGCCAGGCCTGGTGGCGGGCGCCTGTAGTCCCAGCTACTCCGGAGGCTGAGGCAGGAGAATGGCGTGAACCCGAGAGGCGGAGCTTGCAGTGAGCCGAGATCGCTGCACTGCACTCCAGCCTGGGCGACAGAGTGATACTGTCTCAAAAAAATAATAATAATAATAAATAATTAAAAAATTATGTTTTTGCATAAATTTTTACTGCCATAAATTATCATTTTACTCTGATTTAATAATTTAATAATTTTAATGATTAAATTTAGAATTTGTTGTACTATTTTAAAGTTTCATAATACCCCTCTCTCTTTCTAATTATTAAATATGTAATGGAATGTACATTAAACTTTCCAGATAATGTAATGTGTGAAACTTTTAGCACTGTCCCCATAATGTAATGCCTCATCACATAAAGCAACAGTAGTCATAGTCTACACTAGGGAGAAAATTCTATTATTACAGTTGTACTCATTTTCTAATGTTCTGTAACAAATTACTGCAACTTAGAACCATAACATAATACCCATCTATTATCTCACAGTACTGTAGGTCCAGGCATGGCATGGTTCATTTCTTTCATTAGAGTTTCAAAAGGCTAGAATCAAAGTGGCAGAGGGCCTGTGTTCTCATCTGCAGCTCAAGGTCTGCTTCCCAGTTCACATAGTTTGGTAGGTTTCAGTTCTTTGCAATTGTAAGATTGAAGTTTCTGCAGCTGTAAGACAGTTTTCAACTGTCAGTCGGAGGATGTTCTGATCTTCTTGAAGTTGCCTATGTTCCTTATCATATGACCTTCTTCATCTTCAGAACCAGCCTAGGAAAATACCCTTCATGTTGATCTTCTTTCATGCTTCAAATCTCTGCTAAGCAGAGCTCAGTCAGTTTGAAGGACGCATCTGATTAGGTCAGGTCCACTCAAGAGAATATTCTTTCCTTAAGTCAACTGTGTTAAAATAACCTAATCAAAGGGCTGACTATGCCATTATATATAGTTCATAACCACACTCAAGATACAATGGTAACTGAGGGTCATTACAGAATTATACTCTGATAGTCAATCATCATGACCTTTAATGTGTTTAAACAAAAGTTAAAGTAATTTAGGAAATAGATTTTCCTCTCTTAAGAATGGCTGTTTTTCCAATCTATAATCTTGTTGCCTGATCTGATTTTTAATATCAGAAGCTGAATATTAGTAACTTTATTATTTTTTTCTGATGTAGTGTTTGTATTTGTTTTTTTCTTTAACTTCTTCTCTCCCAAAATATCTACATGGGTTACTCCCTCACTTTATTCTGGTATCTGATCAATTTCCATCTTATCAGAAATATTCTTTTTCATTTCATATTAACAGCATCTTGAACTCAATTCTATATTTCTAATTTTCAAAAAATATATACCGTTTACATGTTATATAATTTATTTTATATGTATTTGTTTATGTCCTGTATTTCCTATTGAGAGAAAATGGCTTGTTTGTTTAATTGCTTGGTATCTCAAGTGCGGAAAAGTTTCTGGCACATAATAAGGTGTAATAAACATCTATTCTTCCTGTTGCTTTATGATGTCATGTATTAGAATTAAAACACTTTCTATTTTTTTCTTCACATGGATTAAGATTGTGTTTACTTTTTCAAAAAGCAATGTTGAGATTTTTACACTAAAACCAATGTTTAAGAAACAGAAAAATGTGTCTTTTAGCAACCAACAAGAAATTTTAGACAATTGATACAATGAGAAATAAGACTATTTACCAAAAAGATGATAGTTATCTTCTTAAAACAGCTTTGCTAATTAGTCTGTAGAATATAACTCAATCATTTCATTGATTTCTCCAAATAGTTAATAATTATATTAACTATTTTGCATTTATGAAATGGAACAAATTATGTGTGTGTTTTTTAATGAAACATAATTACTTAAATAATTAAACAATTCATTATTTAATAATGTTAAATCTTTGAAATCTATTGACAATACACAAAAGAAATTAAAGCCAGGTATGGCATTTTCATTTAGAAAATATAGTGCAACTTTGAATAAAACTCCTTTCTTAGGAAAATTGAGAACACCATAATTATGTTGCAAAATGATTAAATGAAGCAAAGAGATTTAGGTACTAGTTAATTCCTTTAGAAAATAGGTTTGTTTGTAAAACAATCTATTACACATTTATAACCCAATCCCCACCCAAAAGTGCTCTATGTATATTTCCAGATAATAGTTTTCTTCCCGAACATTTTACCATGCCTTTTATAATCATTTATATATTAATGTAATAAATCATTTTAAAAATATAAAGAAGATTTAAACAATGAGTAATGGATTACCAATCCTCTTTAGAAATTTAGCACAAATTTAGTCTTGGTAATTTATCATGGTTTTCCTAAAAGTGAAATAGGTGGGAAGTCCATTATCAGTACCAAAATATGTATTAGTGTATTAATTAGGATTAAGAGAGGTAGAAAGAGAGGGAAAGAGTAAAAGAGAGAGGTGAAGAGAGAAAGAGATTTTTAGGAATTGGCTTACATGATTATGGTGACTTGGTAAGTTCAAAATCTGCAGATCAGGTAAGGAAGCTGGAGACTCAGAGAAAAGTTCCAGTTTGCAGCCAAAGGAAATCTACTGGGAGAATTCCTTCTTGTTCAGGGAAGTCAGTCTTTGTACTATTAGGAACTTCAACTGATTAGATGAGGCTCACTCACAGAAGAGAGTACCAAAACTGCTTTACTAAAAGTCCATCAATATAAATATCAACCTCATCCCCAAAACTCCTTCACAGAATTATCCAGAATAATGTTTGGCCAAATAGCTATGTATCATGGCCCAACCAAGTTGACATGTAAAATTAACTGTCACAGGGATCATCAAATATTAATAAAGGAATTGTAGTCAAAGTAGTTAAGCACATACAGGCAGTTAGTGGAGAAGCTGTGTTTAGAACCCAAGCCAGCTGTTCTTTCTTCCCCCAGGAGAGTGGAATTTCACTACACCTTCCTCTTCCTAAACATGGCACAGATATTACATTAAAGAAATGGGGAAATCTATGATTTCTTATTTAGTGAGTTCTAAACTATGTATCTAAAATGACATAAAATGTGAATATACATGATCAAAGGAAAAGCGGTACAAGAACATCTATAATACTCAACAGGTGGCAGAAGAGCCCATGGAAGTTAGATTTTACATGTAGCTGAACTCACTGAGTATGGAATTTCCATGGTAAATGCATCTTCTAGCTTAATTTAGTATGAGGGGTTGATGTGGAGGTCAAGTAGAACTCTTGTATATTATCCTGCCAATTACTTCATCCTATTATTTTAATTCCTAAAATCAAGAACTATAATTCTCAGATAATCCCACAGAATGAATACATGATTGATTCACACCCAATGTTGTAACATGTTCAGTTAGATATGTACATGAGACAGAAGAATGTAAAAATAATAGCACTGGAGGCCAGGCGCGGTGGCTCACACCTGTAATCCCAGCACTTTGGGAGCCTGAGGTGGGTAGATTGACTGAGGTCAGGAGTTCGAGACCAGCCTGGCTAACATGGTGAAACCCTGTCTCTACTAAAAATACAAAAATTAGCCAGATATAGTGGCACATGCCTGTAGTCCCAGCTACTCAGGATGCTGAGGCGGGAGAATCGCTGGAACCCGGGAGGTGGAGGTTGCAGTGAGATGAGATCACACCACTACACTCCAGCCTGGGCAACAGACCAAGACTCCATCTCTGAGAAATAATAATAATAATAATAATAATAATAATAATAATAGCACTGGAGCCATTAGTATGTTGATGTTACTTAAAATGCCGAGTGCACAATATTATCTAAAATAGATTATACAATGACAAGAAAATTAAGATGAGAAGTAATGTATGTGAAAAACCAATATTTAAGGAACTGATGGAAACCACTGATCAGGAAAGGAATCTGTAGAAAAACAAAGGCTGTATTCTTCATTGTAGAATATTTTAAAAGGTAATCAGAAAGACAAAAATAAGAAGTGGGAGAAAGCTTGGGGTAATTTTGGTCAGAAAGAAAATTAGTTTTAAAAAGAAGTAAAAGTTAGGTGAGTATTAAATCTTCTCTATTTTTGCTAGAATTAATTAAATGTATTAAGACAGTTAATTCAGGAAAGGAACAAAAATAGTATGAGAAAGATATAGCAGAGTTTTTATATTTGTTTCACAACAAGAATGAAGTAAATCAGTAATATATTTTTAGTAGAATTAAGAATGAACTGACAACCACAACTCCCAGCTGCCTGATTTGGAAGATCTCCACTTTACTTTGTAGATGTTGTAATGAGAACATGCTACATGCGAATGAATAAAGCATTAATTTCTGAGAAAGCAACACCTTATGGAATCTTCTGGTGCTCAGTCTGCAGTAATCATTAAATGAGATCACGAAGATTTGCACTGATGTGGTAATGCAAAGAGTCTGCAAGCTTGCAAATCCTCAGGTTCTACTGATTCATTATATATTATCTCTGGCTTGTTCATAGTCAGTGTTAAGAAAGTAAATATTTATAAATCTGAATTTCCTCACCTACATCTTCCAATTCCATTGTTCCATGGAAGAAAACCTACAAACTGGGGATGAAAAAGTTACCTACTGAAAGCTTTTACGCATTAGCTTTGGTTGCAACCATTTAGCATTTTACAGCCTGGATATGTTTCCTTAGATTATGCTGCCAACAAGCAGCTCACATCTATAAGTAAAAGGGGAGCCAGAAGAGGAAGGAAAAAGAGAAAATATCCACAAAAAGCAACTAAAGAAATCACCTGAGGAGAAATAGGACAGTAGAATCATGGGGAAATATTTGAGAGAGGTTTAAAAAGAGAATGAACAACAGAGCCAAATGCAACAGAGAAAAACATCAAAATGTGCTTTGGATGTAGGGATATGGCCATTACCATTGAATACTTTCAGTTCCAAGAAGAGAATTGAGGGACAGGGACTATCAGGCCATCGAAACCACACTATGACCCAAAAGTAGGATTACGAAGTACATGTGCATAAACAACCCAACAAAAAAGCACAGTAAATTAGAACCACTCTCAGCCAGGTGCAGTGGTTCACACCTATAATCCCAGCACTTAAGGAGGCTGAAGCAGGTGGATCACTTGAGGTTAGGAGTTCGGGGCCAGCCTTGCTTGCCAACATGGCGAAACCCTGTCTCTACTAAAAATGCAAATTAGCCGGGCGTGGTGACGCGCCCCTGCAATCCTGGCTACTGGGGAGGCTGAGGTGGGAGAATTGCTTGAACCCAGGAGGCAGGGGCCGCAGTGAGTCAAGATCGCGCCACCGCACTTCAGCCTAGGTAACAGAGGGAGATCACGTCTAAGAAACACAAGTGAGGACAAAAACAAAGGGCAATAGAAATTCACAAGAGGTTCTGGTTTGGAATTAGGTCCTTGAAATTAGTTTTGAAAGCATGTACTTGGAGTCATAGGCCCACACCTAATCAATGCTACAATTCAAAATGATTCAAATGCATAGTTAAAAAGGATAATTCCATATAGAATAGTTTCTATTTTCCAACATCATACATTTATTTGTTAATTTTTGCTACTTATGGAAGTAACATGAGTTAACTTAGAAAAATAGGAAACATAGAAAACCATAAAGGAAAAACCACTGTCAGAAGCCCAAATGAGAATAACATTTATTACCATTATATTTCCCTTAGTTTTTATTATAATTATAATTATTTTGGCTATAGGTGTAAAATTATATGAATGTTGGCATATAATTTGCTAAAAATTTAGACTACATTCTACACACAGTGATGCATAATGCTATTTTACTTACAATCATATTGTGAGCTCTTTTACAACAATAGTAAATTTTTAATGGCTACACAATTATAGTCTATTGCATTGCTCTCCTAAAATAGTACATTAAAATTTTCTTGGTTTTGGTCATTTGGGTTTTTAAGATTTTATTTTTAACTAACTTTGTAATAAACATCAATATTTACACATACATCACAGTTCCACTTTCTGGTTATCATTTTATATTAAAATCCTAGAACTAAATTATGAAATCAAGAGTAGTAAAAATTTAAGCTTTTGATAGATTTATATTTCTCAAACTAGTTATAGTTATTTTTACCTTCGCTATTATATAAGTTCGTTTTTGATAGATTTATATTTCTCAAACTAGTTGTAGTTGTTTTTACCTTCGCTATTATATAAGTAACTTCATTTTTTTCTATATCCTAAAAACAATACATATTATTGTGATTTAACTGTAAATCTTGGGGATACCAGGTTCAAAATAGTAATTTTTTTTCTATTTACATGTCTTAATTACGATTTGAATTTTTATATTTATTTGTGATTTCATATAATAATTTTCTTGTGTAACATTTGATTCTGTGAAAACAAAAACCTTCCTCATTTTTTTCACTATTGGATCACTACTCGATTAAATTTTTAGATTTGACTATATTAATATATTAACTCATTGTCTTTAAACTATCCATTAACTGATCCCTTCTCTGTCAGTAGTCAATTTTATTGTGGCTTCTTATGTATAAACGTTTACATTTTTGTATTTTGTCTCTCCCTTTAGATTACTCTATTTGTGTTTTTCTTAGAAAGCCTTTCAGATAAGTATTGTTTTATTACTTTTCTTTATATTTTAAATTCAACTTCATCAAAATCACATTTTGTTATATGGTCTGAAGAAAGGTTTTTGCTTTACTTTTTCTCAACTATTTTACCATAAATGTATACTCTTTAGTGACTTTTCTGTAAATACATTATTTTTGCAAGCAAATGTTCATGTTACTATTCTTACAGTGAGTTAAATGAGTACTCTTCACTGGTTTCTATATTTTTTAATTTCATTACTAAGAGCCATTAAATTATTCCTTTATGAGCTCAGCCATCAGAATAACACTTGTTGTAGTGATGGGAACATAGAGTGTGCCTGAGTCATTGCTAGTGAAAGCTTTGGTTTGCTTGCAGTAACTTTTCATGTAGATATGAAGCAAGGATGCAATTGAAAATTAACTTGGTTGTGAAAATGCATACATGTTTTAAAAGTTGTACTATTGAGTGTTTCAGAAATACACTCGAAAATTGCATCTTCTTTTCTCTTATAATAGATTACGGGAATAAAATATGGAAATATCAGAAAATGACTAAGGACTTGTTTCTTATTGCTTCAGAACAAATAGAGGAAACACTCCCATGATAAACAGAACAAAAACAATTTGAAACTGTTTACTTTCAATAAAATTTAAAAATTCCCAGATCAGAAAGAGTCTGAAAAAGAGTTTGAACTCCACGACATTAGCAGTTAAAACTAATGATAACAATAAATTACTAGTCATCCATTATTTATCAGGAACTTAACTCTCACCGAAATCCTACGATATTATTATTCTTTTATGCCATAGGAAACTAAACCTCAGAGAGTTGAAGTAACTTGTCCAGGGGATATGGATAATGGCAGAAACAGTTCTTTTCAAATCCAAGTGTTTTCAGAAACTCAATTGATGACCTTAATCATCTCTTACGCTGAGTCACTCATGTTAAAACTCATTAGCGGAAAAAAACATTTAATCAAGAGATAGGTCTCAATTAATTTTAGCTGACACCTTTATAAATAGTATCAGATGTTATCCAGAAATTGATTTCTTGCAAGTTTTCTCATTTTAAAACATTCCAAAGATTTTTAGAGTTCCATATTCCTATAACAAAATGGTATTTGGTTAAGTTAGAATCTCTACACACTCACACACAAGCACACATACACCGAAAGGCAGCAATTAATCCCCATTATTTGTGTAATTGTATGCTTTAAAACACAAAGCAAATAATTTCGTAGAGTCAAGGGAGTGATAGTAATAATTATTCTGGGACAGCAATCCTGAACAAAGACTTCTTTAGCACAAAATGGGATATGTGATCACTCTACCATACTCACAACTATCTCTTAAAAAGAAGATAGATAATTCTACAATTTTCTGTTTATATGTACCTAAGAAATAAATATGCTAGGCCAGAAACTAGAAATCAGGCTTTCTGAGCCTACAATAAAGCAGAAGGTGGAGGCCATGCAGAAGGCAGGCTTATTGGAGGCAGATTTTTAATCAAATGATGATAGTACCATGAATAAAAGTTCAATGTATGTGGGATAAAGTGAAGAGGAAAATTGTTATATAAATAAATATTTATATCCATAAAAATAAAAGATGAAGGAAAGTGAATTAAATATCTAGCTGAAAAAGTTGGAAAAATAAAGCAAGTACAAAAGAAAAAGCAATAAATAATTAGAATAAATTTATGCATTACAAAACATAACTATGTAAAAACAGATAAATAAATAAGCAATGCTTGAAGAAAAAAATTGGCAAACCACTTCCAGTAAGCATCTTCTAAAATGTGTCCCCATCATCTCCAGCTGCTGACACTCATACCCTTTTATAAATTTCTGTCTCTTCAGTGTGGGCTAGATTTAGTGACTCACTTCTAATGAATGTAGCAGAGGTGACAAGATATGACTTTGGGAGTTAAGTTTGAGCATTATGGTGGCTTGCATTTTGGGAACACTCTCTCATGCTCTCTTGGATCTCTTGCTCTGAAGGAAGCCAGCTGTCATGTTGTAAGCTGTCCTATGGAGAAGTCCACATGACAACAAACAGGGAAATCTCCAGCCACCACCCAGGGAAAAACTGAATCCTGCCAACAGCCATACAATGAGCTTAGAATTGTATCTTCTGTAGTCAAGCCTTTTGCTAAGATCATAAACCTTTGCAGTACCCTCATTGCAACCTCATGGGACACGTTTCTGTCAGAAGCTCCCATGCTTAAGTGATTTCTGATCAGAAAAATTTTAAAGTGATAAATGTTTGCTGTTTTAAGCCACCAAGTTTTGTTTTATAGTTAACATACAATATATAATTAATACACTATTGAGGTAATAGAAACTTTTTAAAGAGTGAAAATAAATTTTAAAAATATACATAGTATGAAATGTCAAGGGGATTATAATTAAAGGAGATAAATTTTTAAAAAGAACATTATAATAAGACTGGTGGGGGGAGAATGAAATACAGTTCTGAATGAATATTTGATTCCCAATTTTAAAGGAAAACTTACTATTAAAGACAGATACTAGGCTTCATCACTAGAACTCAATGATGAAGCCTGGTGTTAGCGATGGTGGGGCAAGCTCACATGTACTTCTTAATATGTTGCAACCAAAAGTAAAGCACCAATGAAGAAGTAGTTTCCACATGTGCTTTACCTGTGTCTCAGAAAACCTTTAGAGCAAATTCCATATGAAATAGAGAGAAGAATGGCACAAACTTCTCTTCTGCCTGCCCCAGCTACCGAAAAAACCACTTTTTATCCACAGAGTAAATGTATAATTGTAATGTCCTTTGGTAAATTTCTGCTAGTTGAGTTGAAATTCACAAACTGGAGACTGAAAATTTTTGCATTAATTTTTTTCATGACACCTTAAAGAAGATAAAATTAACAATTTTTCTACCTATGTACCTTCTCAGTTTCCATTTACTTTCTTTGGCAACACTGCAATCTATGTGCTGGTACAACATTTTGCCTTAGGTCACTTCTTTACAGGGTGATATTTGACTTCGTTTCAAAATTTGGTGAATTTAGGGCCAGATTTGGGGCAATGTTATTTTTTTCTATTAGTTTTTAGTTCTTCAAATCCTGGCACTGAACCAATGCATCATCTGAAATCATGAAGAAAGTCACAATTTTCAGTGAGATACAACTCAGCTGGTAATCCCTGAAAGATTTTTCATTTAATCCAGAACTCCACAATCTCTTCCGCACTGATAGAATTTATAAAGTTGAGGGTTTTTTTTAACCTTTTAGACTATAATTTAATTAAAAGTTTTGGTATTTCTACTTGTAAAGTAATTTAATTTGTGTATTATATTTTTAAAGTTTCTCTGACCACCTTGTAGGGGCTTGTGGGGAGCACAAATGTACACTGCTTAACAGTATGTTTAGAAGAATCAACACAGGGAAATAGGGACAACTTTTGGTAGCAGGTGTGCTTCCTCATGGAAGGAAGAATTGGCCTAAAAGAAAACTTAGCTCCTTCCCTAAAAGCAGCATCCACATCTTTTGTTAAGATGAGGCCTGGTACTTGAGTCCAGTTAATTAAGAGAACATAATCCAGTGTAATATTATGGGAGAGGAACTTCCTTTCCTTTGCCTCAGGATTCCACATGGAAGGAATTTCATCATTAATTATAAAATTAGACTGTTTTCGCCTGCCTGCTGACTTCGGGGAAAAGTGGGTGACCTAACAGCAAAGTCTTAGAGTAATTTCTAGATGTACCTGGCTTAAGTCTTCCCTTTTTCCTTTACCTTTGATATTATAATAGCTTTCCTGCATAGAGTAAGCATCTATTCTTCTGTCTTACAGATATTCTCAGTTTTTTTTTTTTTTTTTACATAACCTGATAAGATAACCTCTATTGTCCAGCTCAGCCTATGACAGGCTAGATACGCCTCTTTCTGGGATGCAATATTAGCAAACCATATTATGTGTCATCCAAGTCAGGCATGTCTGTATATCTTTGCTGGGGCAAAAAGGCCATCACTGAATTATCATCTGCTGACTTGAGTTAACTGTCAGTTGTTTCTAACTTGAATGAGGAAGAGGATTATAGAGAGATCATACTAACATAATTACAAGCTTATAATGTTTCAACATTTTAATTTAATATTCCTTGAAAGAAAGTACTCCCTTCCCATAAGAGTTCAAGATAATCTAATGTGGAGTACAAAATAATATTAAAATTTATATTATTTTATCTAAAGTATGATAAACATTATTGTATTAGTAATTAATACATGCAAGGGCAATTTTACATTTTTGTATACAAGAAATATTTAATGAGCAACTACATAGGCCAGGCACAATACAGATTCTAGAGAGCCAGTGATGATAGAAAGAGGCAAAGACACAACATATAATAGATCTGTTTATGTCGATGTTTATAAAACAAGCACTCAAACAAATAAACATGTAACTTAAGATAGTGATAAGAATAATGAGAAATTCTAACACAGAGTCAGATGCCTGCAGAACATGATATAGACATGTTGAGATAACACT
Source organism: Homo sapiens (assembly GCF_000001405.40). NCBI lineage: Eukaryota > Metazoa > Chordata > Mammalia > Primates > Hominidae > Homo > Homo sapiens. The sequence continues at coordinate 30,031,576 of NC_000004.12, forward strand.
ATCTTTTTTTTTTCTCTTTTTTCTTTTTGAGACTTTGTTGCTCGGGCTGGAGTGCAGTGGTACGATCTTGCCTCACTGCAACATCGGCCTCCTGGGTTCAAGAGATTCTCCTTCTTCAGCCTCCCGAGCAGCTGGGATTACAGAAACCTGCCACCATGCCCAGCTAATTTTTTTGTATTTTTAGTAGAGACAGGGTTTCACATGTTGGCCAGCCTAGTCTCTTACTCTTGACCTCAGATGATCAACCCACCTTGGCCCCCAAAGTGTTGGGATTACAGGCTTGAGCCACCATGTCCAGCCAATACTATCTTATTTAGGGTGGACCAAATGTACTGTTTTAACAGAGATCAAAAGAAAGTAAAGGAGTGACCTATGAGAAAAGGCTCTATGACATAAATATCATGAAAGAAAAATGCCAAGACATAGAAATAGTGCATGGGAGAGTGATTTATGAGGAGGAAATGGGAAGGAGAAAAGCCAGATCATCAAGAACTTTTCTGCCCCAGCAATTTGGATATTAGTCAAAGTGTGATAGGCCACTGGAGACTTTTGAGCAGGTGAGGTAATGGCACAATCTGATTTACCTTTTAAATGATTTACCTGACTCCCGCCTAGAAAAAAATAAAAATGCATCAGTAGAGGTACTTCCCTACTTTATAAAAAATGCAAACACATTAAAAAATGTTTGAAGGCCATTGATCCTTAACATAAATATTACAATTTTCTACTTCTACTCTTAAAACAGAACAAAGATTTTTTAATGATATTATAAAATTAATAAAAGAAATAATATTGTTTAATAGAAATACCATAAGCTTTAGAGTCAGACAAACCTAGAAATGAATTCCAACTTGGTCTCTGCCTAAGGTCTATGTAGCAGTCTGTGACATTAAGTAAGGTATGTGGGTTATTAGAGTCTATATTCCATTGTCTGCCAAATTAGAATAATAATTATCATCTTGATTGTTTCTGTATGGATCAGAGCTATGCTCATTGCATTCAATCCAGAGCAGAAAATCCACAATGTTGTTCTTCATTATTACTTATGGCTAGATTTGTTGGACAGCAAGAAGGGATATAGCAATAAACCATGAACTTAAGTTTGTATACCTCTGTTGAGAATACCCAGACTTCTGTATTTTCCAACTGGTTAATGTAGGAGGGAGAGAGGATAAACAGTTAGAGGTGCTATATACATTGACAGAGATGTGAGAAATAGCCAGGCCCAGGATAATGTAATAATGACAACTATATCATCAATAATACATAAGATTTCTCATCAGTTACCTATCATATTTGAAAAAAAATCTGTCCTTTCATATCCAGGGGAAGTCCTTAGAGACAATAAAGTAAATCCTCCTACCTCTATGACGGATTAATAAATAATTTTATCAGACTATTCAGGGTAATTCAAGTCCAAAATTACTTTCAAGTGAAGCAGTGATTAAATTGAGGCAAAATTGTTTGCTTTTGCTCCAACTATCCAGGTAATTGCCCTCATTTTGCCCTTTACTTTTCATGTGTTTAAATCAGTTTGACCTTCTAATTAATCATTTTGTTTTTGGGTTGTTTTAATCCTTTTGTGTAAGTTGGAAAATTAAATCCCATTCCTCTGAAACCTTGTTCTTTGCCATGTCATTGATTTTTCCTTGAGGATCTAATCTAGTTTAAGGTTATGTTCATTTGCTTTCTGTTTGTCACTAGTAACTCTGATGATATAGTCTTGTTTCTGAGAATAGAGTTATTACTGGAGATATTGTTGAAGGACTAAATTTTAAAAAGGCATGAGAGAAAGAGAAAGAGAAAAGAGAAAGAAGAAAAGGTGGAGATGGGAAGAAAGCCTTCAAATAAAGCCGAATGTCCTTTAATTAAGAAAAAAGGAAGAGAATATTTGGCAATAGCCTTTTCTTCTCTTTTTTTTTTTAACATGAGATTTTTTAAAAAGAAAAGTGTAGGAGAAAAGATAGCAAAACAAGATAGGGAATGGCCAATAGACACATCTGGGAAATGAAATAAATTGTGCAAATATTATATTTGCAAATATTATAGTTCTCTAAGAAATAATCACAGTAATCAGATAAGTTCCAAAATTCCACACAAAATTGCCATGTGTAAACCATGCATGATGTTCTCAATAAAGTCAATCATTTTTTTCATTTCTTTCTTTCTGTGTGAATATGTCTGTATGTGTGTGTGTGCGTAACATATAGAGAAGAAAATCTAAGCATTTACTTCCTATAATGACTCAACATTGTTAAATTAATACTTACATATAATTCATTATTTGTATAACATGATCCAAACGAGTATTACTGATAAATGTTCAAATGATAATTTCTGGAAGTATATGCTTTAGAATTCTTGTCTTATAAATGTGTCACAAAAAAATGTCCTGTGATTGATTGTACTTAGGAGTTAACTGGCTAGTTATTTACTTTAAGTTTCACTTTCACATGGTGGGCATGGACATTGGCAAAGATAACAAGACTGGATTCTTCTGATCTTTCTTAGTCATTTTTCTGTATTTTTTATACAGAAAAATCATTTGTAAGAATTGCATTGTATTAAACAACAAATTTCAACAAATTGAATTTTAAAGATCTAATTGGCTTTTATTAGTGATTCATGAATTACGCAGTAGTCCATCTACAAAATAGAAGGAGCTACACCAGGCATGGCAGAATGATCAGGTTTTATCAGGCAGTACCAGTAGGAAACAGCCTAGTGCAAAAAGAGAATTGGCTAGCAACAGATACTTCAGGTTACTTTCCTTATATAGGTTAAAGCAGAGGAGACTTCCTTACCATGCTGGCTTGGGTTGACTTAACCTATTTTTTTTTTTTTTTTGAGATGGAGTCTTGCTCTGTCACCCAGGCTGGAGTGCAGTGCTGCGATCTCGGCTCACTGCAAACTCCTCCTCCCTGGTTCAAGCAATTCTCCTGTCTCAGCCTCCCGAGTAGCTGGGACTACTGGCACATGCCACCACACCTGGGTAATTTTTGAATTTTTTAGTACAGACGGGGTTTCACCATATTAGTCAGGCTGGTCTCGAACTCCTGACCTCAGGTGATCCACCTGCCTCGGCCTCCCAAACTGCTGAGATTACAGGCATGAGCCACCACGCCTGGCCGACTTAGCCATTTTTTCATTGGTTGTTGTAAATCTCTTGTTTTTTGAAAAACTGGACAGCTCTTAAGTTCAATTTGAATATATGAGTTTCATATTATTAACATGAGTGACTTCATTCTGGTGGTCTGTTGGATTCTAGTGTAGAATCTCAGTTCAAAACTACAGCCTCTCAAATTTTACTTAATAATCATGATACATTTGGTACTTTATTACTTTTTGTGAGGGATAGATTCATCCCAGTCCTGTAATTTTTGCCAGTCTTGAAGCTCTTTGATGCCCTGGGCCTCAAAGAGATCACAACCTAGTTGAAGAAAGTATTGTTTATCAATAATTATAATGTGATAGACATTATCTCTAATGGGGTGCTTAAAAAGGGAATGAGTAGGGAGCCAGGCACAGTGGTCCAAAGGATAATTCACTTGATACATGAAATAACTATGTTAGTGTAAAAGATGGATTATTATAAAGTAGGTATCATTGATATTAAAATATGACATATTTTCTTCAGCAGACACGAACCAGCAGATTTTCTGTGTTCTAAAAAATGAACTAAACAACAGTGGAGTCATTTTGACCATCATAATAAGAGATACAAATCTCTGCATGGATCAAGTATTTTTAGTCAATGACTACCATGATGGCTGAAGGTCTTGCTGTGATCCATTGGAATTTCACTTTCCAGACTAGATAAAGGACACAGTTGATCTCATTATATTGCTTTGCTACAGAAAGAAGCTGAATTTTGAAATAAACTCGTGATGACTACAGTCATCTCCCCGTGGAGAAATTTGCATCACAAAAACACCTTCATCACGGGTCTTATCATTATTCATTTTGGTCGTGTCAGCAGAGAAAACAAGGGCTGAATATTTCTGAACAATAAATTTCTTGACATACCTTTATTTTTAGTAGGAACTTGTGCTGTCCTAAATCAGGAGCAAAAAAAAGTTGGGTATACATTTTAATAAAAATTAATTATATTGGAATTTAAATTTCTCAGCTGAGGTTATATGATTTTGTATTTTTGTATATATATACAACCACAAACATATCTTCTTTGCTTATCCTCACTTCCAAATACTATTTTTTAATAAATCCCATTATTTTCCTCTTATTTACTGTTTCTCTGTTACACACAAAATTTTAAAAATTAGTCATTTAATTTTTATTTTTCAAAAGATTATTCTTCCTATATTTCAAATGCATTAGAACATGTGCCACTTGATTTAGCAATCATGTCTCTTATTGACAGCCAAGAAAACAGACACAACTACTGTAACTAACTGGTGGAAAATGTATTATTTCCTTATACTTTTGGAACTGATGTGCTAAGTCTTAAATAAGTATTTTAAAGATGTTTTATTTTGGAATCTATCTGTACATCTTGACTATTCCCTTCTAGAGTTATACTTTCAGAGAATGCATGCAAAAGTGTGCTGCTCCCCACGTATGAGAGGAGAAGTGATCAATTATAGAAAAGAACAGTGTCTGGGATGCATGGTCACTGTAATTTACTAGTGATTACCTTGAAAATGAATATGTGACTATTTGACAAGTGATTTCCAAAGGTTGCATTTTCCTAAATGTCAAGGAATTTTTCCCCTTAAGAATAATTTGGCAGTTGTTTTTTGCTATCATATTTCCACTAAATTACATGTTTCATTTGACAACATTTGTGGATCAGAGCAGGTTGAATATTCCACTTAAATTTTTGGCTCTCCGATTATATTTTTATTTAAGTGAATTTTGTATTGCTTTTTTGTAGAGCATTTGCTTTTTTTGTAGAAACCATTAGAACAAGGACATGTACGTTTCTTGAGTTCATAAAATTAGCAAGGCTCCTTACCTAAGGTAATTAGCTATTGCAGCACTAGGCAAGAGGTAAAGGCAAAACACCATAGGTGTGTTTATACTTCATGTCAGTGAAAGGATAACAGAAATTTCAATAATATGATATGATACATACCAGGTTGTCCTGGACTAGCAGGAAGACTTGGACTTGCATAAGAAAAAAAGAGATAGTTATATTAAAAAGGGCCTTGAAAAAGTGAACAGAAAGAGCAAGCTATACAAAATATTTGCTCTTCTCCAACATGGAGATATTGCAAGATCATTTTCATTTTTTTTCCATTGTGTGAAGAATAAATATTCCATCAACATGCAGCTTCTTTGGAAGTTCATACATTATGCAAATAACAATTCATTCTTATTGAGTGTATCATCAGAGTTGTTCCAAAATCAAAGCTAGATGAAGAGTAGGATCCCAGAATATTAGGACCCAAGTGTACATATTATTATGGAATTTACTTTAGTCAGGCAGAACTAGTGTCTTGGTCACACTGGGATAGGATGAGGCTCTTGACATATGTCAGTGCTAAGAATGAAGCTCATTCTCTTTAAGAAAAGAAAAAAAAGATGAGAAGTTGGAAACACTTCTTCTTCCATCATTTAATCCACATGAAACCCACTGAAATATTTAGTATAAGCCTGAATCATTTTTTTTCTCTCTAAAAACTCTGACACAAAGCTTTGAAACTGTGTCATAAAATTGTTCCATGCTATTACACCAAGAGTAGCAACATGGTGCATTCAGTCTGGTTATAAAACTATAATATTCTAAAAAGCCCAAAACATGTTCAATGATTAATTTAACACAAAGTAATAGCAATCATCAGGTTATGTTTGGATATTAAAATGCAAAGAAATCTTAGTTTTGCAATATCTGATCGTCTTCTCTAGTCATTCATGAATCCTCAAGGAAGAAGAAAGAAACCTTGCCCAGAAACCACTTATATGATTTTTCTGAGAAATGGATTCTTGTGTTTCAAGTTTTATCACCTCGTGATTGTGAATCAGGTTTTTACCTCTACTATTAGGACATTCTCATCTAAGGGTGATTCTCCTTTGACTACTCTCTATCTGTTGCTTGCCCCTGAACAACTTTACAGTCTTGTACCTGAAACGGTTTGAAATTAAGGGGCATATAAGGAAGGAGTTGGAAAAGAAGAAACTTAATTTCTTTTTCACAGAGCCACCTATATAATTTGTTTGTTATATTTATTTTTACCTCTAAATTATTCTATGCATTAATGGATACAATCATTCTTGCCTTTGTAAGACAGAGTAGCATTAGGTGACTTAGAAAGATGATAAACAGGCTGGGCGTGGTGGCTCACGCCTGTACTCCCAGCACTTTGGAAGGGCGAGGCGGGTGGATCATGAGGTCAAGAGATTGAGACCACCCTGGCCAACATGGTGAAACCACATCTCTACTAAAAATACAAAAATTAGCTGGGCATGGTGGTGCGTGCCTGTAGTCCCAGCTACTTGGGAGGCTGAGGCAGAAGAATCACTTGAACCCAGGAGGCAGAGGTTGTGGTGAGCACTGAGATCATACCACTACACTCCAGCTTGGCGACCGAGCGACACTCTGTCTCAAAAAAAAAAAAAAAAGAAAAGAAAAGAAAGATGATAAACAGTCTGCTCCCAGAGACAGGCATAATCTATGTGGAATGTTAAAACCATTCAAATTACAGGATTTGAATAGGACACTACATTCATTTATATAAGGAGACACAAATTATACCACTAGGTAAAAACACATAAAAGCGATACATAATTTAGAATCAGATATGTTTATCAGTTTATATCCTGGGTTGATTTTATGGGCATGGAAAATGCTGGTGACTTATTTAATGTTATTTTAGTATTGTTCTTTATGAAATGGCAAAAATTACATCAAGCTTGCTGTACCATAGGGAGAATTACATGAAATTATGAATGCAAAGTGTCTAGTATATGGTAAATTTTCAATAAATATCATTTTATTTTTTCTTGTAACAAACATGTTTTTAGTCTCCCAGATGGCTCAACATCCCCCTAATGGAATGAATCTTTCATATGCTCTTGGCTACAGTGTTTCCTGTTGAAACTGATTTATCCACTCATTTTATGAATTGTAATCTTTCTGTAACAGATATTCATGTATAACAATAAAGCAAACATTTATGTAGAACTATGTGTCCAGCTATATTAGTCCATTTTCACACTGCTAATAAAGACATACCCGAGACTGGACAATTCATAAAAGAAAAAAGTTTACTGGACTCACAGTTCCATATGGCTCGGGAGGCCTCACAATCAAGGCAGAAGGCAAGGAGAAGCAAGTCACATCTTACGTGGATGGCAGCAGGCAAAGAGAGCTTGTGCAGGGAAACTCCCCCTTTTTAAAACCATGAGATTTCATGAGACTTATTCACTATCGTGAGAATAGCATGGGAAAGACCTACCCCCATGATTTGATTACCTCCCACTGAGTCCCTCCCACAACATGTGGGAATTGAAGATGAGTTTTGGGTGGGGATACAGTCAAACCATATCATAAGAAATGTTCTAAGAGAATAAATTCATTTTATATTCAAAAAGTCCATGACACATGAATGGTTGTTGACTCCATCTCACAGGTTAGAAAATAAGAACAAAGTACAGAATTTATGTAAATGCCTGAAAATCATTCACCTGAAATTCTACTCAAGTATAAAAGCTCCAGAGTCTATTCTCATAATCACGAGTTTATATTGCCTCTCATTTCTCCGACTTTTCTGACTTCATATTGTAACCATTTATATGGATGGTATTACTAAAACATAGTTTACCCCTATGTGAAATATTTGCCAGACAGCAAGGAACCATGACCATTTCATACATGGTATTTACTATGAGGATTCATTAAACAGTTATTCAAAAAATTTGAAACATTTTTCAAGTAATATAAAATCTCTATATAGATCTTTGCCTTTATAGTCCTTTTTTTTTACCTTAACTTATGTAGCATTTAATTAACAAAAGAGTTAATGCAATTAAATAGCATTAGTATAATATGTTAAAACCAAATTTACTCCCTAATGACAACTTTTTAAAGTTTACCTCATTTTATCATTTTGGTGTGCCACAGCATTATATATTTAAGGATAAGGTTAAAAATATTTATTTATATAGGAAACAATAAGTGTTAGACATAACATTTGTTCATATTAGGAGTACTCAGCATGAAAGAACAAGTATAAATATGAAATTTGTAAGTGTGGCTTCTTACTTTTCTGATAGTCTTATACAAATAGATAAGGAATGAATTAACATATTTCACTTAGAGTGATGCTTTGTTGTAAATCTTTCCAGATTTTTAGTATTGAGAAAGTCTTACAGTATCAAATTATATGAATTGTCCTCTTAAACCATATGGAAGTAATTGGCTCATATAGCCATATCAGCAGTGATTCCAAAGGCAGCAAGTATTAAAAATCTATAGTAGGAAAATAAAAAAAATTACTTTTTATCACAATGCTTCTTTTCTCCTTTATTTGAAGGCTTAGATTTCATGAAGAATCATTAAAAATAAATCTCTTTGTCTACTAAAACCTGTGTGTATTTATCTACTTTTTGTGACTCCACTAGCTGGGACACTGGAGTCATTCAACTAATGTTGACAGTTGAGTGATCATTTTAGAAGACTCCATAAATTGAGGATGATTTACATCCTCATACAATCTATTATTTTTCATAAATTGAAATCTCAATGTATATGTTTATCACTGAAATGTAATGGTATCATACAATTTTACCCATAACGTGTGTTCAACCAGTGCAAACTAAACAAAGAAAAGATGTGCATTTGTCTGAATATCTTCCCACTGTGATACTGCCACAACCCTCTTTTTTTTTTTTTTTTTTTTTTTTTTTTTGAGACGGAGTTTTTGCTCTTGTTGCCCAGGCTGGAGTGCAATGGCTGCGATCTTGGCTCACTGCAACCTCTGCCTCCCAGGTTCAAGTGATTCTCCTGCCTCAGCCTCCTGAGTAGCTGGGATTACAGGCGACCACCACCACACCCAGCTAATTTTTGTATTTTTAGTAGAGACACCATGTTGGTCAGGTCGGTCTCAAACTCCTGACCTCAAGTGATCCACCCACCTCAGCCTTCCAAAATGCTGGGATTGCAGGCATGAGCAACCATGCCTGGCAGTCCTAATTTTTTTTTTATGACTTTGGGACCACTAATATATTACTGAAATAGCAAAATCAAAGCAAACATCAGAATTCTAGTTATAAAAATGATCAAGTTCTGTCATCTTAAGATATAGATATACAGAAACAAGTTTAATACAAGATCTTCATTTGGCTACAACCACAAGTGTTCAAGGAAAATTATGGGCTGTCCTGTTGGTTAGGTAATTAATTCTCTCATTATTGAGCATGACTTTTCTAGTCCAACAGACTTACATTTATGCTCAGGCTTGCCCGCTACTAACTAGATGTATTTAAATATACTTTGTAAATTTTCTTATTTCATATTCCTCATCTACAGAAGGAAATTAACCCTTTCCTTCAGGATTTATATATTATATTATATTATATTATATAAAGCATCTGTGAGGATTCCCAGTATGTTGCTTGGCATGACATGTCACTGTTACTTCCCTGGTCCAAGTCACCATAACCACTTGCCTAGAATATTACAATCTCTCTCTGCTTCCCACCCTGTCCACTGACAGTCTGTTATCTACAAAGAAGCCAGAGTGATTCTATCAAACACAAAGCCCTCCAATGGCCTCTCATCCCAGAGCTCAGAGGAATCATGTGCCCTAATAACTTACCAGATCTTACATGGTTTTTCCTAGTGTACACACACCCCTTATCCCTATGACCTCATTTTCAGTGGTCTCCCTGTTTCTCCATCCCATTTGTGGAATTACGAACTCTTTGATGTTCCTTAAATATACCAAGAGATAGAAGCACCCTTTCCCCAGGTATCTTCATGGTTCATTCTCTCACTTATTGAATCTTTGCAATCTCACGGAGGTTTATATTGACAACACCTTTCTCTACATCTTGACCCTCCCTTTTCCATACTCTGTTTATTTTTTCCATAGTTGTCATTACTGTCTATGAATTTGATTATTCTTGCTATTTATTTTCTATTCACTCCTCTAAGGAAAGCTCCATGATGAGTAATTTTAGTTTCCTCTATTTACTGATATATTTGCAGCCCCTAGCACTACGCTTGGAACACTCAACAAATATTTATGGAATGAATGAATAAATGAATATCATTTCCCTTTTCCTCTTCTTTTCTTTCATGGTGGTACAAGGGTTGTTTCTTCATTCTGACCATCACCGTTCTTACTTTTGAATGTTATTGTCCCTGGCACTTTGCCTATTTTTCTTCCCTACTATTTGATCCCTTAAATCTGTAGAAATGACTTCTGACTTGAGCTGCCTCCTATTTGAACAAGTCAACTAATTCCTTCTCCCCAAAGATCTCCAGTCATTCTTTCCTTCAGCTTTCTCAGAAATGCTCTCCTAACCTCCCAGTTAGAAACCACTACTTTCTGTGAGGACTTCTAATGCCAAATAATACAACTGAAGAACAACAATAAAAAGAGTAGCCAGTTGAGTCTAGGATACAGTGCCATAACATTGTATTTGACCATTATTTTCCAAGTCTCTTCAACCTGTTTTATTTACTTATTTATTTATTGTCTGTTCTTCTGTCTGGAATGTCTAGCCCCTACTAGACACTTATTTTGTAAATTTTGATAGTGAATGAGTGAGTAAATTATTTCAAGGCAAATTTTCAAGATTTATTTGTTTATTTTTAGAATAATAGTTTCACTTCTAAGTATGTGCTACTCTAGCCCCGTACTCAAACAAGAGTTCCCACCTTTATTACAAACCTATCTTTTTATATTGTCACATGATTAGTCTTTCCCATTTATTTTTGCCACTTCAGTTACTACACCCTTCACCTATTCAAGCATTAGTAATTTCCTGTTCCTTCTGAAAAGAATTCCAACACACTCTGTATATCAAAAAGTTCCATTTATGCTTTCTGGTTACCTTGGTTCTTATATCACAGCAGACTGTCAGACTTATTTGGTTATGTCTTACTCCTGATCAAATTCAAAGCCTCAATCTGTCCTTTTAATTCTTTACCTTGCATCTTATAGGATATTCTAGGGTCTTGGCCTTAATTTCAAAACACATAAAATCTATCATGATTAAAGTCTTGTACGAAATATACTCTTTAACTCTACTTTGGTAGAATACAAATTATGAATAAAGATGGAATTTGCTTAATCTAACCCACAAAATTAGATCACATGTTCTACATATTTTTAAAAACATGAAATATAGTAGTATCTTATACTGCATACTAATATGAATATTTTTATTAATTTATATATTTCTTAAAATACTTTTCAGCTGTTACCCTGCTTAGCTTGTCTAACAATTACAATTCCTTTTATGGTAGAGTTACCCTTTTTTACATGAAGTATATTATGCTTTACATGCAGAGTTATGATTTGATAAATGTACTGTAATTGTGATTATTTAAACTAGTCAACATCTTACATTATCTTGATATAATGGGAAAACAACAGACTGTCTTACCTTAGAAAAATAAGAGCTTTCAAAACAGATAATACATGAGATAATGGTGCTTATTATTCATGTTACAAAGAAAGTCTTTTTATTACTAAAAAAAAAACTATACATTTTCTATAAATAGCTAGGTTATAATTCTCCTCCACTTTACCTCAAATTTTGGGGAATGTGTCTATAGAAACAGGGAAGGTCCATTTGTGATCTTTATTTAAGATGTTAGAAAATTACTCATTTATTTTTTTTTAAATTACATTGGAAACAAAGTTAATGGCAAATATTGTTTTATTAAAGAGGATATTATAGAAAATTTCAGTTTTGCAGAGTCTATGTGGTACATTGGCTATTTGAAAATCAGCTTAGCACGTAGCACCAAATATTTTATAAATGAACTACAGAATAATAGAAAAGGGTAAGTATAATTCTGTGAAAGTTTGAAATCCCTCAATGTGTAGTGGGGAATGTTTCTTACCATATTTGTTCTTTTGACTACATAATATGCTTTCAATAATTTTCTTTTCTGCTGACAAAAGCCAGGGTAGGTTTTGTCACCCGCAACAACCACAACAAAAATTCTTGAGCCAAAATGTTACAGTTAATATCTGGTTAAAATTTGGACATCTACACAATATTGTATTTAATTTCCTACATTCTTAAAACATTTGAAAATTATACATCATCCATCCCTCTCCCTTTTTTTAAAATTAAAAAAAAACTAAATAATTAGTAATCGTATTCATGGTACATAAGCAGTTATTTATAAAATCACACACAAAAAAAATACAGGGTATCCTGACTCCATGATGATTTTTCAGTATTCCACATAGACTAATGTTGTACTTAATGAGTTTCTACATTAACAATATACATACAGAGGTTTCCTCAGCTAACTATTGTTCATGACCTTAGCTATTTCAGCAGTCCTGGTTTACCAAGAGAGCTAGTGTTTGGCTGAGTAACTCTAGTAAATAGAAAAGAAACATCTCTTATGTGAAGTTAGAAAACCAAAATAGGGATATAAATGGTGTCTTATCATTCTTTTAAACCCAGTTTATAATGTGTAATACACATATTATTGCAGGTAATATTATAATTTTAGTGGTATACATTTGAAAGCTAACATGTATTTGAATTTGCAACTGCTCATGAGCAAAATGCTCACATGACATGACTTAGTTCTATTACAGTAATAGTTAATCTGACTAAGAAAGCTATTCTTTCCTTCATCAATTTCCTGAAGTCTTACAGTGTTCATTGCCTCAACACCAGCAAAAATTAGTATTTAATTACATTTTGCTTTGTACTGTCCTTATTGGTTTCACTGCCAGTTATGCTAATCATGTGTTTTGTTAGGCAGAAAGTGTGTTTTATACATTCCTTTTTGCATTTAAGTCACTCGAATATGAAATACCCACTCAGTGCTCAGTAAGTACTTACAGGTCTACCAGTTAGTCTCAGGGATAGAAACTCAAAGAGAAATTTGACTCTTGCCATTTATGTATTAACGAATATCAGATTATTTAAGTACCTAAGTCAGATTATAAGAATCATATTTTATTATTTTGTATTTTATTCCTTCAAATATACTTACCAGGGGACCACTCTGAGTTAGGTACTTGAATATACTATAGGAAGTTGAGATGATTAAAACATTTTGAAAAACCCATTGAAAGACATTCTTGAAGAATTTGTAACCAAGCATAACGTATTATATACTTTGTTTCTCCTTTCCTCCCAATAAATTATGAGTGTCACAAATCAATTTTGAAGATTGAATTACAACATTGAAGGAGTAACTTTTTCAATCTTACTTTCTCTGAGGAAGAGCATGAGAAGCAAATGAAAAGCAAGAGCAAATTTGTGAGACTGAAAAGCCATTATTTGTATGCTTGTTGTTCACGTTATCTATTTCTTCTTTCTTTCTTTCTTTCTTTCTTTCTTTCTTTCTTTCTTTCTTTCTTTCTTTCTTCTTTCTTTTTATTTTTTTTGAGATGGAGTCTCACTCTGTCACCCAGGCTGCAGTGCAATGGTGCGATCTCGGCTCACTGCAACCTCTGCCTCCCAAGTTCAAGCGATTCTCCCTGCCTCAGCCTCCCAAGTAACTGGGATTACAGGCCCTGCACCACACCCAGCTAATTTCTGTATTTTTAGCAGACACGGGGTTTCGCCATGTTGGCCAGGCTGGTCTCGAACTCCTGACCTCAAGTGATCTGCCCACCTCGGCCTCCCAAACTGCTGGGATTACAAGTGTGAGAACACCGTGCCAGGCCTCACAGTATCTTATATCTCAAAGTCCTTACTATTTAAGGAGATCCTCTTTCCCAAAGCAGAAAGGGACATTCTCCTCTCTCTCAATGTTCATGAGCACACCAGCAGGCGGAGTTTTTGTTTTCTGCAAATTAAATGCTCCTACAGTTATTGCAAATAAATGTGGGTATGTAATGACAAAAGTTAATCTGAAAAGTTTAAGACAAGAGTTGTTGTTAGTAGTTTAAAAATTGGTTTAACTTTTATTTTACAAAAGGTCAAATGTTGTGGTAAATTATTCAATGTTAATAATGTGAAATGAGGAGATCTAATTAAAGATATTTAAGTTGCACATAACTAGATATTCATATAAAACATTTTCAATGATCTGCAATATATTTACATTTTTTTACTAAAACTCCAATCTGCTTTTTATTTTTACTGTTATTATTTATTTATTTACTTATTTTTGAGACAGAGTCTCACTCCATCACCCACACTGGAGTGTAGTGGCGCAATCTCAGCTCACTGCAACCTCCACCTCCCAGGTTCAAGCAATTCTCCTGTCTCAGCCTCTGGAGCAGCTGGGATTACAGGCACTTGCCAACACGCCTGGCTAATTTTTGAATTTTTAGTAGAGACAGGGTTTCACCTTATTGGTCAGGCTGGTCTAAAACTCCTGACCTCAAGTAATCTACCTGCTCAGGCCTCCCAAAGTGTTGGAATTACAGCTGTGAGCCATCACGCCTGGCCCAATCTGCCTTTTAAATTTTACTTCTAACTAGTAATTTCTAGTGGATTTTTTGTTATTCATTTTCTTTTTGGAGGCAGTAAAGATATTGATTAAGAGCAGGGGTTCTACTCCAAAATACAGCCGCAAAGCTACAACTATCTGATCTTCAACAAAGTTGACAATAACAAGCAATGAGAGAAGGAATCCCTATTCAACAAATGGTGCTGAGATAACTGGCTAACCATATGCAGAAGATTGAAACTGGACCCCTTCCTTCAGAAGGAAACGTAACAGCTCCTCCTTGTACCTCTGGTAGAATTCAGCAGTGAATCCATCTGGTCCTGGACTTTTTTTGGTTCGTAAGCTATTAATTATTGCCTCAATTTCAGAGCCTGTTATTGCTCTATTCAGAGATTCAACTTCTTCCTGGTGTAGTCTTGGGAGGATGTATATGTCCAGGAATTTATCCATTTATTCTAGATTTTCTAGTTTATGTGCACAGAGGTGTTTATAGTATTCTCTAATGGTAGTTTGTATTTCTGTGGGATCCGTGGTGATATCCCCTTTATCATTCTTTATTGCATCCATTTGATTCTTCTCTCTTTTCTTCTTTATTAGTCTGGCTAGAGGTCTATCAATTTTGTTGATCTTTTCAAAAAACCAGCTCCTGGATTCACTGATTTTTTGAAGGGTTTCCTGTGTCTCTGAAACTATTCCAATCAATAGAAAAAGAGGGAATCCACCCTAACTCATTTTATGAGGCCAGCTTCACCCTGATACCAAAGCCTGGCAGAGACACAACAAAAAAAAGAGAATTTTAGACCAATACTCCTGATGAACATCAATGCAAAAATCCTCAATAAAATACTGGCAAACCGAATCCAGCAGCACATCAAAAACTTATCCATCATGATCAACTGGGCTTCATCCCTGGGATGCAAGGCTGGTTCAACAGAGGCAAATCAATAAACGTAATCCAGCATATAAACAGAACCAAAGACAAAAACCACATGATTATCTCAATAGATGCAGAAAAGGCCTTTGACAAAATTCAACAATGCTTCATGCTAAAAACTTTCAATAAATTAGGTATTGATGGGACTTATCTCAAAATAATAAGAGCTATCTATGACAAACCCACAGCCAATATCATACTGAATGGGCAGAAACTGGAAGCATTCCCTTTGAAAACTGGCACAAGACAGGGATGCCCTCTCTCACAACTCCTATTCAACATAGTGTTGGAAGTTCTGGCCAGGGCAATCAGGCAGGAGAAGGAAATAAAGGGTATTCAATTAGGAAAAGAGGAAGTCAAATTGTCCTTGTTTGCAGATGACATCATTGTATATCTAGAAAACCCCATCATCTCAGCCCACAATCTCCTTAAGCTGATAAGCAACGTCAGCAAAGTCTCAGGATACAAAATCAATGTGCAAAAATCACAAGCATTCTTATACACCAATAACAGACAAACAGAGAACCAAATCATGAGTGAACTCCCATTCACAATTGCTTCAAAGACAATAAAATACTTAGGAATCTAACTTACAAGGGATGTGAAGGACCTCTTTAAGGAGAACTACAAATCACTGCTCAATGAAATAAAAGAGGATACAAACAAATGGAAGAACATTCCATGCTCA
Source organism: Homo sapiens (assembly GCF_000001405.40). Classification (NCBI taxonomy): domain Eukaryota; kingdom Metazoa; phylum Chordata; class Mammalia; order Primates; family Hominidae; genus Homo; species Homo sapiens. The sequence goes on from NC_000004.12 coordinate 30,047,767, forward strand.
TGGGTAGGAAGAATCAATATGGTGAAAAGGGCCATACTGCCCAAGGTAATTTATAGATTCAATGCCATCCCCATCAAGCTACCAATGACTTTCTTCACAGAATTGGAAAAAAAAACTACTTTAAAATTCATATGGAACCAAAAAAGAGCCCACATTGCCAAGTCAATCCTAAGCCAAAAGAACAAAGCAGGAGGCATCTCGCTACCTGACTTCAAACTATACTACAAGACTACAGTAACCAAAACAGCATGGTACTGGTACCAAAACAGAGATATAGACCAATGGAACAGAACAGAGCCCTCAGAAATAATGCCACATACCTACAACTATCTGATCTTTGACAAACCTGATAAAAACAAGAAATGGGGAAAGGATTGCCTATTTAATAAATGATGTTGGGAAAACTGGCTAGCCATATGTAGAAAAATGAAACTGGATCCCTTCCTGACACCTTACACAAAAATTAATTCACGATGGATTAAAGAATTAAATGTTAGACCTAAAACCATAAAAACCCTGGAAGAAAACCGAGGCAATACCATTCAGGACATAGGCATGGTCAAGGACTTCATGTCTAAAACACTAAAAGCAATGGCAACAAAAGCCAAAATTGACAAATGGGATCTAATTAAACTAAAGAGCTTCTGCACAGCAAAAGAAACTACCATCAGAGTGAACAGGCAACCTACAGAATGGGAGAAAACTTTTGCAATCTACTCATCTGACAAAGGGCTAATATCCAGAATCTACAATAAACTCAAACAAATTTACAAGAAAAAAAGAAACAACCCCATCAAAAAGTGGGTGAAGGATATGAACAGACACTTCTCAAAAGAAGACATTTATGCAGCCAAAAGACACATGAAAAAATGCTCATCATCACTGGCCATCAGAGAAATACAAATCAAAACCACAATCAGATACCATCTCACACCACTTAGAATGGCAATCATTAAAAAGTCAAGAAACAACAGGTGCTGGAGAGGATGTGGAGAAATAGGAACCCTTTTACACTGTTGGTGGCACTGTAAACTGGTTCAACCACTGTGGAAGTCTGTGTGGCGATTCCTCAGGGATTTGGAACTAGAAATACCATTTGACCCAGCCATCCCATTTACTGGGTATATACCCAGAGGATTATAAATCATGCGGCTATAAAGACACATGCACACAAATGTTTATTGTGGCGCTATTCACAATAGCAAAGACTTGGAACCAACCCAAATGTCCAACAATGATAGACTGGATTAAGAAAATGTGGCACATATACACCATGGAATACTACACAGCCAAAAAATAATGATGAGTTCATGTCCTTTGTAGGGACATGGATGAAGCTGGAAACCATCATTCTCAGCAAACTATCACAAGGACAAAAAAACCAAACACCGCATGTTCTCACTCATAGGTGGGAATTGAACAATGAGAACACATGGACACAGGAAGGGGAACATCACACACCCGGGCCTGTGGTGGGGTGAGGGGAGGGGGGAGGGATAGCATTAGGAGATATACCTAATGTTAAATGACGAGTTAATGGGTGCAGCACACCAACATGGCACATGTATACATATGTAACAAACCTGCACATTGTGCACATGTACCCTAAAACTTGAAGTATAATAATAAAAAAAAAGAAACTGGACCCCTTCCTTTCACCATATACAAAAGTCACCTCAACATGGACTAAAGAGTTAAATATAAGTCCTAAAATTACAAAAACCCTAGAAGAAAACCTAGAAAATACCATCCTGGACATAGGAACGGGCAAAGATTTTACAACAAAGTGTTTCAAAGCAATTACAATAAAAATAAAAATTGACATATGGGGCCTAATTAAACTAAAGAGTTTCTGCACAGCAAAAGTTACTATCAACAGAATAAACAGACAACCTACAGAATAGGAGAAAATATTTGCAAACTATGCATCTGACAAAGGTCTAATACCCAGAATCTATAAGGAACTTAAATAAATTAACAAGCAAAAATCAACCCCATTAAAAAATGATCACAGAACATGAACAGACACTTATCAAAAGAAGACATACATGTGGCCAACAGCATATGTAAATATGGTCTACACCAATAACCATTAGAGAAATGTAAATCAAAACCGCAACGAGATACCATCTCACGCAAATCAGAATGGCCATTATTAAAAAGTCAAAAAATAACAGTGGCCAGTGAGGTTGTAGAGAAAAGAGAACATTGCTTGTGGGAATGTAAACTAGCTCAGCCACTGTAGAAAGCAGTTTGGAAATTTCCAGAGAACTTAAAACAAAACTACCATTTGACCGAGCAGTCTCATTATTGGGTATATACCCAAAGGAATATAAATTGTTCTACCAAAAAGACGCATGTACTAGTATGCTCATCGCAACACTATTCACAATAGTAAAGACACAGAGTCAAGCTAGATGTGCATCAGCAGTAGACTGGATAAAGAAAATGTGGTACACACACACTATAGAATACTATGCAGCCATAAAAACAATGAAATCATGTCCTTTGCAACAACATGGATATAGCTGGAGGCCGTTATCCTAAGTGAACTAATACAGGAGCAGTAAACAAAATTCTTTATGTTCTTACATATACGTGGGAGAAAAACACTAAGTGAATGTGGACACAAATCGGAGAACAAAAGCCACTGGGCCTACTTGAATGGGGAAGATGAAAGGAGAGTGAGAGTTGAAAAACCATACATAGGATATACTACTCTCACTAGCTGGGTGATGGAAAAATCTATACACCTAACTCCAACGAGACACAATTTACTCATGTAACAAATCTGCATATGTATTTCCTGAACCTAAATGTTGGAAATGAATAACAAAAATTTAAAAATAAAATTTGAAGTCCAAAAAATAAATAAATATGACAAGATTTGCTACTACTATGTTACTATTATTTTCTGTGTTTTTTACATCTGTTGTTTATTTAGCTTGACATATTTGAATTCCATCCTTTATCTCCTATAATAATTTAGAAGTCATAGATCTTTGCTTTACTTCTTTTATTGTAGCTACTAAAATATCACTTCCTGTGTGTAAGACCTTGCAAATTCATTTCCCTTACCAATCTTTGTGCTACTTTTCCAGTACACTTCACTATTAGGTATTTTACAAATCAAAAAAGATAGGGATTCTAGAATTAGGCTTCCACTTATGCAAATTGATGTTCAGACTCTATGACTTAAAAATACGTTACTTGAGGCCGGGTGCAGTAGCTCACGCCTGTAATTCCAGCACTTGGGAGGCTGAGGCGGGTGAATCACCTGAGGTCAGGTGTTCGAGACCAACCTGGCCAACATGGTGAAACTCTGTCTTTACCAAAAATACAAAAATTAGCCAGGAATGGTGGAACGCACCTATAACCCCAGTTTCTAGGAAGGCTGAGGCAGGAGAATAACTTGAACCTGGGAGGCAGAGGTTCTAGTGAGCCGAGATTGCACCACTACACTCCAGCCTGGGCCACAGAGTGAGACTCTGTCTCAAAAATAAAAAAAAAATGTTACTTGACTAAGTACCAATTTTTGTGTGATGCATTTTTTTCTTTTTTTATAGAGACGATAGTAGTAATGCCTACCTCAATGAGTTTCTATAAGAATTAAGTTACTTAACACAGTCAAAGTGCTTAGAATAATGTCTAGGACATGATAAGTTTTCAATATTATTATTATTGTTATTGTTATTATTCATTTAATTAGTATTACTTAAATGAGAATTATTCTTCTACTGTCATTTGTTAGAAGCCCTAGACCAATCTCTCTGCTTCCCATACCAATTTATCCCAGAATATCATGCTCATAAGTATAAACATAATATAATATAAATATAAACATATTTATATATAATACAAATATAAACATATTTATATATAATACAAATATAAACATATTTATATATGATATAAATATAAACATATTTATATATAATGTAATATAAACATTTATATTGTATTATATATAACCATAATATAAACATAAACATATTACATTTAATATAAAAAATCTTTAAAAATAACAAATACTTATATTTAAAATATAAATATAATACATATTGAAAATATAAAAAAATTATGATTCTAAGTTCTTAGAGGAGAAAAAGGATAAAATTTAAATATGCTAAATTACATCATCAAACAGCATATGTAAAAATACAGAAAATAATAGCAATATAGTCATAGCAAAACTTATATGTATTTATATTTTGGAACTTCAAATTTTATTTATTTTTAATGTATATTTATTTAATTATTTTCAACCTTTAGGTTCAAGGTGTACATGTGCAGGTTTGATACATGAGTAACAATTAATGTGTCTCGTTGGTGTTTACTGTATAGATAATTTCATCACCCAGGTAGTGAGGCTAGTAACTTACGTGTAGTTTTTTAACTCTCCTCCTCCTCTGACCTTCCCCATCAGGTAGGCCCAGAATATTTTGTTCATGTATATAATCATGATACACATATAAACATAATATTCTGAGATAAATTGGGGTGGAATAAATTAAATACTTGAATACATTTAATTTATCCCAGATATTATATTTATCAAATGTTCCCATCATTTAATAAGTGAATCAGTTCAAGATAAAATAGTAAGCATATATTGCCTAAAATTATCTCTTTTTAAACAGCTATTAAACGTTAGACAGCTTTCTTTAATCTCAATTCTGATAGCTGCTATTTACTAATTTTGAAGGTATTCCCTATCTTTCTCATTAACTTTTCCCAGTAATTCAGTTAAGTCACATATTCCTCCAACATTTTGGCCCATTAAATTAATCTGTACGTCACGAAAACTTAAGCTATTTCTAGTTAAAGAAACTAGAGGCTCACATTGTACATCTTTAAGAGAAGTAATTTTTGATGACGCCTTTCTTTTAAAAACAATTATTTAATTAGTAAAACAATCTGTTCTGTGCTGGTAGTGACATGGGAGGGTGGCCTTGACTCTGAGGAAAGTATAGTACCTTTTAGGAAATGAACAATCCAGCTGTGAGAAAATGAGAGATAAGTATTCTATTTGTATCTGTATCTTGCTTCAATATAAATTAATTTGAGTGAATGCCAAAGCTACATGAGGAGCAAGAAGAGAAAACATTGAAAGAAAGGGAATCAAGAGAAAATTTAGATGAAAATAGGAAAAAAAAATAACCCTAGGTAAGATTGGTAATCGAAACTTCTGTGAAAATATTTGCTGTGAGGTGTATTTTGCCTTTGGCTCCATGGTAGCCAAAGTAAAGAGGGAAATAGAATCAGTTTAAAAAAAAATTGAAACCAATATAATAGGCAAAGTATAAGTATCAAAATAAAAACATTAATTAATAGTGAATGATCGCTTCTTTTTTTTACATGTAGAATAAATATAGTAAGTTTTAAAATGGCTAAAAATGTAATTTAATCTAGCCATTATGGAAAATGGCATAGAGGTTCCCAAAATAGCTGAAAATATAACTACTATAATATCCAGTAATTCTACTTCTGGTATATATCCAAAGGAATTGAAAATCAATGTGTTGAAGAGATATCTGCATGCTTATGTTTATTGCAGCATTATTTATAATAGCCAAGATATGGAAACAACCTGTGTTTATTAACAGATGAATCAATACAGAAATATTATATTACAGTACATAATAAATATTATATATATCAGTGTATACATAGAAATATTTACACAGTAAAACACCATCCAACCTTAAAAAAGGAGTATATTTGGCCCATTGTAACAACATGAATGAACCTGTAAGATATTATGCTAAATGCAATAATGAGACTATTTCTCATACCATGTTCTCAATGGAAATCAACGACTGAATGCTTCAGGACAATTCAATGCATGTAAATCTATAAAGTTCAACAAATGTCATCACAAATGAAGCATTCTCAAGATTAGGCTTAAGAAGTGTGAAAACTTAGATTATTTAGTATATTAAATTTTAAGTGAATTTTTCTTGTAACTTTTGGCTATTTTCATCAAATGTCTTTGACAAGTACCCAAGATGCACTTATATTAGTTTGCTAAGTAATACATGTCAATAGTCAAGTGTGGTATAGCAATGATTGATAAGTTCTTTGAGGCAACAAAAGGATAACCAGGACATAGGCCTACATAGAAGTTGTTCTCACTTATGAATAGTATAGTGGGGCAGGGAGTGCTCTAGAAGTACAGGGCTAAATTTATTCACAAAACAACTTTGTACAATTCTCAATCAAAGAAACATGTTAAGAAAAACCTATATATTTTCTCGTTTCAGATTCAGAAGAATATGAATTTGCATATGGGCCCAGTCTGAAATCAGAAAAGTCTTTGTTCACTGCAAAGTTAATTTAATGAATTAAAATATTCAAGTAAGGCAGTAAACAGCACACTAGATACTCAAGAAAATCAAGTCATTAAAATAAAAAAGTGATCCTACAATTGTTAAGGAACTCAGAAACAAAATAAGTAAGGTGTAAATATGATCAGCAAACATAATACCAGTGTATTGAGTAAATGAAATATAAATATTGTAAACCCTCCAGAAGGTGCAAATTGAACAGAGAAGAAATGCGTATTAAATAGAAGAAATTTCTGAATTGATTAAAATTACAGTCTTTAAAGGTTAATTTCATAGATAACAGTAGAGCTTTGATAGCTGCATTTTTTAGGTGGCTTATAAAATTCTGATGCCTAGTCAGGTTTTAAAGCCATTGGTCTGAGATATCTATTAATGTAAGTAAAAATTACAAAAGACATGTTGGGAAGAATTTCTTTCTGAACAGTGAAACATAGACAAAAATAAAATACAGAATTATTTTTGGGAGGGCTATTCTACTTGTGTCCTAGATCATATCCATATATAAATATGATATATATAATTATAACAATACTATCATTCAGAAATAATATGACTCAAATGTCATTTCTCTGGGGATTTCAACTGACAAAATTATTCTCAAATATTTGTTGAAGAATAAAAGACTTATCTAAAGTCACCTTCTTGTTGAGGTCTTCTTGGTTAAGAGTTAGCATCTACTGTTCTATACTGTCTTTGTTTCCTGTGGTAATATCCTCTGACATATCTGACCTCAATTTTTAACAATATACATGCCCAGTGGGGACATTACTTAACAAATATGCTGTGACCATCATAGTTACCTTATCTTAAAAATCTATATCATAAATTCATTCCAAAACCTAAGCTATATACAAGAAGAATGAAAACAAACAAAATAATTGCTACAGGTTTAAAGAAAGACCACGTTAAACTGAAGACATCTTCTTCCTGAACAACTCAATCAAAATTCTGTATTGATGTGGAATTATCTGACTTATTGATTTGTTATGTCACACTGCTGTTTTACTTCACACAAGATGTGGAAATCATAGTCCGTTTGCCCTCTCACTCTGTGTATTTTGAAATCTACAGTACCCAACATGGTTCCTTTGACACCTTTTAAATAATTATCTTAAATCCCTATTAATGAAAGCAAAATCATACTAAAAATGAAAGTGTGATCCAATGATAGAATGAGTTTTCAAAAATGCTTATCATCTCTAAAATGTATACATTTACTTTGCCCTTCATTCAATCCAACCTCTGTTCCTGGTTTTTATTTCTAACCATAATTAGATCATTTTTTAAAGTGAGCTAATATTAATATCTATGCATTATAATCTAATATTAATATCTAAGCATTGTTATCTGAATATAGAGAAAATAAAATTTTAAGACTATCTGCAAAATTGGCTGAATACCAGTGTTTTTGCAACGTTTAATGGGGAAAGACCACACACATATAACCTCAAGGTGATTTAGTTCAGGGTATAGGCAGTGCTAAAATATTATAGCCACAAAGGACACTTTCCTATAATCATATTTAAAATACTTTATATATTCATTTATATGATTATTAGTATGCACTCTATCAAACATACATTTCTTACAGTTTACCTAGGGGAGAAAGTGAGACCACACTGGGAATAGGTTAAGATATTCTATCTCTGATTTTTAAAAAAAATCTGTGATGATAGACCCCCTAAAAAGAACTCAGATGGGTTATGAAAAGTCTATGATTTCATAAAATATTTAGCAAAATTTTCTGTGCATGTGAGTGTATTTTAAGGACATAGCTGCCATGAGGTTTGGAATACATTCTCTTACAAAAAAAAAAAATTATCTGAAAAGTCCTACAGAAAAATCAACTAATGACAACGTAGTATACTTAAATGGAAAATGTCATCATTCACTGCCTTGGACTTTGTAATAAAATGAGCACATATCCATCCTAAAGACACAATATTTAAAGATACGAACTCGGAAACATTGCTTAAGTAGACTCTTCATCAGGCATTCTTAACAATTTCTGAGGTTGATTTTACTAACACAAAAGACTTGACAGACTTAGGTTCTTAATCTGTAAGAATACCAAGCACCAGGCACTGGTAAGGGAGTAGAGAGCCTATTGTTCGCCATTTACAACTCAATCATTGTGTAATTGTGAAGGTCTGGTTTCATAGTTAGGCTGGGTAATGTCAACAAAGCAAGAGCTTGGGTCCTAGACAATAAGCCATGGGCATTCAAGTTATGAGCTCATTTAACTCATCTACAACGAAACAATAGCAACAATTACAAACAAATAAAAACCTTAATAATAAATCACCACTATTGTGAGTTGAGGGTAAAGCAGGCATCTGCTCAGTTATAGAGTCAATAATTGATGCAGATATTTAAAGTGATGTATAGTGTGACTATCCAGGCAATAAAGATTTTATATGTATTCCATCATAAGGACCATGCCAGAGCTGTCATTTGCTGAAAGACTGAATCAGTCTTAATGCTGTCTCCTTAACAGCTCAATGACACATGGCTCTCTGGTAGAATGTCCTACTCCCATTCAGAGTGACCTTTGAAAAATTTACTTTACCCTAGAAGATATCTGAGGTTTTGAAAAATATAAAATCACGTAAGAATAATAATTACTGTTTATGGTAATGATAGAATAAGCATTCCACCGTGTGTATAAACATATCCCCTGGAGTAGAGTTTCTTCTATTACAATGCAATCTTCCTAATGCTATCATAACCCACATAGGTGGAGGGGAAGCATTACACTTAATTTTGTAGGAAAATTGAGCACCACCAAATCTACTACCATTAACTGTGATACAAATAATTTTATGTGCTATATAAAGATTATTACCCTAATATGCAGTTCAGATGGCTTTCTGATAACAGAGTCCATGCTGTATAGACTTGATAACAATGTTTCCAAGTGGACTTCCTCTCCATGAGACAGGCCTGGCAGAGAGCAATGGAGAACAAGTGTTGGCTGTCACATGTTTGATTACCTTCCTCACTAAACCCGTGAAAGAGAGGCACCGAGGTGCGAGGTGGCCAAAAAGTTCACAGCCATTTTCTTTTTCTTTTTTTTTTTTACTTTTATAATTAAAATTTAATTTTAATAAATGCTTGAAGTAGAGTTGCTCTGTCCCTCACCTACCAGCCCTGAGGCACTTCCATAACATTAAATCCTGGTTTATGAGTTCACAGCATTTAGAAAGCCTGGGGACAGGAGGCAATCCTTTTCCTAGCTATCTATGTTCAATAAGACATACGGACAAAGGGGAGGCAGCTAGAGGTGCGTCAGGCCATCCATTTTGTCAACTATGAAATCTGCAAATGGTAGTCTCCGCAACAATCTTATGAAAATATGTTTGCTGTGGGAAATAAAAAAGCCAGCAAGATCATTGCTTCATTGCTTTGCATCTTCCTAGCATTCAGTTACCAAGTGAACAAAAGAATACATCTAGCTCAGGAACATTCATAAAGAATGAGTCCCAAATTTGATAGAACACAGTAGTGTAACAGTGTCCTGCTGTGAATTTGTTTCAGAATCGGCAGGAGTATCAGTAGCATTACTAGGTATTTGGATTGGGATGTTAGTACTAGGGTCAGCAACAATTCTCTTGCTTTTAGCAACTGAGCTCTTTAAACAACTGTCAACTGCAGTATTTAACAAAATAATAAGACATGCAACCATTTTATTGTCTATTTCATCCTGGATAGGTGCTTTGGAGGCAAAAGATATTTTAATTTACCCTGATGGAATGTCCAATGAAATAGTCTAGATGTGGCAATTGTCCCCTAATCATTGTTGCACACCTGAACTCAAGGGGAGACAAAACTAAAGGACAGAATTGAATATTTAAGAGATAATTAGGAATGGAAGATCCGGAGAGAAAAAGACTGTGACATGTCAGAAAATAAAGAAGATGTAGATCTGAATGGAGTGAAAATTCAGAAAATCGAGGAGTCCAGAAGATAAAGCAACTGTTTGGCAAGAGTTTTCGAAGGGAAAGAAACACACAGCACTTTCCGAGACCAAGGCAGGAGGATCCCTTTGACCCAGGAGTCTGAAGCTGCAATAAGCTATGATCTCACCGCTGCACTCCAGTCTGGGTGACAGGCGAGACTCTGTCTTTGTTTTTTTTTTTGTTTTTTGTTTTTTAATAGGGACAAAAACAGGGCAGACCTTCCCCTTGAGGCTAAGGGGATGCAAAACTCTAGGCAAAGAGAAGAGAATGATGTACTTCAAAAAAAAAAAAAAAAAAATCCACAGCAAGGCAGACGATCCCACCCACTTCTGGCACTGGTAGCTTGGCAGGCAACAGTTCTAGAGATCTTGCAGTGTAGCAATCATGAATTTGTATAAACTGAATGACTTAAACATACATTTTTAAAATACCCTTTGGCCGGATGTGGTGGCTCATGCCTGTAATCCCAGCACTTTGGGAGGCCGAGGCTGGCGGATCAGGAGGTCAGGAAATTGAGACCATCCTGGCTAACATGGTGAAACCCCGTCTCTACTAAATATACAAAAAATTAGCTGGGCGTGGTGGTGGGCACCTGTAGTCCCAGCTACTCGGGAGGCTGAGGCGGGAGAATGGCATGAACCCGGGAGGCAGAGCTTGTAGTGGGCCGAGATCGCACCACTGCACTCCAGCCTGGGTGATGGAGCGAGACTCCGTCTCAAAAAAAAAAAACAAAAAAAAAAACCCTTTAAAATACACACACACACACACACACAAACACACAAACACACACACACACAAATTCAATGCTTTATTTGTAATGGTTGTTGAGAACATATACGAGATAAGTTTAACCTCTTCTAGCCTGGCTGTCAACATGTTTGAGCAACTTTATATCCATCCACTCACCTCCATAATCCTCAACTTTCTTCAAATTAATAAGCATGCCCATTCCTATACTACTGTTCATACTTTTCCTTCTGAAAATGACTATTTTCTTCCTCTTTCCTTTTCTTTATCTGCTGCTTCTTTCCATTTGTGTTTAAGAACCTACCCAAATCTCACTTTTTCTGTAGACCCAAACATGTTTTCAGAGGAAAAAACTTCTCTCAGGTTTCTAGGTAAAGTTTGACCTGAGAAGAATAGGATATGCCTATGAAATAAATTGGTTCCTTTATATATCAGATGGTAGTTATGTGAGGTTATATAAATGGGACAAATAAAACCTAACTATTATGTAAGACTAGAGTAGCGAAAGAAATGTGTACTGGTAGGAGAATGTGGACTTCTGCAAAGGGATATTGACAATATAAGTTGTAATGGATTTTTTAAACCAGTTTCTGAATATACATGAATATGGATGATAATTATTCTTTTCCTATATACCACGTATTAACAAAATAAATGTCAAGCAGTGTGTCACATTGCACGCTCTTTGTTTTCATGATTTCAGTAACCCTTGAACATATTTTGAAGGAAACAGTAAGAAATTAGATTCAAATATGAATTATCAGACTATTAGGGATCTGTTTTCATTTAAACAAGCACTTCAGGTTGCCCATACTAATTTACAATAAATAAAATAATCTAAGAAAGACCTAGTTGTAAATAAATGCATACAAAGAAAGCGCAATGCTAATAATAACAAAGGCACAAAAGGAAAGGTTGGGCTTCAGTTAATATTTTATTAAAGATAAGACCATGGATATAGAAACATAAAAATTTCAAACACTTTTTCAGCAATCTTAGAAAAATGGAAAAGAAAAAATTGGGCATGGTTGAACTTCATTCTCCAAGAAAAGTTAGAAGGTAGGTAAGTTACACTTTCATTTGAATATTTATTAGTGTAAAGGAAATAAATGCGATAAGGCAAGTATAAAACAATTTAAATGCTTACAATCCTATAAAGTGATGAGTGTAAAGTACAAACAAGCATATATATTAAATAATACCAGATGTCGTAACTCAAAATAGCTCAAAATGGGTAATGATGAGAGATGGCAGTGGAGGGTTGCAAGGGAGAGAGAGAGATTTAAAAGTAATTATAAGTGAGGAATAAAAAAAATTAAGGTCACTAGTAAAGAGCAGAAAACAGCTTTAATCATATAGATAGAAGAAAAAAATTGCACACACAAAAATGATAAGTCAGAGGTCCAAAAATATAGCTCTAAGCCCTCATTCTGCAAGATAAATAGCAGGAAACAGAAAAATACAAAAAAACAGCACCATAGCAATTCCTTTCTGCTGTATGTCCAACATGGCACTGTGATAACTGATTTTCTTTTATGATTTCATTTAATTCTCATGCATCTCTGTTAGGTACATATTTGTCAGGTGGGTATCCTAAAGATTAGAACATTCTAGAGATCCGAGAATTGATTAGGGCCTATTCAATTCCAAAGGTCCTATTCATAACTGAAATATTGTACTAAACTAGAGTTTAAAGTAGTGAAAAAAGACACCATAGTTGAAAATGCACAGCGACAGCAGGGCTTTGGAGAGAAAAAAGACTTTGGTAAGCCCAGTTGTTTTTCTATTGACTTTTGTTGTCATTGCAGTAAATGCTGAATATGATCAGTAAACTAGACAGACAGACAGAGATAAATGGACATAAAAATCACATATTCCAATATTTCTGTCATACTTATAATAAATAGTACATTGATGAAGTGTGTTGCCAGCTTCCAGCAGGCTTTGATGGCTTTGTCTTTCAATAGTTGGATAACTATGTTCATAAAATAGAAATTAATTACATTTATATAAAAGTATTGATACCTCCTATTCTCATTCATTTCACTAATGTTTGAAGTCTGAGCCAATTTACATTATTCATAATTGAGTATTGTTTGGATTGAATACTTGTGCCCCTCCTCCCATAGTTCTATGCTGAAATCCAAACCTCCAAAGTGATGGTATTAAGAGGTGGGGTGTTTGGGATGTAATTAGATCATGAGGTTCAAGTCCTCAAGAATGAGATTAGTGCCTTTACCTTCCTGTTTAAATCACTTCCTTGATGACATGTTTCCTAACCTTAAAGTCAATCTATCTCTGCTTCCATTGAGATGAGGTTGCATCTGAAGCACTCATTTTACTTGAATATTTAATGTGCTAGTATTTTATGTGCTCATACCAGAGCATAAATTCCTTCAAGTTGAAAACATGTTTTACTCCTTTCTTAACTTCTGATATCTGCTCAGTAGATGGCATATACTAGATATTCGATGTATTCATGAATAAAAATCTTTTAAGACTGTATAAATTTGGTAGTTTGTGATTTACTACATGAAAATGATGTATCCCTTTTCTTAGTTTAAAATAACAAACAGAATTGAATGAAATTGCTCACATCCCAAGAATTTGAAATGAGATACATTCTAAAAAAATCAGCCTTTTCTCATTGATTAACCAAACACCTTCGTGCATGACAAAGTAAGCCATTAAGAATCTTAGATTATGGAAATAAAGAAATAAAGACTTGAGAGTTGAGAACATAGCTCATTATAGAACATATAACTATGTGAAGGAAGAAAAAGTAAAAGATTTTGAAATGGACAAGTAAATGGAGAGGGAACTCTCAAAAGTAGAAGAATAAGATTACCAAAACATTTGCACTCATGTCTAGATAGATACTGGTCTTCAGATATTTACACATTCTTTTCTCCACATGCTCAACCTGCTTTCTTTATGTAGCCTAATACTTCAGGAAAGGATGGCAGCAGCAAAAGAGTACAAAAGATGTATGTAAACGTTTACTTGCAAAAAACTGCAATATATCTTTTACCCACTCTACACATCTTTACCTGCAATTTAAAAGAGAATCCACTTCATTTTAAAGTATATATTCTGAAATATTAAAATATAGTTTTTTTATGAAAATTAATGTGAAAATCTTTGAATTTCTAAAAGTGATACTTTAAAAAGTTTCAAGAATCTTATTAACAAATGTTTTTTAAAGTTTACTGATTTGCAAATGTCAGGTAGTATGTATTATTTCTTATATTTTGGATTATACTGCTCACAGAATTATTTATTTAATAAATCAGTTAGATTTTTAAGTGGATATTTATGTGTGCATACAATGTACATATACAACATAATACTAAGTTTAGGACTTGCAGATTGAAATTTAAAATGACTTATTTTGAATATATTTAGTGTTATTACTTCAAATAAGGCAGCATTTTAAAGTAGGTATTCTTATAGAATTTGGCTTTCATTTAAAGAAACTTTCATTAAAAGAAAAATATAAATATATCACCTTAAATTTCTATGTGTGCTGGTGAATAAAGACAGATATTTTCTCTCAGCATTCCATTCATTTATTAATAAGAAGACTGTAACTCTATGTTATGGGAGAGGCCTGTCTCAAACTTACGTGACAATTTTCCAGGGCATTTGCCACACCATTTTATCACAAAGGCAGATTGAGTTCAGAAAAACCTTCTGTAGATATGTAAAGCAACCTTCTGTCTCTCATAAATCATAATTTGTGCTCCTTATGTATGAACAGAAGGTGTAGGTAAACAAAGTGATTTGTGGAAGTTGGCTATTTTTCTCTAAATTTCCAATCTCCTCAGAATCTCCTTATTTTAGCTTTTATTGATCTCTCCTTCAATCTCAAATCCTTTTTTCTCCCAGATAGAATAACCTCATTGATAGTGGTATCTAAATGATTCATCATTGCTTCCATTTCTTACTATCCTCTATTTTTCAGTTTCTGGGGGATTATACATATTATTCATGATGGGGCTGTTTCAGACCTTCTCTTGATATGTGTTTCACTTCTCTATTGCTATACTAAAAAGCACTCCAAAACCTGTCATTTGCAAATCAGTAAACTTTAAACAATATTCATTAATAAGATTATTGAAATTTTTTAAAGTATCACCATTTAGAAATTCAAAGAACTTTCACATTAATTTTTGTCAAAAACTAGATTTTAATATTCCAAAACATATACTTTAAAGGGAGGTGGATGCTCTTTTGAATTGTAAGTAAAAGGAAAGAAGAAAGAAAGAAAGAAAGAAAGAAAGAAAGAAAGAAAGAAAGAAAGAAAGAAAGAAAGAAAGAAAGAAAGAGAGAAAGAGAGAGAAAGAGAAAGAAAGAAAGAAAGAAAGAAAGAAAGAAAGAAAGAAAGAAAGAAAGAAAGAAAGAAAGAAAAGAAAAAAAAGAAAAGAGAAAAAAAGGAAATCATTTTTTGCTTGCAGTTCTGCAGTTGGAGCAAGTGTTACTGGGGATAACCTGCTTCTGCTCTCTGTTATCATTTGGGGAAGTTCAAATAGATCTTGGGCCTTCATTTCCAAAATGGCTCACATATGTCTGGCAATTTGGTCCTGGGTAGCAGCTGGAAGCAAAGCTGAAGGCTGTTGACTGGGGGACTGAGTTCCCCTCTACATAGATTTCTCCACATGGTGGCTTGTGCTTTCTTGCAATATGACAGTGAGGATTCCAAGAAGCAGAAAGCTGAAATACCAGTCCTTTTACAGGATAGGTGTAGAACTGGAATAATGTCACTTTTGATGCATTCTATTGGTAAAATAGTCACAGGACCAGCGTGAACTCAAGGGGATGAAAAATAAACTCCATCTCTGAATGTGAGAGGGACAAGTTCTGGCCATCTCTACTCCATCTCACTACCCAAGTTGGAAATCACTCTCCCTCATTCTCAACAGATGATTTGCTTCCTAAAGAAGTGTTCCCTGAGTCTTCACTTTTGTATTCCAGATCTACCCTCATCTGTAGATATTATACTTCTTTTTGTTACACTTTCTTTTCTTGTTTTCTCAGCAATTATCACTTTCTTTTTTATCAATAATAGGAGATATTATTCCTCCTTAACTACCTTAAATGTGCAATTTGACCTCCTCCATCACTTCTTTTAATGATTTGTCGAATTGACAATTTCTTCACTTTTCAGCATCAGCCATATCTTTGGCTTTTCTGCCTCACTCCCTAGCTTGCTTGTTTCTTCTAAATCATAACCTTTAAAAGAACAACTTCCCTTTTATTTTACTTAACAGTTTATAAATTTCTATGCAAAGATTTTACATTTTCATTGGACGTATTCCTAGGTATTTAATGTTTTTACTGCTATTGTAATAGTATTATATTAAATTTAATTATCTAATGATTCCTTGCTAATATATAAAATATGTATTTTTGTTTAGTGATATGATTTATTGAATCAAATAATATTACTTACATTCTTTTGAAAGTACTAGGTATAAGTCACATTAAAAAATACTTGGTTTTGTCCAGGCACGGTGGCTCATGCCTGTAATCCCAGCACTTTGGGAGGTCGAGGTGGGCGGATTACCTGAGGTCAGGAGTTCGAGACCAGCCTGACCAACATGGAGAAACCCCGTCTCTACTAAAAATACAAAATTAGCCGGGCATGGTGGCACATGCCTGTAATCCCAGCTACTAGGGAGGCTGAGGCAAGAGAATCGCTTGAACCTGGGAGGCGGAGGTTGCGGTGAGCCGAGATCATGCCATTGCACTCCAGCCTGGGCAACAAGAGCGAAACTCCATCTCAAAAAAAAAAAAAAACTTGGTTTTGCCTATAATAATAGTATTAATATTTTACTTTTCTAATCCTTCCTTTTAAAATTGATTTATCTCTCTTTACTTTACTAAGACTTACAGGAGAATTCTATATACAAGTAGTGATACATGGCTATAGCCTGACCAATGGAAAAGCATGCAATATTTTATCACTAAATGTAAAGCATGCTATTTTCTTTTGTAGATTTTCTTTATCAGATTAAATCACTTTCTCCATTTTGCTAAATATCTTTATTTAAAATAGGTTTTTAATTTTATCAAGTGCTTTTACTGCATCTTTTTTTTTTTTTTTTTTTTTGAGACGGAGTCTTGCTCTGTTGCCCAGGCTGGAGTGCAGTGGTGCAATCTCGGCTCACTGCAAGCTCCACCTCCCGAGTTTACACCATTCTCCTGCCTCAGCCTCCTGAGTAGCTGGGACTACAGGTGCCCATCACCACCCTTGGCTAATTTTTTTGTATTTTTAGTAGAGACGGGGTTTCACCGTGTTAGCCAGGATGGTCTCGATCTCCTGACCTCGTGATCCGCCCACCTAGGCCTCCCAAAGTGCTGGGATTATAGGCATGAGCCACCACACCCAGCCTACTGCATCTTTTAAGGTGATCATATTTCTCTTCTTTGTATTATTATTATGGTTATTTTCATTGTTTCATTTTCATAGCTTAAACAAACTTTGCAAGTTTTTAAGACACATATTATTATCCTTTTTACATGTTGCTGAATTTGACTTTCTGTTATTTTGTTTTCTATTTTGAATCCACGTTCAGAAAAGGAATACCCTGCAATGTTGTTCTCAATTAGTGTTGTTACCAGGGATATACTGCTTTAATAAAACAAGCATGGAAATGTTCCAATTTATTATGTCCAGTAAAAGTCTGCGTTCAGTGTATGCTCTCCTTCAAATATGTGTAAATGAAATCACATTGAAAATTACTTGGTTTTGCCTATAATAATAATATTAATGTTTTACTTGTCCAGTCATTCCTTTTCATCATACCACCTGATTTTGGAATTTTCTTTAAAAAATAAATTATAAATTAAAAGTTTAACAGATATTTTACCATTAAAGTATTTTTATTCTACTTCTCTCAAAATATATTGCATATTATTTTACAGACATTTGTCCATTTAATCAAAATTAGCAAATATAAGAAAAATAATTTTTACTGTATTTTTTAATGTGTGGGTGATCTATGGTGATGTCATTTTATTCTTGATCCTGGTAATTTTTGCTTTATCACTTTCTCTTTAAAGGTGCTTTCTCTTTCTAGGTGCTTGTCAATTGTATTAGTCTTCCTAAATTTTCAAAATTTTCTGTATTGATTTTATGTAGAGTATAACATTGATGGCTATTCTTATTTATTTATGACATATCTTTAATTTTTGTTTAACTTTTATGTTCTTTTTTGGGGGGGATACTTAGGTATTTGGTTTCATCCATTTTTCACCTTTATTTGCATTTGTTGCTTGACATCTGTTAATATATCATATTTTTATTTTAATTTCCTAATGTAACATTTTGATTTCTTCTTTAGTCTATGGCTTTTAAAAATTATATTGATTCATTTACAAACATTTTTTAATATGTGTTTTTATTAAAAATGTTTGGCTTATTGTAACTTCACTGTGATCAAAGAACATACTTTGATTTTAATACTTTGAAATATGTTGAGAACTTATAGTATTGACAACTTTGGTAAATATTTCATATTCTGTCAGTTTTAGGTGAAATTTTTCTTTATGTGTCTACTAGGTTAATTTTGTTGATTGTGTTGTTTACTCTTATATACCTTAACTGATTTTTAAGGTATTGGAAGATGTTTATTAATGCCTCCCCATTATGATGGTAGATTTTCAATTATTCCTTTTTAGAGCTTTCATTTTTGCTTTCAATATTTGTGTCTAAGTTATTTGGTACACACAAATTTATAGTTGATATGTCATCATCCAAATGGCTTGAATATTTTATCTATTCCATGACTCTTTTTGCCTTAAAGTTTATATCATATGATATTACGATGACTATATTAGCTTTCCCTTGAAAACTACCCCTAACATACTTAAAGTGCCCAATTTTTTCGGCAATAACATCATCCTGAATTTTTCTTACTCTAAAGTACTCAATGAATTTCCTTCTAAAATACTGTTTTCTTTCAGAAAAGAATATTAGACTCAAATATCTGATCATGTAGTATGCAAAAGACGTTGCTGTTGCTTCTGGCTCCCCAACAACGAAAAAAGTCTTTGGGTCTTTTAAAATATAATGCAAATATATAATTTTTTGAAAAATTAGCATAGCATTTTGTTCTATCATAATTTTCTAATGATATGAGGTTCAATTTATTAACAAAACTTTATTTCCTGAATGTTCCCCACTTCAGTGGTTTGTGTGCTATTGGTTTCTCAAGATTTATGTATTAGCCAACTCTAATAGCTCTTTTAGAAATGTTTTTTAAATGCTTTATATAACACTGTTGATCAACAGTGCCAAAAACTCTCTCTTTGATTCAATAATATCCCAGTATACTGATTTGCAGTTTCCTCTTTTATCTCTCTGATCTTTCTACATTTTCTGTCACCTATACTAACATTTTACTGTGATTTGCCCTCATCTGTCTTATCTTCTCACTCCATATCCTTTCTGTTCTAATTAATTACCATAGCTTGAACTCTCTTTTTCATACAAATTATTCTCAACTCATATATCCCCTCTCTTGATCTCTCATGAGCTAATTCCACACTTTAAATCAACATCTAGACATTACACATGGATGTAAATTCTAAAAGAACTTTTGACAGTTTCCATTTATAGAGCTAAAGACCTTTTTAAATACTTTCTCTTTCTCTGTTTTTAATCTCTAGGGGAAAATACATATAAATTTCAACTATTACTTACGGTTTCTAAATAATATGTTTGAAGAACTGAATGTGCATTTCTCAGAAATGTGAATTCATGCTATTGGAACATATGGAATATATGATGCTTTTAGAGAAGATTTTCCAATAAGAAATGCAGCTTACCAAAATACGTCAGGATGCTTGTTAATGTTGACACTATAGAATAAAGAAGTGGCACTAACAGCTTCCTTAAATAAGGTCATGGGGTTATGATTTGATGTTTTCACGGCCAACTATGTCTGTATCAGAGAGCGTATAAAAATTCTGGAAATCTCCCTTTATAAACAATGATGTCTGCAGACAAAAACATCTATGTCCATATAGGAAATACTGTGAGCCCAGAATTACTCAAATATATGAAAATAACATGAATGTAGGAGAAGCAACATAAGCTCTTAGTGCAGTACAATTCTTCCCACATTATTTTTCTAACTAGGATTAAAATTAGAATAATTTTAGTAAAGGGAATAACCTCTCACTTCAGAAAATACTAAGATTGATATAGGAAGTTAGCGTATTCAGCAGATATAAAAATACATTCTCCAGTTCGATTCTTCCAATAACTTCTTCGTATTGTTTTCCCCATGATTGTCAGTAATTTCTCTATTATTACTACTGGGAAAGGCAGTCAAGCAGTCCGCTCTCCATCCTAACTCACCCAGATAAAGAGCCCTCATAGCCCTGTGCTAGGCTTCTTACCTAGTAATGAAATATCTTTCCTTGCTCTGAACCTATTGTACATTCCTTTGTTCTGCTTTGGCACCTGCATTAGTGGTCCCCAGGCATGCCCACAGCTTTCTGTGGTTCAGATGGCATGGGGGAAGGAGAGGGGACCCTTCCACGCAGCAGAGAGTGGGTTGTTTACAGGCATAGGGACTATGTTGGCTGCATAATGGATCTGCTGACTGCAGGGGTCTGGCACAGTGCCAGAAGTTGGCTCTTGTGTGCCCTTAGCTCCCCTCTTGCTGGAAGTAAAATGTCTACCACTTAAGCCAGGCATATATGTTGTCCATCTTCAGAGACCTCAAATCAGAAACTAGTCTCTTCCCTGAGTGGTATTTACCTGCTTTTTACCTTCACCATACTGTCTGGCCACCCAGTGAATAGTGAAAGAATTGCATCACACATTTAAAAACACTCTTAGGTACAATATATTAAGTTTGAATCAATCTTTTCTTTTCAACACATATCATATTTTACCTTTTATTTCCTTCCTACTTACATAGTTTCTTTGTTCTTTATGACCAGGGAAATGCAATAACTTGTCAGTGGGTATTAAGCACTCTAGCTTTGGGAATACAGTCATGTTTCCCTTAACCATGGACTATGTACTGAGAATAAGCAACACATTCTGAGAAATGTGTCATTAGGCAATTTTATTGTTGTGCGAACATCATAGAGTATACTTATACAAACCTAGATGGCATAGCCTACTGCACACCTAGGCTATATGATATAGCCTATTATTCCTAGACTTCACACCTGTACAGCACATTACTGTACTGGAAACTGTAGGCAGTTGTAACACAATGGCAAGTATTTGTGTATCTAAACATAGAAAAACATACAGTAAAAATAAAGTATAATTTTATGGGACCACCTTTGTATATGTGGTTGGTGGGTGACTACAACATCGTTATTGGGGGCACAAGACTATCCTCATTTCAATGTATTCTACATTTTCCTATTGCATCGCTCTTTCTAAAGCAAACTTTTTATCGTGTTACTCTCCTCCTTAAAATCTTTACTGCTTATTCGTGGCTTATCTTTTTTCCAAAAACTAGGAAGAAGAAAAAAGAAATTAACCTCTTTGGATGCATATGATAAATGACTCTTCTCTACATTTACACTATTTGCAAGCCACACCTAAACATTGTCTGTACATGTATGTGTGCAAGTGTGTGTTCATTTGTACCATATTCAGACCATATACACTTTCGAACATAATTTATATTTTACCTTTATTCATTCACTGAACTCAATAGATATAAAATGAAAGCTCAGACCAGTAGATCTCTACTCAGGTGACTTAACAGACTTACCTAAGGAGCCTTCACCACTCATCTGTCCGCAAGCACTACCCTACAGATTCTGCTATGGTTGGGCTGAGGTTTATTCTGACACAGAAATTTTTAACGTTTTCTTCTTTCTAACATGCAAGCAATAGGCTATACCATATAGCCTAGGTGTGCAGTAGGCTATGCCATCTAGGTTTGTGTAATTATACTCTATGATGTTCGCACAACAATAAAATTGCCTAATGACACATTTCTCAGAATATGTTGCTTATTCTCAGTACACAGTCCATGGTTAAGGGAAACATGACTGGAAATCCCTGGTTTAGGAAGTACAATCACTATAATAATTGTAAAGAATATGCAAATACAGAAAAGAGAGAATGTCCTACAGATATTTACTGTCAGTTGTGAGGGTCACCATTTTCAGGCTTTGGAGCAAGACCACATTGACTCTAACCTTATGCAAGGTGCTTAATGTTAATTAAGTCTTTTTTTTATTTTTACAATAGATATAAAATAGTATTTGTCTGATTAAATTAGTTCAGGCATGCAAAGCATTTAGCAGGCTTCTTGGTCCTTATTAAACACTTAATATAACTGTATTGTTATTCATGATGATACAAACTCACAGACAGCTGTTATACACAGTGTCATTACTGTATTATGGAAGAAGCAGAAAAAAAAACTTGCATTTTTCTGAAGGCCAATCATTATTTTACATAAAGAAATTCAGAGAGATGTCAGGTAATCCAACTTGACAGAAAGATAAAAATTGGTTCTATGTGAGCAATAGAATGATGGACATTTCCAGTAAAAAGAACAATAAACAGAGGCAAATACATGAAATTGGAAAGCCCAGGTTTTCTTTGATGACTATCAAATAGATTAGTAAGAACATGATATGAGGTTTTTAAATAGATGGAGTATGAATTACTAATTTTTTTAAAAAGTAGTTTGAGTACAGATTTAATGGACTTTTAATACAAAACCAAATACTGTATTTTGTTCATAGTAGAGCTATGTGTTTTAAGTGAAGAGCTGACATTAAGAAAGTATGTTCTGGAAAGGCTCAGTTTTCAGTGGCAGTCTGGGTAGGCGGGATAAAAATTACCAAAATCAACAACAACAAAAAATGAGAATCTGGTCCATGGACTTATGTAGGTTAAATATATGATCACTCATTAGTGCTTCAACAGGAAAAATACATTCAATTTCACGTGTGTATCGCCGTAGTCTTCAGCTTTTAGGGATCATTTCTCTTCCACAGGTACAATGGCTTTCATCCTCGTGGCAGAACCCTAAATTGTATCTGAACATGCTCCAGCCTGGTGGAGAAAGCAATATAAAAACAAAATCTATAAAACTATAGAATTTAGTTCTGAGATGTCCTCTATTCTAATGTGAAGTATTTATCATTGCATTATTACATATTTTTCTTCCTGTCATATTCATAATTTTTCTGTCAAGAATTTTGTTTTAAATTATTCAGCCAATGTTTACTTAAAACCATTTTACCTTGCCACACAACCCAAAACAAAAAAGACTTTACCCTCAAATTTTAATTGGTTTTAGCTTGGAAACTGATCTTTTGAAAATAAGGTGCTTTTTTTTTTTTTGAGATTCTAAAGATTTCAAAGTAATTAATTAGAAATAATTTAAGGACAATGTCCCTGGATATACCACTCGAACATTGAAAACATTCCTAAAACAAGACATCATGGCATAATTAGAAGCGTAAGGTAAAAAAAACTATATTGTAGACGAGCAATCTGTTCATTCCACGGTAAGCTCCAGTGATAAGCCTTTTTCATAATTGATATTCAATAAAAATACTTTGTAAAATCACGAGAACTCAGTCAAAATAAATACAGTAAAGTAACATAAGACACACAAAGCAATCAGTGGTAATGTTTAGTAGGATAAAATAGGAAGAACCAGAGGTTACATAAAGAAGTACAGAAAAGCTTTCTTTTAGGTGTGGTCTGGCTTAAATGGTAATCTCCTATTAAATTTGCCATGAATATAATGCTCAGCAAGTCATCAAATAACAATGTTTTAACCAAATATTTACTGAACAATTATGATACTCAAAGTTATGATGTACAAAATACAAGTGTACAAAGTTTAAACATTTTATTGAGTTTAAAATAAAATGATTTATTCCTTAAAAAGTACTATCACTAAATCAGAATTTGTAACGGCATCTCCTGTACCACAATTTTGATTTGAGCTTTCTTTTCATTTTACCTCATAATTTTTACTTGGTATATCTCCGTTAATGATCTGGATTAATGGAAGAACAGTTGTGTTAAAAACAGGTACTAGAGTCAAAGTATTGCAAGGATTCAGCAAAATTACATTAGAAGATAATGAGAGACTTGGATTAGTAAATATGAACCATAACTTAGAAAAGGGGCAGGAGATACATATTCAAGGGTTTATAGCAGTTCTGAACGTGAAAGGATGCAAATATTTTTGGTTACCCATCTGGGAAGAAAGTTTCATAGGTACTTTGCTGCCTCATCTATGTTTGGTGACAAAAGCTATTTCATGTTATTTTATTCCTCAAATACTGTCTTTTCATCATCAAAATAATTATCCTTAAATATAGTCATGATAAGTTAGAAATTTTAGCTGCAAAGCTTCATCTAGTGACAATAAGAGAGCATTTGAGGACCTTTGCTTCTTTACGTATAGCTTAGGGTAGGTAGGTCAATGCCTGGTTTCTGTTTATAGGGGTTTAATATCAAGTCATTTCATTGCAGTTTGGTCACAGGTTCTCTCAAGACTAATTGTATGCTCTCCAGCATCTTTGCTTCAAGGCACATACTTTTGAGATACTTGTCTCTTTAAGAAGCTTATTTTTTCTCCTGTTTACTTGATTTTAAATTGTAAGCTTAAACTCAGATCAGGAAGAAAGGAAGTCTGAGTTTGTGATAGTGTTCATGTTCTTTCTACTGATATTGTCAATCATGGTGAAGTAAAACATGTCTGAGCATTTATCTTAAGGCCTGTAAACATGGGGAGCAACATAAAATCCAGCAGCATCCATAGCAGGTGGTGAGAGCCACTCTGATGACAGAAAAATCTAGAATTAGTTAATCACATATATTACTAGGGAGGATGGAGAAAAGTATGAAGAATCTATTACATAGTTTTCAACTTAATGTGTAAAGAAAGATAACAAACCAGAGATTATTTCTTAAAAACACCAAATAAACTGATTATTTCACTGAGTCAAACCAAAATTAGCTTAATAAGTCCTATGTGGCATCATTAGCCTTAATTAGACCACACACACACACACACACACACACACACAGAAAAAGGAACACACACACGTACACGCAAAGAAACTCACAGAGAGAAACAGACACATGTACACACACACACACACACACAGAAACAAACACACACATGTACACCCAGAGAAACAAATGCATACACACACACAGAGAAACACAGACACATGTGTACACACACACACACACACACACACACACACAGAGAGACAGAGAGAGAGAGAGAGAAGCCTGTCACTATTTTTTGCTTTTCAGTTACGTTTTCCTAGCAAATTTGGCCACATTCCGACAGTTTTCTTTGGAAGATGGAGGAGGGGCAATGAGGACAAAGAAAATGCTTGAAATATCAAGTTAACTGAAATTGTTAAACAATCATTTCATAGAATCTATGTATGTTTCACAATTATAGGCTGATGTTGCAACAACTTTTTTTTTTAAGAGAAACTCTTACACAGTTAAAAGGATGGACTAGAGGGCAAGAGAAATTATAATCGATTATTGTCTTGAGTACTTCTCAGGATGTCTGCAACTTATTGAAATGAAAGCTTTCCAAGACAATTTACAGACTATCCTGATATAAAGTTCTAAATTGTTTATAAAGACTTCAAATTGCAAATCCATTTATGGAATTTTATAATCCAATGTATTGCTCAATCCCATACTACTCCAATACTGAGGGCTAATGGCTTAGACACAATGTGGCAATAATATCTACAGTAGCATGAAGTCATTTTTAAATTGTGGAATGACTTGTAGTTCACTGGCTGCCAGAACTCAAGCTCAAAAATAATAGTATATTGGTGCAAAAATTCTGTAGAAAGCTTAATGTTTCCTGTTATAATAACAAATAATAGCTCTGCATACAAATGGTGATTTCTTCCTAATTGAGCTATAAAATATAGCCTCAACAGGCACAAATCTTACCTATACAGCTTAATAAATTTTTGCATGCATACATATATATATATATACATATATATATATGTATATATATATATGTATATATATATGTATATATATATGTATATATATATGTGTATATATATATATGTATATATATATATATGTATATACATACACACACACCCAGGTAGCTACCATTCATATCAAACTCTTTTTTTTCTTTCTCTTTTTTTCTGCTTTTTAAATGTTTTATTTTTTATTTTTGAACTGTTTTAAGTTCAGGGGTACAGGTGCAGTTTTGTTATATAAGTAAACTTGTTTCATGAGGGTTTGTTGTACAGAATATTTTGTCATACAGGTGTTAAGCCTAGTAGCCATTAGTTATTTTTCCTGACCCTCACCCTTTTCCCACCCTCCACTCTCTGATAGGCTCCAATGTCTCTTGTTCCCCTCTATGTGTCCATGAGTTCTCATCATTTAGCTCCCACTTATAAATGAAGACATGTGATATTTGGTTTTCTGTTTCTGCGTTAGTTTGCTAAGAATAATGGCCTCCAGCTCCATCCATGTTCCTGCAAAGGACGTGATTTTTGTTCTTTTTTATGACTGTATAGTATTCCATGGTGTATATGCACCATATTTTCTTTATCCAGTCTACCATTGATGGGCATTTAGGTTGATTCCAATTGTGAATAGTGCTGCAATAAACATAGGCATGCATGTGTTTTTATGACAGAATTATTTGTATTCCTTTGGGTATATACTCAGTAATGGGATTGCTGGGTTGAATGGTATTTCTGCCTTTAGGTATTTCAGGAATCACCATACTGTTTCCCACAGTGGAACAGTATGGAACTGTAAATTAATTCACAATGGTTGAACTAATTTTGACTTCCACCGACAATGTATAAGTATTCTTTTTTTTTCTCTGCAACCTTGTCAGCATTTGTTTTTTGACCTTTTAATTATAGCCATTCTGACTGGTGTGAGATTGGTATCTCATTGCGGTTTTGATTTGCATTTCTCTAATGACAAGTGATGGATGTTGAACTTTTTTTCAGATGCTTGTTGGCTACATGTATGTCTTCTTTTCAGAAGTGTCTGTTCATGTTCTTTGCCTACTTTTTAAGGGGGTTGTTTGTTTTTTGTGTGTAAATTTGTTTAAGTTCCTTATAGATGCTGAACATTAGATCTTTGTCAGATGCATACTTTGCAAAAATTTTATCCTATTCTGTAGGTTGTCTGTTCATTCTGTTGATAGTTTCTTTTGCTGTGCAGAAGCTCTTTAGTTTAATTAGATCCCACTTGTCAATTTTTGCTTTTGTTGCAATTGCTTTTGGCATTTTCGTCATGAAATCTTTGCTTGTTCCTAAGTCTAGAGTAGTATCGCCAAGGTTGTGTTCCAGGGATTTTATAGTTTTGGGTTACTTATTTAAGTCTTTAATCCATCTTGAGTTAATTTTTGTAAATGGTGTAAGGAAGAGGTCCAGTTTCAGTCTTCTGCATATGGATAGCCAGTTATCCAGGCAGCATTTATTGAATAAGGAATCCTTTCCCCACTGCGTGTTTTTTGTCAGGTTTGTCGAAGATCAGATAGTTGTAGGTGAGTGGTCTTATTTCTGGGATCTCTATTCTGTTCCATTGGGCTATGTGTCTATGCTTGTATCAGTACTATGCTGTTTTGGTTACTGTAGCCCTGTAGTATAGTTTGAAGTCAAATAGTGTGATGCCTCTAGCTTTGTTCTTTTTACTTAGAATTGTCTTGACTATTTGGGCTCTTTTTGGGTTTCATATGAATTTTAAAATAGATTTTTACCATTCTATAAAGAATGTTTTTGGTATTTTAACAGAAATAGCATTGAATCTATAAATTGCTTTGGGCAGTATGACCATTTTAATGATACTGAGCCTTCTTATCCATGAGCATGGAATGTTTTCCCATTTTTTGTGTGTCATCTCTGATTTCTTTGAGCAGTGTTTTGTGGTTTTCCCAATACAGACCTTTACCTCTCTGGTTAACTGTATTCTTAGGTGTTTTATTCTTTAGTGGTAATAAGGTTGTGTTCTTGATATGGCTCTCAGCTTGCCTATTGTTGGTGTATAGGAATGTTAGTGATTTTTGTGCATTGATTTTTGTATCATGAGACATTTCTGAAGTGTTTATCAGCCTAAGAAGCTTTAGGGCCAAGACTATGGAATTTTCTGGATATAGGATCATGTTGTCTGCAAATAGGGATAGTTTGAACTCCTCTTTTACTATTTGAATGTCTTTTATTTCTTTCTCTTGCCTGATTGCTCTGGCCAGAACTTCCAATACTATGCTGAGTAGGAGTGGTGAGAGAGGGCATCCTTGTGCCAGTTTTCCAGGGGAATGCTTCTAGCTTTTGCCCATTTCGTACAATATTAGCTATGGGTTTGTCATAAATAGCTCCTATTATTTTGAGGTATGGGTTTTCAATAACTAGTTTATTGAGAGCTTTTAACATGAAAGGGTACTGAATTTTATTGAAAGACTTTTCTGCAACAATTGAGATAGTCGTGTGGCTTTTGTCTTTAGCTCTGTTTGTGTGATAAATCACATTTATTAATTTGTCTATGTTGAACCAACCCTGCATCTCAGGGATAAAGCCTACTTTGGATCATGGTGGATAAACTTTTTGATGTGCTGCTGGATTTGGTTTGCAAGCGTTTTGTTTAGAATTTTTGCATTGATGTTTACCAAAGATATAAACCTGAAGTTTTCTTTTTTGTTGTGTTTCTGCCAGGTTTTGGTATCAGCATGATACTGGTCTCATGGGATAAGATAAAGAGGAGTCCCTCCTCCTCAGTTTTATGGAATAATTTCAGTAGGAATGGTACCAGCTCTTCTTTGTACATCTGGTAGAATGGCTGTGAATGTGTCCCGTCCTGGGCTTTTTTTGATGGGTAGGGTATTTATTACTGCCTCAATTTCAGAGCTCATTATTGGTCTGTTAAGAGATTTAATTTCTTCTGGTTCAGTCTTGGGAGGGTGTATGTGTGCAGGAATTTGTCCATTTCTTCTAGATTTTCTAGGTTGTGTGCATGGAGATGTTCATGATATTCTTTGATGGTTATTTGTATTTTAGTAGAGTCAGTGGTAATATCCCCTTTTTAATTTCTAATTGTGTTTATTTGAAACTTTTCTATTTTCTTCTTTATTTAT
This sequence comes from Homo sapiens, assembly GCF_000001405.40. NCBI lineage: Eukaryota > Metazoa > Chordata > Mammalia > Primates > Hominidae > Homo > Homo sapiens. The sequence goes on from NC_000004.12 coordinate 30,076,936, forward strand.
CTATCTAGTGGTCTATCCATGCTTTTTTTTTTTAAAAAAAAAAAAAAAACCAACTCCTGGATTTGTTGATCTTTTGAATGATTCTTGTGGTGTCTCTCAGTTTTCTTTAGTTCAGCCATGATTTTGGGTATTTCTTATCTTCTGCTAGGTTTGAGGTTGGTTTACTCTTGGTTCTCTAGTTCTTTTAGTTGTGATATTATGTTTTTAAGTTGAGATCTTTCTAACTTTTTGACTTGGGCATTTAGTGCTACAAATTTCCCTCTTAACACTGCCTTTACTATGCCCCAGAGATTCTGACATGTTGTATCTTTGTTTTCATTAGTTTCAAAAATTTCCTGATATCTGCCTTAATTTCATTATTTACCCAAAAGTCTTTCAGGAGTGGATTATTCAATTTCCATGTAATCATACGGATTTGAGCAATTTTCTTAGTCTTGATCACTAATTGTTTTGAGCTGTGGTCTGACAAAGTGGTTTGTATGCTTTCAGTACTTTTGCCTTTGCTGAGGAGTGTTTTGTGTCTGATTATGTGATTGATTTTAGAGTATGTGACATGTGGTGATAAGAAGAATGTATATTCTGATCTTTTTGGGTGGAGAGTTCTGTAAATGTCTATCAGTTCCATGGGACCCAGTGCTGAGTTCAGGTCCTGAATATTTTTGTTAATTTCTGCCATGAATGTTGAAGTCTCCCACCATTATTGTGTGGGAGTCTAAATCTCTTTGAAGGTCTCTAAGAATGTGCTTTATGAATCTAGGTGTTCCTATGTTGGGTGCATATATATTTAGAATAGTTAGGTCTTCTTGTTGAATTAAACCGTTTACCATTATGTAAGGCCTTTCTTTGTCTTTTTTTATCTTTGTTGGTTTAAAGCCTCTTTTGTCTGAAATTAGAATTGCAATCCCAACTTTTTTCTGCTTTCCAATTGCTTGTAGATTTTTCTGCATCCATTTGTTTTGCATCTATTGGCATCATTGCATATGAGATAGGTCACTTGAAGACAGCATACCAATGGGCCTCTGTTCTTTATCAAGCTTAACACTCTGTGCTTTTTAATTCAGGCATTTAGCCCACTTACACACATTGATATGTGTATATTTGAGCCTGTCATTATGATGTTATGATGCGGACTTGTTTATGCAGTTGGTTTATAATGTCACTGGTCTGTGTACTTAAGTGTGTTTTTGTAGTAGCTAGTAATATTTTTTTGTTTCCACATTTAGTGCTTCCTTCAGGAGCTCTTATAAGACGGGTTTGGTGGTAATAAATTTCTTCAGCATTTGCTTGTCTGAAAAGGGTCTTATTTCTCTGCTTATTAAGCTTAGTTTGGTCAAATATGACATTCTGGGTTAAAATTTCTTTTCTTTAGAATTGTTGAATATTGACTTCAATTTCTTCTGCCTTGCAGGGTTTCTGCTGAGAGGTCTGCTGTTAGCCTGATGGGTGTCCCTTTGCATGTGATCTGACCTTTCTCTCTAGGTGCCATTACTATTTTTTCTTTCATTTCATCCTCGGAGAATCTGAAGATTATGTATCTTAAAGATGATCTTCTTGTGAAGCATCTTTCTGGGGTTCTTCAGCCCGGCTTGTCTTCCCTCTATCCACTCTCAGTGCCTTCCCTCCAAAGACCTGTTAGGAGCACACCATCATCTTGGGCACTCTGTAGTAGCTGTTCTACCTGACTGCATTTCATCGGCCATCTTGCCCAACACCACCCTCTGAGTTATGTTAATGGCTCTGTTCACATACTATGCTTCAATACTGAAAAAAAAAAAAAAAGTATCAGTTGGGTTCTCTGAGTAACAGATGCCCACCTAAAATTAGAAGTGCAAGATATTTATTAGGGGAAACAAACACGTGTGAAAGAGAAAAGTAAAAGAGAGAAGAAATAGTCAGGGAAAACCTTCATCCTCAGATATAGATCTGACACCTGGGGAAAGAACAGGGGAAAGAAGGAGAATTAGATGTGAAGAGCTTCGGGGGGCATAGCAACTCTGACAAAGTCTTGACCAGGCCTGTGGGGTTTGACAGCAAAGACTGCCTGTTAGGGAAATTCTATATTATGTAGGATATAGACTGGCTCAACTGTCCCTGCTGTGTTCACTCACTGGTTGGGAGTGACCCAAGGAGAGCCTGGCATTGGTGTGAACTTGCAGATCCCAAAGTTATGGGGTTGTCAAGTAACTATTAAAACATACCTTACAGCAAGTTCTCCTTTGATACAGGATCTGAGTGGATCACCTCCATTACTGCCACAAATATTTACATCAATAGCACTATTAAAATGAATTTAATTTTATAATCTATAAAAATAGCTATTGATGCAGAAATCACAAACCTCTAATGACATATACAACACATATGTAAAAGGGAAGCTTTAAGTTATTAGGGTGGTAAAATATATAAATGAAAATGTGTATACAGTTCTGAGAACAATGAGAAAAATTAAAACATAGAGAGGCCACTCTTCAGAAAGAATTTCAAGTTGTGCTCATATCATGTCATTAAAATGTATTGTTGCCATCAAATATCCAATCATTAAATGGTAATTGTTATAGAAAATGCTAAGAACTCTATCAGTAATTGTGAGAAGCAGGGTTTGGGTGAGTTGAAACTGTACCATTCAAGGAGAAAAGGGAGGTGTATGTCTTCTCAAGGACATTAAAAGTTATGTTAAATACACTTGTTTAAAATTCTAAAGTAGCGACATGAAATTATGTTTGATTTGTCAGATATGGTAAAATCCTATAGACAAATAAATAGAATATTTTAAGATAAAAATCTGCAACATATTTAACCACAAACTATGAGCATAGTTGACGTTTTTCTATGCAAAATAAACACCTTGAATTCTCATGCCACTTTATCAGGTTTCCTCATGATCATATCATTGTTTCACCTCAATGATAGCTAACTTTCAAACAATAATACTCTGCTCTTCTATTGAATATAATCTTACCTTTTAATTATAGCTGTCCTTTTCAAAAGTTGTTATTCATTCATATTACAAATATTTATTAAGCTTCTGCATTTTGCCTGAATCTTGTATAGACATTACAGATACAGCAATTCACAAAACAGACAAAATGATGGCCTTCTTGAGGTTCAAATTCTAGTGAGGTGGAGAAAGTCAAGAAGCAAACAACTTAGTACAATGTACAGTGTTTTAGATAGTGCTTTTGAAAACAATAAGCCAGAGAACACATTATCTGAAAGGGAGATTGCAAAGGTCAATAAAGTGGCCATCGATTCTCATTTTAAGAGGACGTTTGGCAAAAAAATGAAGGAAGTGAGTAAGTGAATCATGTGTATATCTGAGGGAAGAATATTTCAGGTATATCAATGGCAAGCAAAATGGAAACAAAATCATAATATAAAGGGAATCACAAGGAAAACAGGAAGAGTATTCAATAACGTAGAACAAAAGCCAGGGAGGATGTTTTTCTGAAGCTAAATGAAGAAGGAAAGAATAGTCAACTTGCTCAATTGTTGCTGATAGTCAAAATAATTACAGAACTGAGGATTTGTTATCAAATTCAGCAATAAAAAGGTTATTTGTGACCTTCAGAAAACGTTTCAATAAAATGGTTTTGATAACATGGATGAATAGGATTCTAGGGAAAATAGGTGTGCAAGTGGAAAGGATGAGTATAGAAAACACTCTAGCACCCTTGCAAAAGGAGGAGCAAAAAATGAGAGCTAGAGGTGAATGTGGGCAAATTATACATAGATTATACATATATATATATACATACACATATATACATATGTATACACACATACACACACGTAGGTACCTATAATTAAAATAGCTTATTTACATATATTTATATATGAAATTACAATGGGAGTGATGCAATAGAAAAAATACATTAATGAGAGGAAAATGATGATATGTGAGAAAGAAAATAAAATTTATGAATCAATGTTCTAGAGCAGGCAGGTAGGGATGGTTTCTGGGTGGAAGAGACAAACACTTCATACACAACAGGAATAATGCAGAAAGTATGGGAACCAAAGCATGCAGGTTTGTAAATATGGTTGGAATTCACCTTTGATTTCCCTTATTTTCTAAATGAAAGACTATCCAGTGAGCTTGACTTTAGAGGTAGACATATTGAAGACGTGAGGAAAGATGGAAAACAAACAAACAAACAAACAAAAAACACTTGTAATTGCCAGCAGGTTTATTACCCTACTTAAAGTGAGAGGTCTCATGTTTAAAGTGAGTTCCCATGGGATGTTCATGTGCTTTCTCCAGCCACCTTCATCTGCTCAGCTGATGAAAGAGAAAAACTGGAGGAGGGTTGAAACAGACAAGGAGTTTTTGTTTTTACAATGAAGTATAAGAAACTGGGAGGGGGTAAGGGTGAGGGCACATCCAAGGAAAGTGACTGTGATAAAGCATGATGAAAATCAATTTAAAAATGGAGAATTCAGAGGAACAGAGAAAGATGAAGTAATATTATATACATATAGGTTAGGAGAAAAATACACTTTAAAGCAGGCGTAAAAATAAGAATTTTCTGTTTTAAAAGGGCTTACAATAAATCTTTGCAAAGATAATAAAAAAGCTGAAGTGAAATCATCTCTATGTTTTGTCATTGGTCTGTTTATCTATCATTAAGAAAATTGCTACATTTCCGTATCTTTGGCAAAATCATTATACGTTTAAAACTATTCAATGTTTTTGTATATCCTTAGTCCACAAGGAAATGCCTAAGTTATTCTTCAGCTTTTACATCTCAAATAACCTTTGCATATTTATGATCTAAATGCTTTGCTCTATATGTGGCAGTACACCCATGTGAATGAAGTTTGTAGTTTACGTTAGTACCAATATCAAAGTGTGCCAAGTGGCTACAACAATTAAATAGCTAGAACTATCGTAGGGTGCATCTATGGACATAAGTGAAAGTCAGGGGAAGCTTCTTCTCACATGCTGTACTTGGCATGTGTCAGACAATTATGCACGTCATACATTAAAATACATTGGCAAACCAGACAGTATATAAAAAGACCACCAGTGTGGTGAGAGATCTTAAATGCATGCCATTTAAGAAATCTGGAAATAATTTTGGAATATTTTTATTTGCACTAAAGAGAAAAAAAAAAGACTCAGAGGACTGCATTTTGGGCAGTTTCAAATATACAAAAGCTCAAGAAAGGGGCAAATTAGAAATCTGTTCTGTTTTGCTTTAAAGAATAGAACTAAGGCCAACGTTAATATTAAAGAGGAAGAGTTGATTATTTTATGATTCATTTATTCACTAAATATTTATTGAGCAGCTGCTGTATGCCAAACACTGTTCTGGGTACTAAAAATACAGCAAACACACAAAAAAGCAAACAAAACAATGAACCAACCAAATAGGAATCACTTCCCATGTGGAGTTTACATTCTGTTGAGGGAGAATTTGAACTACTGGGTGTCTAATTATTAAAACTGTTTAGGAATTGCTGTGGATCATCAAATTTAAGTATATTGCAGAAGCAGTTTTACTCTTGAGTAGAAGTTCACATTCAATAGTATGTCTAATTCTAAAAGTCTTTTTATTTATTCAACTACAATAGTACTTATTTCTGGTGCAATTAATTATTCCCACATGCTAGTATTGCTTTTTTTGAAACACATTTACGTGCGGTAATTTTATCTATTTTAAATCCACATTTCTCAGTGGACTAAGAGAACATTCATCTAAATTGTTTGTAGAGTACCCCCTATATCATGCATGACAAAAGCTAATATAAATTGTTTATTGTTGATAACAATATTATTGATAATAATTTAAAACAGCATTCATAGAATTCAGATATTATAAAAAGCAAGAAGTCTGCAAAAATTGAAACATTTAATGTTTCAAATATCTCAGTAGAGTTAAAATATCTCACTTCATTACTTTTCAAGTTTGTATGCTACAGGAGTATAGTACTTTTCAGGACTGAGATAGGAAGAGAGCTAAAACCTATAACATGAGTTGTAAATAACTGGTAGGTTGACCCAAGTCTTCTATTACAACTGCTTAGAAAAACATTCCGACATGTTGTAAAGCTGTGAAGGGGAAAACTGTACACCTCATAACACAGTAATTCTGCTGTGGGATTGTACCTTTAGATAAACTGTTTCATATGGCCATCAGAAAAAATTGGCAATAAATATTTATAGCAAAACTTTTGAAATAACAAGGGGAATCCCAACCCAGGTTTTCATCTACAGGAAAGGCAAAAAACGTTATAGTATAGTTGTACAAAGAAATGCCAATTAGTCTGAAAATGAATAACTATAGTGACATACATCAATGTAATACAATATTAAAAAGAGATTTGATTGAAAAAGCAAGTCAGAGTATAAGTCAAGTTAAACAAAACATATTAAAAATTGAAGAAAGCAAGATATAGATATGACTGGTGAGAAGCGAAGTGTCTCTCTCCTATAAAACTAAAGGAGCTCCCAAAATATTCAAATATTTATTATTAGTTATATAATATACTTTTTGAAAAATATGCTTAAAATATATACAATATGCATATTGCTTTATACTAGTCTGTATATTAGAATAATATATAATATATATACTAGTCTATAAATTAGAATATATGACATATACAAAATTTTATTATATTATTTTTATTTGAATGCAATATTTAATAATAAATTTAATCAATCAGAGTCTTTGAAAGTGATGCTTAGCATCAATAATTTTAATAAGTTTCCCAGGTATTTCTTTTGCATAAAAAGTTTAAGACCTCTTAGAATTATATGAATATCAGACTTGCAAATTAGAAGGATCATTTTGGGAGGCACTTAATTGATAAATTTGAGGTAGATAAAACAAAAAGTAAGACAATCTGGAAGGATACTATTTCAGCTTTACTAAAGAGGTGATGAGCTCCTAAATTAGGTCAGCGACAAGAAAATGGAAAGAATGTGTATTTTCAATTTGCAAAATTTCCTGAATAATTGATTAGGTCTGGGGATTATGACTATGGGAGAATGAGAAATCCAGGAAGTCTAACACATTTCCAGATTATATCACCAATTGGTTCACCAGTTACCAAGTAGAGAAGACTGAAATGGAAGCCCTAGGGGGAAAGAAAACAAGTATGCTTTGGAATTTGTTCAGTGAAGTGCCTGGGGTAGATCAGACCCAGATAGTAAGATGTGAGACTCATGGGCATATAATTTTGGCAACAAGTGTGATCCAGAGATTTCATAGTTAATGACAGAATTTTTCTAGAAAGCCAATGTAATATTAGAATAGGAAAACATGGAGGACTAAACATTTTAAGCACTATATCATTTCAGCATTGATCCAAAACGAAGGAAACTGAGAAGAATTGGAGACAGGATTGTTAGACCAAGAGCCAAAATGAAGGAAGTAAGGAGGAAATACTTTTCAAAGAAAACACATGGGTCGACTGATCCAGAAAGTTTAGGAAAAAAGATACTGGGACTCAGTTATGAATATAAGCAGAGTCGAAAGACTATGAACTGGATAAAATTCATAGATTGAAAGTATTTATTTTTAAAAAAGCAGATTTAATCAAGTTAAAAATAGTCTAAAGATCTAAGAATGCGCATGTGGAATTAAGTAAATTGTGTGTGTGTGTGTCTGTGTGTCTGTGTGTCTGTGTGTCTGTGTGTGTATAATTGTATTCAGGTTTAAATTATAAGTCATTAAAATTAGGTCATCAAATAATGTGCAATTAGGAAAAGGATTTGTTTGTGATGGTTCCTTTTATGCCAACTTGGGTGGCCATGGGGGTTCCCAGATTAAACATCATCTCTCAGTGTGTCTGTGAGGGTGTTTTGGGATGAGATTAGCATTTGAATGAGTGGAAAGTATATTTACTGACTACTCCTATGTGGGTGGACCTTATCCAATCCCTTGAGGGCCTGAATAGAACAAAATACCCAGGAAGAAGGAATTTGTCCCTTTTTGTTTTGTTCCTGCCTGCTTTAGCAGAGACAGCCCATCTCATCTTCTCTGGCCTTCAGAATGGAATTTATACCTGGACTCCCCTAGTATTCAGGCTTTCAGACTGAATTAACCCACAGGTTTTTCTGTCAGCTTATAGATGGAAGTTCCTTGGATTTCTTTTTATTTTTCCTTTCTGTTAGAGGAGTTTTTGCTCTTGTTGCCCAGGCTGGAGTGCAATGGTGCTATCTTGGTTCACTGCAACCTCTGCTGCTGGGTTCAAGTGATTCTCGTACCTCAGCCTCCTGAGCAGCTGGGATTACAAGCACATGCTACCACATCTGGCTATTTTTTGTATTTTTAGTAGAGATGAGGTTTCACCATGTTGGCCAGCTGGCCTCGAACTCCTCACCTCAGGTGATCCGCCTGCCTTGGCCTCCCAAAGTGCTGGAACTACAGGTGTGAGCCACTGCGCCCAGCCTCCTGAATTTCTTATAATGGCATGAGTCAATTACTCATAATAAATCTATCTATCTGTCTATCAATTATCTGTCTATCAGTTATCTATCTATCGATCGATCAATCTTTCTATTTATCTATCTATCTTTATCTTACTGGTTCTGTTTCTCTGCAGAACCCTAATAGAGTATTTATGATATAGGATTAAATGATAAATCAATCTCAAAACATCCAGTAGAGTGCAATTTCACTCCTATTATATAACTGCAACAAAATATAATACAAGATTAACAATGTGTTGTCCTAGAATTATCGATTCCACATTACTGCATCTCCAGATTTTGTAATGATCACATCTTATTTGTATAATAAGAAACAACTCACTTGAATTATAGGCATGTCTTGGAGCTATTGTGGATTTTTTTTCAGAACACCATAATAAAGTCAATATCCCAATAAAGTAAGTCACACAAACTTTTTGGTTTCTTAGTGCGTATGAAAGTTATTTTTAGGCTGGGCGCCGTGGCTCATGGCTGTAATCCCAGCACTTTGGGAGGCCGAGGAGGGCGGATCACAAAGTCAGGAGATCAAGACCATCCTGGCTAACATGGTGAAACCCCATCTCTACCAAAAATACAAAAAATTAGCCGGGCATTGTGGCGGGCGCCTGTAGTCCCAGCTACTTGGGAGGCTGAGGCAGGAGAATGAAGTGAAACTGGGAGGCGGAGGTTGCAGTGAGTTGAGATCGCGCCACTGCACCACTCCAGCCTGGGCGACAGAGCGAGACTCTGTCTAAAAAAAAAAAAAAAAAAGTTATTTTTATACTATCCTGCAGTCTTAAGTGTGTAATAGCATTGCCTAAAAAAAATGTATAACCTCAATTTTAAAATATGTTATTGCTAAAAAATGCTAACAATCATCTGAGCCTTCAGTGCATCATAATTCTTTTGCTGGTGGAGGGTGTTGCCTGGATGTTGATGGCTGATAACTAGTTAGGGTGGTGATAGCTGAAGGCTGGTGAACTGTAGCAATTTCTTAAAGTAAGATAATAATAAAATTTGCTTCATTGATTGACTCTTCCTTCCTGAAATATTTCTCTGTAACACATGATGCTATTCATTTACCCACACTAGAACTTTCAAAATTAGAGTCAGTCCTCTCAAATCCTGCAGCTGCTTTATCAACTATGTTTAGGTAATACTGTAAATTCTTTGCTGTCACTTCAACAATGTTCACAGCATCTTCACCAAGAGTAAATTTCATCTTAAGAAACCACTTTTTTTTTGCACATCTATAAGAAGCAACTCGTCATCCGTTCAAGTTTGATCATGAGATTGCAGCTTCAGTCACATCTTCATGCTCCGCTTCTAATTCTAGTTCTCTTGCTATTTCTACTACATCTGCAGTTACTTCCTTCACTGAAATATTGAACCCCTTAAAGTCATCTATGAGAGTTGGAATCAACTTTTTCCAAATTCCTGTTAATATTGATATTTTGTTGACTTCCTCATACGACATCACTAGTGTTTTTAATGACGACTGGAATAGTGAATCCTTTCCAAAACATTTTCAATTTACTTTGCTCAGATCTATCAGAACCATCACCAAATATGGCAGAAATAGCCTTATGAAATGTATTAATATTTCTTAAGTAGTAAGACTTGAAATTCAAAATGACTACTTGGTCCAGCTGTGGAATGGATGTTGTATTAGCAGGCATGAAAATAACATTAATCTGCTTGTACATCTCCGTCAGAGCTCTTGGGCAAAAAAGTGCATTGTCAATGAGCAGTGATATTTTGAAAGGAACCTTTTTTTTTTGAGTGGCAAGTTTCAACACTGGGCTAAAGATACTCATTAAACCATGCTGCAGACAGATGTGCTGACATCCCAGGTTTGTGGTTTCATGTACAGACCACATAGTAGATTTAGTATCTTAAGTTCCCTAGAATTTTCAGAATGGGAAGTGAGCATGGCCTTCAATTTATGATCTCCAATTGTGTTATTTTAAAAAAAAAAGTCAGCCTGTCCTTTGAAGCTTTGAAATCAGGCATTGAATTATCCTCTCTAGCTGAGAAAGTCCTGGATGGGAATCGTCCCTCAGATACAGCCATTCCAGCTACCTCGAAAAAATCTATTGTTTAGTGTATCAACCTTCATCATTATTTTAGCTAGGTCTCCTAGGTAACTTCAGTTTCTGTCTCAGCACTTGCTCCTTCACCTTGCACTTTTATGTTATGGACATGGTTTCTTTTCAGAAGCCTTATGAAACAAATTCTGCTACATTCCCACTTTTCTTCCTCAAATCTTCCTCACCTTTCTCAGCCTTCAGAGACTTGGAGAGAGTGAGGGCTTTGCTCTGGATTAGACTTTCTCCGTATCACCAATAAGACTGTTTCACTTTCTTATCATTCACATGTTCACTTGAGTAGCTCTTTTAATTTTCTTCAAAAATGTTTCCTTTGCATTCACTACTTGGCTTACTGTTTGCAACAAAAGGCCTAGTTTTGGGGCCATCTCAGCTTTTTACTTTCCTGCCTCATTAAGCTTAATTATTACTAGCTTTTGATTTCCAGTGAGATATGTACAATCTTCCTTTCACTTGAACACCTGCAGGTCTCTGTAGAAATATTAATTGATCAGATTTCAATATTTTTGTGTCTTATGGAATAGGAAGGCCCAAAGAGAGAGAGAGAGAGAGACGATTAGGGAACAGCAAATCAGTGGAGGAGTTAGAACATGCACAATATTTATAAAGTTCATTGTCTCATATGGGCATGGTTTGTGGCACCCCAAAACAATTACAATAGTAACATCAATGAGCACTGATCACAGATCAACTACACCAGATATGATAGTCATAAAAAGGTTTGAAATATTGCAAGAATTGCCAAAATGTGACACAGAGACAGGAAGTGAGCACATACTGTTGGAAGAGTGGTGCTGATAAACTTGCTTGATGCAGGTTCGCCACAAACCTTCAATTTGTAAAAAAATGCAATATCTGTGAAGTGCAATAAAGCAAAGCACAATAAAACAAGGTATGTCTGTATTACTTTCATTTCTTACATTATCAAAGAAAGTTAAATTTTTATCCACATGAGTTAAATGTTCAACATCGTTTAACTCTGATTTTGAAGGCAAATGGTTTACTTGCTTACTGTGTGGTATTCCCTTGGAGAAAAAAATGGTATTTCTTAGTGTGTACATTCACATTTTCCTGCTGTTTATGGGGAGCTTATTTGTAGTTTATGTCTCTGTCTTTTTCATGTTAGTCTTCCCTTCTCAGCAAAGCCAACTGTGCATCTATTAGATCACTTTTGACCTCTATATTTTTCTTCTTCTCTTTCATTCTTTTATTTCTGTCCTTTTTCCATTTTACTTACACTTTTTTCCTCCTTATTTTTCACATATGAAGTTTTTTTTTCTCCTCTTTTTTTTTTTTTTTTTTTTGATTTAGAGTTTCACTGCGTCACCCAGGCAGGCGTGTGATGGTGTGATCTCGGCTCACTGCAACCTCCGCCTCCCAGGTTCAAGCCATTCCCCTGCCTCAGCCTCCTGAGTAGCTGGGATTACAGGCACCTGCCACCACACTTGGGTAATTTTTGTATTTTTAGGACAGGCTGGATTCTGCCATGTTAGCCAGGCTGGTCTCGACCTCCTGACCTCAGGCAATCCGCCCGCCTCAGCCTCGCAAAGTGCTGGGATTACAGGCATGAGCCACTGCTCCCGGCCCCATATGTTTTTTTATAGCACTCTCTTGCTTATTTGTTTTTGAGTCTCATGGACTTTTATTTCCATGTGGTTTTTGTTTACTTTCTTTCTGTAGCTCACCTAATCCCAGCCATGTCAAAAGTGTATGTCCTATTCTCTTACCGTTATTTGTATTCTAATGTTTGAAGTGTGTTTTTAATTACTCACAGCAACTATGCTCTTCAATATTTGAGGACTGAATAAATTAATCTATACAATGTATTATTCTGGAATTATTTTTATGCGATGTGTTTTATTTTTTAGTGGCTGCATATATGCTATGGTATTAGTTGTTTGCATACCTAAATGTGTTTTTGTGGTTGCCAGTAACGGTTTTTCCTTCTCATATTTAGCACTCCCATAAGGACCTCTTGTAAGGCAGGTCTAGTGATAACAAATTCCCTTTGCATTTGCTTTTTTGAAAATGACCTTATTTCTCTTTCACTTACGAAGCTTAGTTTGGCTGGATATGAAATTCTTGGTTAGATTTATTTGCTTTAAAAATGCTAAATATAGGACCCCATCATCTCCTGGCTTGTAGGGTTTCTGCTGAAAGGTTTGCTGTTAGCTTGATGGGGTTCTCATTGTAGGTAACCTGCTCTTACTCTCTAGCTGTCTTTAACATTTTTCCTTTGATTTCAACCTTGGATAATCTGATGACTACATGTCTTGAGGATGCTCCTCCTGCATTGTGTCTTGCAGAGGTTCTCTGCCTTTTCTGGATTTGTTGGCTTCCGTAGCAAGGTTGGGACAATTTTCATGGATTATATCCTCAAATATGTTTTCCAAGTTGCTTGCTTTCTCTCTTTCAGGGACACCAATAAGTTTTAGATTTGTTCTATTTAGCTAATCCCATATTTCTCTTAGGTTTGGTTCATTCTCCTTTATTGTTTGTCTTACTGAATTACTTCAGAGAACTGATCTTTGAGTCCTGAGATTGTTTCTTCAGCTTGGTTAATACTACTATTAATATTTGCAATTGTATTATCAAATTCTTGACATAAGTTTTTCAGCTCTATCAGTTCAGTTTGGTTCTGTTATGAAATAGCGATTTTCTCTTTTATCTCCTGTATCATTTTATTGCATTCCTCAGAGTGGCACACCAAAAGAAGCTATCAACAGAATAAACAGACAACCTATGGAAGGAGAGAAACTATTTGTAAACTATGCATCCAACAAAGGTGTTATATTCAGAGCCTATAAGGAACTTAAACAAATTAACTAGCTAAGACAAACAATCCTATTAAAAAGTGGACAAAGGACATGAACAGACACTTTTCTAAAGAAGACACACATGGCCAACAATCATATGAAAAAGTGCTCAACATCACTAATTATTAGAGAAATGCAAATCAGAACTATAATGAGGTATCATCTCAGGCCAGTCAGAATGGCTATTACTAAAAAGTCAAAAAAAAAAAAAAAAAAAAGAAAAGAAAAGGAACTGTTGCTGGTGAGGTTGCAGAGAAAAGGGTACATTTATATGCTGATGGTGGGAATGTAAATGACTTCAGCAATTGTGAAAATCAGTGTGGCAATCTCTCAAAGAACTTAAAATGGAAGTCCCATTAAACCCAGAAATCTCACTATTGGGTATATACTCAAAGGAGTATAAATTATTCTGCCATAAAGACACACACATATGTTCATCACAGCACCATTCACAATAGCAAAGTCATGGAATCAACCTAAATGCCCACCAACAGTAGACTGGATAATGAAAATGTGTTACAAATACACCATGGAATACCACGCAGCCATAAAAAAAAGAACAAGATAATGTCCTTTGCAACAACATGGATGGAGCTGGGGCCATAATCCTAACTGAACTAACACAGGAATGGAAAACCAAATATCACATGTTCTAACTTTTATGTGGGAGCTAAACACTGAATACGCATGGACACAAAGAAGAGAACAACAGACACTGGGCCCAACTTGAGAGTGGAGGATGGCAGGAGGGAGAGGAATTGAAAAACTACGTATTGACTATTATACTTACTATCCGAGTGACAAAATAATCTGTGCACCAAACAACCCATGACAAGCAATTTGTCTATATAGCAAACCTTTACCTGTACTCCTGAACCTAAAATAAAAGTTTAAAAAAACCTCCAATTTCAAATTTTAAAATCATTTTATGACAGATTACTAAATGTATCCTTGCTAAAAAATAAACAAAATACATGTATATGCAATGGGATGGATAAATATTACAAACATAATGTTGCATAAAATAATGATTAAACAGTAATATATATATGTGATATGTGCTATGTGTTTTTCCTTCTTTTTTTAAAGAGTGTTTATGTTTGAATTCTATATATAATGAATTAAGGTTATTACCCTTCTTGAAATGAGGTTTATTTGCATTTGTTACTTTTTCATAAAGAGTTCACAGAGGGAAAGATGGCAGAGTATAGGGGATTTCTTTCAAGTGATTTGCTACTTCAATTAATACTTTCTAGGAAAAACTTCATTGTATCTTACTTCTTTTTCTTGAGGCCTCTCCTCTGAACTACATGCCTTTCTTCTAGGGAAAGGAGGAAAGCTTTTTACCTAGGGAAAAGGTCAGTGTGGCATTCATTAAAATTTCTATATCTAAAGATAAAAATGTATAGCAGTAGAACAAATTCTCACAAAAAATACCTAACCTTCTATAATAGACAGGAGCAGAGTGCTCTAAGACTTTGTATGTTTTGTCTCTCCAGGTGTATACCCACTTAGGTTAGCAATGATCACATGACATATTTTAGCCAATGCAATGTGATCAGAAGTGTCATGTGTCATTCTCATGCAAACGCACAAAGAACTAACACCTGATGTGTTTACCCTCCTGCTGTCAAAAGGAACCCAAATACTTTTGTGTTATATGGCAGTGAGATAAAAAGTAGAACTGTCATCCTAGGATGTCTGTACATTTATCTATCATAAAATGCTTCCTCTATATAAAAAAGAATTAACATATCTATGTTTTTTCATTCCCTAAAACAAGTGATCATCTATTTACCCTTTTAGATACATTTTAAATGTTTTTGCATATTAATTAAAATAAAAATAATAAATATATTATTAAGAAACATGGTTTTAACTAAGATAGCCAAATGGTTGCACCTAAGTAAAATTATTCAAAAATTCTATTTTAGAATTTTTTTATTTATATAGGATCTTAAAAAATAAGAAAGATACAGGAATATGTAAGGTCCTTATATATTCCCTATACCTATCTACCTGTTTGAAAAGAATTAGAAATTTACCCCCTTTTAGCATTTGATTAAAGGTAATGAGTAAAGAATATACTTCTAAAATTATCAGTTCACAAGATTCTACTGAAAACTAGAATAGACATGCAGGATTGTATACACCTACTATTACAAAACTTTATGCTCAATTCTAAGAATATTGTCCACTTTTCCTCTGTCACTGTCTGTTATAAAGTTGCTTTCTTCTCTGAGATACTGAGAGGTGACAGCCTGCTGGCAGTCCTCAGAGCCCTCGCTTGCTCTCGGCGCCTCCTCTGCCTGCATTCCCACTTTGGCCGCACTTGAGGAGCCCTTCGGCTGGCCGCTGCACTGTGGGAGCCCCTTTCTGGGCTGGCCAAGGCCAGAGCCGGCTCCCTCAGCTTGCAGGGAGGTGTGGAGGGAGAGGCGCGAGCAGGAACCGGGGCTGCGCACAGCGCTTGCGGGCAAGCTGGAGTTTCAGATGGGCGTGGGCTTGGCGGGCCCCACACTCGGAGTGGCCTGGGGCCCTGCCGGCCCCGGGCAGTGAGGGGCTTAGCATCCGGGCCAGCGGCTACGGAGGGTGTACTGGGTCCCCCAGCAGTGCCGGCCC
The DNA here is from genome assembly GCF_000001405.40 of Homo sapiens. Classification (NCBI taxonomy): domain Eukaryota; kingdom Metazoa; phylum Chordata; class Mammalia; order Primates; family Hominidae; genus Homo; species Homo sapiens. The sequence continues at coordinate 30,092,898 of NC_000004.12, forward strand.
ACCGGTGCTGAGCTCGATTTCTCGCCGGGCCTTAGCTGCCTTCCCGTGGGGCAAGCCTCCGGACTGTAACCTGCCATGCCTGAGCCTTCCCCTGCCTCCATGGGTTCCTGTGCAGCCGGAGCCTCCCCGACAAATGCCGTCCCCTGCTCCACGGCGCCTAGTCCCATCGACCGCCCAAGGGCTGAGGAGTGTGAGCGCATGGCGCAGGACTGGCAGGCAGCTAACACCTGCAGCCCCAGAGCGGGATCCACTGGGTGAAGCCAGCTGGGCTCCTGAGTCTGGTGGGGATGTGGAGAGTCTTTATGTCTAGCTCAGGGATTGTAAACACACCAGTCAGCACCCTGTGTCTAGCTCAGGGTTTGTGAGTGCACCAATCGACACTCTGTATCTAGCTGCTCTGGTGGGGCCTTGGAGAACCTTTATGTCTGGCTCAGGGATTGTAAATACACCAATCAGCACTCTGTATCTAGCTCAAGGTTTGTAAACGCACCAATCAGCACCCTGTCAAAACAGACCACTCGGCTCTACCAATCAGCAGGATGTGGGTGCGGCCAGATAAGAGAATAAAAGCAGGCTGCCCGAGCCAGCAGTAGCAACCCGCCCGGGTCGCCTTCTGTACTGTGGAACCTTTGTTCTTTCACTCTTTGCAATAAATGTTGCTATTGCTCACTCTGTTGCTACTGCTCACTCTTCGGGTCCACACTGATTTTATGAGCTGTAACACTCACCGTGAAAATCTGCAGCTTCTCTTCTGAAGCTAGCGAGACCGCGAGCCCACGAAGAGGAACTAACAACTCCAGACGTGCTCCCTTAAAAGCTGTAACACTCACCGTGAAGGTCTGTTGCTTCACTCCTGAGCCAGCAAGACCACGAACCCACCAGAAGGAAGAAACTCCGAACACATCCGAACATCAGAAGGAACAAACTCCAGACGCGCCACCTTAAGAGCTGTAACACTGGCCGCAAAGGTCCCCGGCTTTATTCTTAAAGTCATTGAGATCAAGAACCCACCAATTCCGGACACAATACCAATTCCTCCAACGTACTTTGCCTTTGTAGAATTTTTGTTTGAGGTTTCATGCTCTAACCTAATGCAAGCTCTCTCATGAAATCTGTCGGTTATAACTGATCTCCACATGGCAGGAACTCTTTTAGAACTTTATTCCAATCTCAAAATAGGAGTTTTGTGATTACTTTTTCAATTTCTAAATATGTTGTTATTTTAAGTTGTTTGCACATTTCAAGCTTCTTGACGGTTTACATTTATTTACCACATTATATAGAATGTTTTCTTGAAAAATAACAATGCCTAAAACATATTTGTGAAAGGGAAAAGAAACTAAAGAGAGAGGAAATGTAAGAAAAAAATGGCAGGGAGGATGGGAAGCCCAGATGAAGAAGGAAGCGGGGAAGGAGGGAGTGAGAGAAGGAAGGAAGGAGAGAGGGGAGGAAGGAAGAGAGGGAGGGAAGAAGAGAGGAAGGAAGAAAATGAGGGAGGAAGGGAGGCAAGAAGGCAGAAAGTGGAGGGAGGGAAGAAGGAAGGGAAGGAAGAGGAGAAGCATATCTCAGGGAGTTAGAAAGGAGAAAAGGGAAGAATGAAAGAGAACATTTACTAACATCATGAAAATTTTGATTGAGAAGATTTTAATGCGTTTATTTCTAACATATCCATATACTACATCTAATGAACTAGAAGGACAACTATAACTTGCTATGATTTTCAAATATAAGGTGATCATTATCAAAACATTCATTCTTTTATATATTCTTCTTTCTCTCTAGAATATGTTTTCTGTTTTTGTTTTCCTGTCATTCTACATGTTTTCCAAAGAAGATAATAGCAATTACTATTCCATATTATTACAATCTAATTCCAGATAGTTAACATGGACTTCGTGCTATGATGGTAGCTTTCATAGTGCATTTGTATGAATTGCATTACTTCAGCCTATATATATATATATATATATATATATTCCTTATAAGCAAGTGACTTTATTTCAGATTTATGGGAATCTATTGACAACCAGTGATTTCCCCATTTCTATGTAAATACCTATTTACATGTAATACTGTCAAGAAAGTAAAAATAAAGATGACTAAGTATTAGCAAACAGTGGCACGTGTGTCAAGAATGGTAAGACAGAATAAGATTTATTTTCCCTTAGTTTCTATCTGAGGATGAGTCACAAATATTCCATCATCACTTCCAGTCAACTTGTACTTCAAATTCTTTCATGAGGATAACATAACTAAAACTAGACAATCACTGACACAATCTACAGTAGTAACATGGAGCACACACACTGTGTCCTTCACATGTAGCTAATTATCATCTTCCATCATTTAGACACAATTCTTCCAGAATGGTGAAAACTAACATTATAATAAAAAAGAACAAATCATCTGAGGTTGGTCATTTATTTTATACAAAATAATTGGACACTCATTAAGAAAATACCTCCCAAGTTTTAGTAATCCACTTACCACACTGATAATCTTTTGACAAACATTTATGTCATCTTCTAGCTTTAACTAACTTTTTTTTTCATATTTAAATATTTAAAAGGAAACTTTGTATGACTGCCATAGGTCACTGATGACAAGTGAAATAATTTATGAAAATTCTTAAAACCAAACCTAAAAAAATATTCTGTTGCTTGGCCAAACGTGGTGGCTCACGCCTGTAATCCCAACACTGTAGGAGGCTGAGGTGGGCAGATCACCTGAGGTCAGGAGTTCAAGACCATCCTGGCCAACATGGTGAAACCCAATCTCTACTAAAAATACAAAAATTAGCCAGGCTTGGTGGTGGGCACCTGTAATCTCAGCTACTTGGGAGGCTGAGGCAGGAGAATCACTTGAACCCAGGAGGCAGAGTTTGCAGTGAATTGAGGTCTCACCATTGCACTCCAGCCTGGGCGACGAGAATGAAACTCTGTCTGAAAAAAAAAAAAAAAAAACTTCTGGTGCTTAATAACCAAAAATGCAAATAACATGACCAAAAACAACATTATGAAACAAGAAATTTTATTAAATTATAGATAGATAATCTTTCCTGCTGAAGGCTTCGAGCCTGAGGTCTAGTTTCACTTAGTTAAAACTGAATTTTTAAGATGATAAAGACATAGTAACACCAAACTGTCTCTCCTTTTATCTAATCAGAATTGATGTATGTAAAATTTAAAATATCTTTAGATAACAGTGCATGAGTTGACATATTATTTAATTTGGAATGTGCGAATAACACTTTAGAAAACATCACTTGAATGAATGCTATAAACAGGCTTCAGAATGTCTGTGGCCCTTCTGGAGTTGAATGCAGTATATATCAAGATTGTCTATAGTTTTGTTTATTTCATATGCTCTATGGAGATTGTAACTCAACAAAGATTAAATACTGCTTTACATAAATATTCAAATGCCAAAGGATAATTTTATTTATCTATATTTGTTTTATTTTATTTTTGCCAACTTTGGAGGGAGCTCAAGCAATATTTTGTGAGAAAAATATTTCAATGGCCTTTTTTAGTGGAACTGGAACAAGGAGAATTTTGTAATAGACAGCAACCAGTCTGGACTTCTAAAAAGATATCAAATATCCAATTTAGAGCATGTCATTAAGTATTAGAGGACACTGATTAACGACCAAAAGTTATGGGATGGGCCAGTCCTGGTTTCCAATATTGGCTCAGTCACACAGAGTTCTGTCAATACCGTCATAGCCCTGAATTCTAAGGTTTTTTTTGTTGCTTTTATAGAAATTGTTGTCAGTATTAAATAAAATAAAAAATATAAGAAGGTCAGAGCATATTACATAGCGCCTTTGGCATACCAAGCATGCTAAACGTAGTAGCTATTAAGACCTGATGGATACTATATGCTGGATACAAATTATCACAAGATAGAATGGAGTAAAGAAAAAAGTAGGAGAAAAATAATTGACATAATTCAAGGTGGCTTGTTGAAAACTGAAGTCAACAGTAATAGTTATTAATTGGTAAGTCAATATGACCCAGAGAGGTGATTCCCTATATAGGTAAATGTGCCCTCTGAGGTTTGTATTTCCTGATAAGCAGCATACGATTTTTATCTTTGCCAAACATACGTGTGCTATTATACATCGAGGTTTACTTTTCCAGTTTTAGAAAATAACATTTAAATCAGGGTTTAAATAGACAAATTGTGCATATTAGGGCTCAGTACTGTTATGGAGAAACATATACGTATCATTCTTTCCCACAGAAAAATAGGGATTGATGAATTATGAATTTTCACAGACTAATTGAGACAGGCTTCTGTGCTAAATTTAATTAAATTCTGAATATAAAATATAATCCTTTTCCTTAAAGTCCTTTTGACCTTTTTTTTTCACTTATTTTTCATAAGCACCCTTCCCCCACCCCATCCCCCACACTAAATTGTAAGCTTTGAGATCATGGAGTTCATACAGGAGATCTTCAGAGGATAGGAAAAAGTGTAGTATGTAGATGTTCAACAAATATGAGGCCTATGCAGCAGTAGTTTAAATAAAAATATTTTATTTCCTTTAATATTCATTGTCAAACAATGAACAATTGGCCGGGTGTGGTGGCCCACGCCTATAATCCCAGCACTTTGGGAGGCCGAAGCTGGCGGATCACCTGAGGTAGGGAGTTCGAGACCAGCCTGACCCACATGGAGAAACCCTGTCTCTACTAAAAATACAAAATTAGCCGGGCCTGGTGGCGCATGCCTGTAATCTCAGCTACTCAGGAGGCTGAGGCAGGAGAATTGCTTGAACCCGGGAGGCTGAGGTTGCAGTGAGTCAAGATTGGCCATTGCACTCCAGCCCAGGCAACAAAAGCAAAACTCCGTCTCAAACAAACAAACAAAAATGATAATAATAATGAAAAACAAAACAATGAACCATTAAACAATGTACAAAATAAAAATTTTATAGAATTCAATTTTTTTTTTTTTGTTTGAGATGGAGTCTTGCTCTGTCACCCAGGCTGGAGTGCAGTGGCGCGATCTTGGCTCACTGCAAGCTTTGCCTCCCGGGTAGTTGCTGGGACTGCAGGCGCCTGCCACCACGCCCGGCTAAATTTTTGTATTTTTAGTAGAGACGGGGTTTCACCATGTTAGCCAGGAAGGTCTCGATCTGCTGACTTCATGATCCGCCCGCCTCAGCCTCCCAAAGTGCTGGCATTACAGGTGTGAGCCACTGCGTCTGGCTAGAAATCAATATTTTTAAGAGAAAACTCTTCTCTTCCACTCTTGCATTTTCCTTCTACATTTGGATTATGGTCATATTTGGTTAAGCCCATTTACTTTCGCATATGTGGCTTTTCTCTGACACTACTTATTCCATATAGGGTAAAGTAGTGTGACTTACCTGATTGTAATTTGTTACAAATAAACTTGGCATGTGGGGATCACTTGGTAGATCATACTTCTAAAACCTGCCACAATCTTATCTCTCATATCCCAAACTAGTTTGCAGTTTGTTCATATCACACCCTCAACAAGAGGTGGGGTCTGTTTTCCCTCCAGTTGCATTTAGTTTGGCTCTATGCCTATCGTAATTAAAACAAACAAACAAAAACAGTAGAAATACCATTCTGAAACTTCAAAGTCCAGGTACTAAGCAAGCTTAGCAGCTTCTGCTTTTGTGCTCTGGAGTAAGTAATCCACCAGCTAATAAGTCGGAATAAACTGAGACTTCCACAGTACCAAGAAACCAGAACTAGATACACGAACAGGCTGTGTAGATAGAGACAGTCAAATGCCTGTCCAGTCATCATCACTGCTAGGCTTCATCCATTTTAGGAAAGAAGTCATCTTGGATGTTTTAGTCCTAGCTGATGCCATTGGGATTCCAGGTAATTTTTCTCCAGTGAACTCCACCCCAAAAGACGATTCCTGAGCAAATAAGTGAGTGTTGTTTTAATCCAGTACATGTTGAAATAATTTATTATACTATAAGAAGTTGTCAAGGTGGCTCAACTCCATATATTTTGGTTTTCCATCTCTTCAGTATTACATTCACATAAGGTGCAAGCCTTCTATTCTCCTTCAAAAGAAAAATCTAACTCTATTACTTTGAGTCATTGGGATGTGTCTGCCCTGGGCAAGCACTGCTCTGAGAACGTAGGTATCATCATGAATTCTGGGATGCATTTAGCAAGCCCATTTCTTTCCACTAAACTACATTCTCTAGTTAGCTTTTAATCGTAATAGGGATGATATTTTGGGATCCACGTGCCACTACTTTTTTTAACCTTATTTTTTCGATATTTAGAACATGAGTTTGAAAGACATGTGTTAATTATTGGTCTATCGCAAATCCCTGATATTTAGAAACACACGATTTATACACGTTGCTTTTGTGGCTTTTGTTTCTCATCTGTAAAGTAGTGGACTATCTCTAAATTTCCAAGCTTCCATGAAACTTTAACCTTGAGCTGAATCATTGATGATGTGCCATATTAAATGCATATGCTTCTAAGAAAAAGTGTGTATTCCTGAGAATGGCAGTACAAACCAAACCAGTTTGTATTACTAGTTTGTCGACTAAGATCACCCTAACAAAATAACACAGACTGGGTGGCTTAAACAAACAAACAAAAATGTATTTTATCATAGATCTGAAGGCTGGAAGTCCAATATCAAGGTGCAGGCAGGTTTCGTTTTTACTAAAGCCTCTCATTAGCTTGAAGATGACCTCATTCTTGCTGTGTTTTCTGTTAAAAGAAAAAAAATAGCCAAAATAAATTTAACAGAATTTAGTTGAGCAAAGAAGAATTCATGTATCAGGAAGCACTCAGAATCAGAAGAGATTCAGAATGCTCCACTATTGCAGCATAAGCAGCAAGCTTTTACATCAAAGGAAGACAAAGAAAATGTATTTAATCATTTTAGTGTGGAAAGACCCTAGATAGAGGTTAGATGGAGCTTTTGATTGGTAAAGTCTGTAGTTTCGCTTTACTGTTAGTTTGGGCTCCATTCTGCTTATGGAGGAAGCTAAAACCCTGGGACTGTCTCAGTCTAATGACCTCCCAATTATTTGCATGCACCATCACCATTGTCTCTGATTCTTCTTATAAGAACACCAAGTATATTGGATTAATTTCCCACCCTAAAAGCCTCACTTTAATTTAATTGCCTCTTTAAAGACCTTACCTCAAAATACAGTTACATGTTGAGACACTGAGGGGTTGAGACTTCAACATATGAATATGGGGGAGGGTGCATAATTCAGCGCATAACCAATTCCATCTGAGTTTCCTGTAGCACAAGCCCAACTAGATGCCTTCCAAGTATCTTACATCAGAAACACAAAGAGTGGAATTGCCAAATCACATTTACAGAAATTACAGTTCCTCTGATTATACTGTTAATTCAAAAGATAGATGCAATATCAAAACATGTTAAAAATAGAGAAATTTGAGATTGTCAGTGCAGTTCTGAGTGCTTTACCTTAACATTGGGTTGCATTTCTTGTTTACATTTTACATTTCTAAGTGAAATTACTAGCTCAAAGGTAATCATTTTCTTTATGAAATGGCTCCATATTACACTTATTTACTTCCACAGCTGTTCAGATGTTCTACAACTAGAAATGCCCATATAAATCCATACATTGAAGATTTATTTGCAATAAGCAATGTAGTCAGACAAGATAAATATCATTGAAGGAATTCTATAGATAAAGACTCCTTCTGCCAGAAAATAAAATTTATGTGTTTGCTATGAGGGCTCATTAAATGATTATAAGGGGATTTGAATGGGTCATTTCTTTTCTTTCTTGGGCATAAAAGGGGAGAGTGGATTGCAGCCTCCTTGTAACCCATTCTTTTTCATCTCCAAATTCCTGTGAGTTAAGATATGCTTTAGTTTAGCAACAATGTAATAAAGACCTCATATAATTACTGGTCTCCTAGGGCTACACTAATGTTTATGAAGTCTTTGTTGTTGAATTGCTCACCTCTACTCTGTTTTTACACAGATTTTTAAAGAAGACTAAAACATTCTAAATTTAGTGTTTTAACATTGACACTCATCCATTCTTCCATCCATTCTTTCTCTATGGTACTACCACTCACAATCATTTTGTCTCCCAGTATCAGGAAATACTCTTCCCAGGTCAGAAGAAAGTGAGACCACCAATGAAAAGCAACACTTGTCTCAAAATAGAAGAGTGTACCACTCACTGAATGAGAGAATTCACAATATGATGCATTCACTGACATTGTTCAGCTATGTCCATTAGGCAATGTTTGCTGGCTCTCGTTGGCTGAGGACATATGTTAATTATCAGATCGTGGGAAAATATAGTTATGACTGGTTTGTCAGCCATGCAGGTGCATATTTAGATGAATATTCCAGAGAGAATAGCATTATAAATTAGGAATTCTGTTGTGTACTTAATAAAAAGGTGTTAAAAAGGAGCAAGTAAGTATACCTATACGCATATAAATAGGTAATAAATAAATCTGTTTTACAACATTCTCTAACCTTGATAAAGAGAACTAATATGATCATTTTTCTTTGTGTAAATTACAGATCCATTGCTAGGTTGCATGTAGATACTAGTTTTACACATATTTGAACCAATATAATGTAAAATAATTAAAAAGAACGATTAGTAAATAAGACTAAAAGAAAGATAAGGATTAATGACTTAAAAGGAAAACTTTAAAAAAATGAACAGAATTTATTTGAACAAAGAAATATTCATGAATCAGGCAGCACTCAAAACTGAAAGAGGTTCAGAGAGCTCTACTCCAGTATCCTAGGAAGTGAGCTTTTATAGAAAACGTGAGGAAGTAAAGTAAATAAATTACTTGTTTGGCTATGCCTAGGCATTGGCCTTATTTGGGTATGATCTGATGGGAAGTCACTAATAATATAACCAAAGGGTTGGTAGGCCATCTGTGATTTGTTGAAACTTAATTCCAAATTAATCATTAACAGGAATGCTTCTAAGTTATGTTTTGATTTGCTTGCATGAGGCTTCTGGGTACAGAAATCCCAGAATAATGGCCTTCTGCTTATTTTGCTTTAACAGTCTGAATACAGCAATGGATTGGTTTGAAATAAAAGAAACACTTATGATTTCATTAATAATTTACATATGACAGGCTGATGTAAGGGGTGCAAATGATGTGGGAGAAAAAAAAATCGTTCATAAAATAGTTGTGGGTTTTATAGGCCCGAGCACAGGCCATGGGTTAGTGATCTAATTATAAACTGAATATACCCAGTATCTGCCCTTCCACAAATTACAATCTAATGGAATAAATAGATTTGCAGAAAAAAGTTATATATATATATATATATATATATATATATATATATATATTTCATTTTAATAGTGCATTATAATACAAAAGTATAAAATGAAAGCATATACCAGGCACTCTAACTTTATTAATCTGTGCTATCAGGTCTCAATTCTTTATTTTAAAATAATGACAATTCGGTTGACAATATAAGAAAAGCCTTTGAGAAAAAAAATAAGATAATTAAAATGTAAAAATAAGGTATGAAAGGTACATGTTACTATATGATTTCTGCCATTCCACCCATTAACTTTATTGTGAACTCAAACCTAAGACTGCATAGACATTGCACCTGCAGCAAGGTAGACATGGATGTGGCATGATTATCCTGGAGGATTCTGTGAAACACAGCAGTGTCCACAGCCTGGGGAGGTTTGTTTCCATAAAAAGCAGGTCAGTAAGGTATTTTTGAATTGACAAATAAATATAAATGGTAATGAGAAAGGCAATATTTTGTATGGAAAACATTCTGAATTTTTTCAATAAAGATGAAGTAAATTTGAGATTTTCTGAAGCTATTAAGAAATTGTCACAAAAATAATTTAACCATCTAGTCTGCATTTAATTACATCCCCTGCACTGTACCAAACATAGAAATAGTCTTAGATTAAACTCTTTAGGTAAGAATTATCCCCATTCCTGCAGATGAGGAAACTGGGACTCGGTGCATATGTTTAGCCTTTGAGTGGTTTAGTTTTGTTATCTGTAAAATTAGGCACACATATAAAAGAATACTTGAACCTCCACTATGCTACATTAAGTAAAACTATAGAGTAAAATTAAAAGGTATGGATAGTAAAAGGGTAAAAGGGATGGAGTTTATTCCCCTAAAATTCTAGATTAAAACCTAAAAAGTTATCAACAGTCAGAGAAACAGTCAGCAAAACATATGAATATTCACAGGGAAAGAGTTTAATTTGACAGTTACTACAAAAGATGCTCAGTTGTCTTTTCCTCAGAAACTGAGATTGAAATCAGAAAAGTTTAGCTTCTGAGAATATTCCTGAAGGAACTATAACATGGTGTGATAAATACAGCAATGGAATTATAATAGTAGTGCTGTGGTATCTTAGAGAGGATAGGATTTGTACTGTTGAAATGAGAAAAATGAAGACTTCAGTAAAGAATGAGTTGACAGCTGATCTATATATTGAAGAATAAATAAGAAGAAGAAAATCAAAGAATAAAATTAAGATTCATGTCTTTCAGGTTTTCACTGCTCACACCTTGGGGTCCTTTAGAATATGTAAAAGAAATTACTGAAGGGAATTCAGGAAGTTAAGAACATCCTAGTATGATTTAGTTTATCTGACTGAAATTCTCTGAAAACAACAGGCTCTGTCATGATATTAATAGAGGGAGAAAAGATACCTTTAAAGAGATTGCTGGAGAGGTCAGAACAATTGTACTTTTCTGTCATCTGTTTCCTAAACAAATGGCTACAGGATATGATTCAAAATCAGTGACTAATTCAGTCTTTACTTGCATGCTTCCTCTCTATTTGCATGCCAATGTTTTCTGCAAATGATAGTAAAACATTTTAGGTTTTCTTCTTTTTTGGTATCTGAATTCATAAAGCTAGCATTGCAAGAATTGATAGCTTGTGTCTCATGGTGCCAAAATCCTCCTGAAAAAGCAAACTTCACTTTCTTAACCATCTATATAAAATAATCACATTATGGGAATGGTATTTCAAAGCTTTCTTGTCAGGTAAATCATATTTTAAAAAAAAATTTCCACGTATTCTACTATGAAATAATAAAATTCACTGGCCTACATACCAGTTTGTATATAGTTAATATTTCTCTTGACACCTGTGAGCTCAGTTCAATTATATTAACTCTATGAATTGAAAATCAGAGTGACAAACTAATTTCTAAATTATGTGATAACTGGGTCCATAGAAAGAAAAATCTATGAATTTTACTGCCCAAGTGAATACAATTCTGTTTATTATCTTACATACCAACTGTCAGCAGCCTGTGATGTGGAACAGTTTAGATTACTGCTGACATTTGGAAAAGTAAATGGATTTGAATGAGCTTGAACAAGTTAAGCAAAATGGCAACTTGATATTGTTGAGAATAAATTGTTTATTTGTTAATAAACTGTTACAAATACTATAGAAATTTTTGTAAGCTCTTGCTTCTTAGTTTACATATATCTCTGGAGAATAAGCATAACTAGGACGACTTTGACATAAAAATACTGAATAAAACATATTAACATTCCTAACAGGAGTTAAATATAGGGAAATATTCATTGGTGTGTATGAACTCTGCCATTGGGTAAGACTGAGTTAAATTGATATTTCTTATTGGATGCTCTGCATTCTATATCTTGATGTATTATTTAAAAAATAAAAATTTAATTTTCAACAGGGAAAATGTTAAGAAACATGTTTGAGAGAGATATTAATTAAGGTTGGGAATATAATCATTTTTGCTAAATGGATAGTAACCTAAATATAACTATTTAAATTCCTACATTAGTCTGTTCTCAGGTTGCTATAAAGAAATACCCGAGACTGGGTAATTTATAAAGAAAAGAGGTTTAATTGACTCACAGTTCTGCATGGGTGGGAAGGCCTCAGGAAACTTACAATCGTGGAAGGCACCTCTTCATGGTGCAGCAACAAAGAGAATGAGTGTAAGCAGGGGAAATGCCAGATGCTTACAAAACCATCAGATCTCCTGAGACTCACTCATTATCATGAGAACAGCATGGGGGAAGCAGCCCCATGATCCAATTACCTACACCTGGTCCTGCCCCTATATGACACATAGGAATTATTGCAATTCAAGATGAGATTTGGGTGGGGACACAAACCATATCATTTTGCATCTGGCCCTCCCAAAAATCATGCCCTCACATTTCAAAACACAATCATGCCTTTTTAACAGTGCCTCGAAGTCTTAACCCATTTTAGCATTAACCCCAAAATCCAAGTCCAAAGTCACATCTGAGAAAAGGTAAGTCCTTTCTGCCTATGAGCCTGTAAAATAGCAAGTTAGTTACTTCCTAGATACAATGGAAGTACAGGTATTAGGTCAATATACCAACTCCAAATGGGAGAAATAAGCCAAAACAAAGGGGTTACAGGCCCCATGCAAATCCAGTAGGTCAGTCATTAAATCTTAAAGTTCCAAAATGATCTACTTTGACTCTATGTCTCACATCCAAGTCATGCTGATGCAAGAGCGGGGATCCTACAGGTATTGGCAGCTCTGTCCCTATGGATTTGCAGGATACAGCCCCCTCCCAGCTGCTTTCACGGGCTGACATTGAGTGTCTCTGTCTTTCCTGGGTGCACAGTGCAAGCTGTCAGTGGATCTACCATTCTGGGGTCTGGAGGATGCTGGCCCTCATCTCACAGCTCCACTAGGCAGTGCCTCTGTGTGGGGATTCTGAGTGGGGGCTTCAATCTCACATTTTCCTTCTGCACTGCGCCAGCAGAAGTTCTCCAGGAGGGTTCCACCTCTGTAGCAGACTTCTGCCTGGACTTCCAGACATTTCCATACATTTTTTGAAACCTAGATGGAGGTTCCCAAACCTTACTTCTTGTCTTCTGTGCACCCACAGGCCCAACACCATGTGTAAGCCACTGAGGCTTGGGGTTTGCACCCTCTGAAGCAATGGCCTGAGCTGTATTTTGGCTCATTTTAGCCAGAATTGGAGCTGAAGCAGCTGTGATGCAGGGCACCACGTCCTGAGGCTACATAGAGTAGGGGGCCCATGAAACCATTTTTCCCTCCTAGGTCTCCAGATCTGTGATGAGAGTGGGTGCTGTGAAGTTCTCTGACATGCCCTGGAGGGATTTTCTCCATTGTCTTGGTGATTAACATTTGGCTCTTCATTACTTATGTAAATTTCTACAGCAGGCTTAAATTTCTCTCCATAAAATGAGTTTTTCTTTTTTATTACGTGGTCAGGCTGCAAATTTTCCAAACTTTTACACTCTGCTTTCTCTTCAATGCTTTGTTGCTTAGAAATTTCTTCCACCAGATACCTTAAATCATCTCTCTCAAGTTAAAAGTTCCACAGATCTCTAGGGCAGGGGCAAAATGCCACCAGTCTCTTTGTTAAAGCATAGTAAGAATCACCTTTGCTCCAGTTCCCAATAAGTTCTTCATCTCCCTCTGAGACCACTTCAGCCTGAACTTCATTGTTCACATCACTATTAGCATTTTGTTCAAAACCATTCAACAAGTTTTTAGGAAGTTCCAAACTCCCAACTATTTCTGTTTTCTTCTGAGTCCTCCAAACTGTTTCAATCTCTGCCTGTTACCCAGTTCTAACGTTGATTCCACATTTTCAGGATTCTTTATAGCAGCACCCCACTACCTCAGCACCAATTTACTGTGTTAGTCTGTTCTCATTCTGCTATAAAGAAATATGCAAAACTGGGAAATTTGTAAAGAAAAGAGAAAATTGACTCAAAATTAAATTGACTCAAAGTTCTGCAAGACGGGGAAGGCCTCAGGAAACTTACAATCATGGTGGGAGGCACTCCTTCACAGGGTGGCAGGAGAAAGAATGAGTGCCAATTAAAGGGGTAAGCCTCTCATAAAACCTTCAAATCTCATGAGAGCTCACTCATTATTATGAGAACAGCATGAGAGAAAACACCGATATGATTTAATTATCTCTACCTCATCCCACCCTTAACACATGGTGATTATTACAATTCAAGGAGAGATTTGTGTGGGAACACAGAGCCAAACCATATCAATTCCTAATAAATACGCATATGTTTCTTTGATTGTTAGGAAATATTTATGAATCACACATTCCTGTTGTCTAAGGAGAATCAGGCTTTTAAATTCATCAGGCCTTCCAAATATTAGATAAATCCTATATAGCTTGATTTTTCATTTTAGATTCTTTATTTGTCATAAGAGTGTTCCAATAAATATTGCAGTTGACAATAGGAAATTGTCTAGATAAATATGTTAAGGTCATTCAAAATTCTGAAAGAGACAATTACAGTGAGATTATAGCACAAATGTTCAGCAGGGTTCAGACATGCAAGATAGGCAGTTAAGAGGACAATAGTAAACTTCAAATTTTTATTATTTTCATCTAGAAGATATTATATTATTTTTTATGCCACTTCCCGTCATAAAGAATCAATATGTTGAACCTTGGTCATCAATGAAATCATCAATAAATTTCACAATTATTAAAATGCTAGTGAGGGTTTTACCAGATAGATAATACAGATACAGAAAATCCACTTTTCATTTTAATAAAATTACTTTCCAAAGTCTTCTCCTTACCCTCATAATCTAATATATGTAGGATACTAATTTATATATTGTAGACATTCAATACATAATCATTATTTCAAAAGTAAGGAAATTTACTAATAGTACCAATTTAAATGTGTTTTTCTATAGAAAAACTCCTTTGTATTGCCAAAAATCAGTAATGATTAATCAGTGAGAAATAGAGTCTGGAACATGGGAAGGGAACTATTTTATGCAAAGGGCCTCTCAAGTCACACTGCATAGAAGACTGTGTTGGTGGCCCATGTTGTGAACTCCAAATATCCTAAAGAAAACTAAGTGTTAAAATTTTAGGAATGGGTGGCATAAGTACAAAATATTTATTGAATACCTACCGTTTCCTAAGTGATGAACATACATTGAGAGCTTATTAAACATCCGTCAATGCTCAAAATACCTTACTTGTATTCATTTACATCCTCACATCAATACTAGGTAAGCAGGTACTACGATTTTCACCATTTTACAGAAGACAAAGAGTCGCAAACTAAAGTACTTATCCAAGCTTAACAAGTTTCAAATTCAGGATTTGAATTCAGACTTTTGGTGCCTGAAGATGTGCTCTTAGCCAATAATCAAGTTGCTGCTTATTTGTATAGTCTCATATGAATAAATCTCAAGACACTGTCTGTGTGCAGCTTGAAGAAAGTAACTGATTTTTTCTCTATATATTATTTATTTGTATTGAGGCATAATTTACACACAATATAATTACACATTTTACTATGTAGCTCAATAAAATTCTGCATATATATCCATGTAACTATCATCAAGAGACAATAATAGAACATTTCCCACAATGCCGGAATTTCCTCAGTAAACTAGTACAAGCATAACCACACTAATTTCAATCATACATAAATTAGTCTGCCTATAATATTTACAATATTCAATATTTACAAAACTATTAAGCAGAAAGTATGTAGAATTCCTATAAAATTCCTCTTCTCTCACCCTGTTTCCTGTATTATTAATATCTTTCATTGGTGTGGTAAATATATTGCAATTGAGGAACCAATGTCGATATGTTATTATTAAATAAAGTCCATACTTTCCATTAGGGTTCACTGTGTTGTACAATTCTATGGGTTTATTTCTCCTTACAGTTGATTACATTTGTGTGGAAATATTTTGGGACTCTATTTTGTTCCATCAATTTACGTGTCCATTCTTTCATCAATACCACATTGTCTTAATTACTATAAGTTTACAGCAAGACTTGAAGTAGGGTAGTGTTTATCTTCTGTCTTTGTTCCTCTTCTTCAATATTGTGTTGATTTTTCTGAGTTTTTGCCTTTCCATGTTAACTTTAGAATCAATTTGTCAATATAAACAAACTGACTTGCTGGAATTTTTATTAGAATTTTATTTAATCCATACATCAATTTGGGAAGAATTGACATCCTATAAACTCAGATTTTCCTATCCATGAACATGGTTTTTGTATTAGGGTACTGCTGTCCTAAAAAAACTGAGTTAGGAAGTGTTCCTTCTGCTTCTACTTCTAGAATGGATGGATGGTAGATACATGATATCATTTTACCTTAAATGTTTGGTAGAATTAACCAGTGAGACCATGTGGGCATGGTGATTTCTGTTTTAAAAAAGTTATTAGTATTTTTTCAATTTCTTTAACAAATACTGTCTATTCAGATTATCCATGTGAGTTTTGATAGACTGTGTCTTTCAAGGAATTGTTTTATTTTATCTAAGTTATCAAATTTGTGGGCACAAAATTGTTCATTAATTTCTTTTCTTATTCTTTTTAATCTCCTGGGGTCACTAACAATATCCTTTCTTTTTTCTTGGATAGCTGTGTAAGGTTTTAACAATTTCACCATTTTCTTCAAAAACAGGGTTTTTTTTTTTTTTCGTTTTGCTGATTTTCTCAATTTCTTTCCTGTTTTAAATTGCATCAATTTCTGCTCTGTATTTTATTATTTCTTTCCACCTTCATTCTTTGAATTTGTTATTCTTTTTATAGTTCCATAGAACAGAATCTTAGTTATAGATTTTTGATCTTTTCATTTTATTAATATGTGCATGCAATACTATAAATTTCCAAGTAATTACTGCTTTCAATTCATCTCACAAAATTTCATATGCTGTATTTTATTTTTATTTATTTAAAATATTTTTAATTTCTCTTAAGACTTCTTTGATTCATGTGTTACTTAGAAGTAACTTGGTTAATCTCCAAATAATTTGTGAATTTCCAGCTGTATTTCTGTTTTTGATTTCTAATATAATTCCATTGTTTTCTGACTAGTATACTTTGTATAATGATCATTCTTTTAAATTTACTAAGGTGTTCTTTATGGCCTAGAATGCGGTCTCTATCTTGGTGAATGTTCCATGTGAGCCTGAGAAGAATGTGCATTCTGCTGTTGTTTGATGATATATAATTGATTTCTGGTGTTGTACAATTCAACTATGTTCTTACTCAGCATTGTGCCTGCTGGAACTGTCAATTACTTATAAATGAATGGTGACATCTTCAACCGTGAGTGAATTTATCTATTTATCCTTATAGTTCTATCAATTTTGCTTCACACATTTTGATGTTCTGTTGATAGGTACATCCAAATCTATATTAGACATACACCTACAGATGTACAAATGTAAGAATTATATTATACTTCTCTTCAGAAACTATGTAAGCTAGGACAGAATGAAGTGAAATATTTAAAGAGTAAAAGGAAAAAAACTATCAACCTATAATTTTCTATCCAGTGAAATTCATCTTCAAAAATGAAGAAGAAATAAAAAGTGCCTAGATAAACAAAAATGAAGCATACTTGCCTTATAAGTAATATTAAAATAAGTTATTCAAAGAGAATGAAAATAATATGGGTGAGAAACTTGAAACTACATAAAGAAAAGAACATTGGGGAAGAAATTTGTTCTTCTTGTCTCACCTGTGATAATGTATAGTGTTATTTTAAAGAGAACTTGGATTAATATCTAAATTATTATTCCATATTTTAAGGCAAGCACTAAAATAAATTAATTAAAAATAATTGATAAGAGAGAACAGAAAATAATATTATGTGCAATGTCCAGTTAAAACCAAAGAAAGATTAAAAAATAATGAAAACCAAAATATAAAGAAAGGACAAGAATAATACAAAGAAAATAATTACATACATGGTAGATATTAATCCAACTACATCAATAGTTACTTTAAATGTGAATGTCTAAATATAAAATTAAAAAACAGACTGTCAGAGTAGGTAAGAACAACAAGACAGAACTATATGTTGTCTATAAGAATCCTACTTTAAATATAAAGACACAAATGGATTAAAAGTGAAGGGGGAAGCAAAAAGAACAAAACTGGAAGAATCACATTGCCTCACTTCAAATCATACTACAGAGCTGTAGTAACCAAAACAGTAGGGTACTAGCATAAAAACAGACACATAGACCAATGAAACAGAATAGAAAGCCCAGAAAGAAATCTATACATCTATAGTGAACTCATTTTTGACAGACTCTCCAAGAATATATATTGGGAAAAGGACAATCACTTCAATAAATGATGCTGGGAAGAACTGTATATCCATATGCAGAAGAATGAAACTAGAACCCTATCTCTCACCATATACAAAAATCAAATCAAAATGGATTAAAGACAAATCAAAGAAGCCAAACTATGAAACTACTACAAGAAAATATTGGGAAAACTCTTGAGGGCATTGGTCTGGGAAATTATTTCTTGGGTATATCTTATAAACACAGGCAACCAAAGAAAAAATGGACAAATCGGATTACATCAAGTTAAAAAGCTTTTGCCCAGCAAAAGAAACAATCAAAAAGGGAAAAAACAACCCACAGAATGGGAGAAGATCTTTGCAAACTATCTATCTGACAAGGAATTAATAATTGGAATAAATAAGGAGCTCAAACAACTCTATAGGAATAAAATCTAATAATCTAATTGAAATGGGAAAAAGATCTGAGTAAATATTTTTCAAAAGAAGACAATCAAATGGCAAACAGGTGTATGAAAATTTCTCAACATCATTGATCATCAGAGAAATGAAAATCAAAATGTCAATGACATTATTTCACCCAGTTTAAATGGTTTTTATCCAAAAGACAGGAAAAAAACAAATACTGCCAAGAGTGTGGAAAAATGGGAAACCTCATACACTGTTAGAGAGAGTGTAAATTAGTACAACCACTATGGGGAACAGTTTGGACATTCCTTGAAATACTAAAAATATACATGTCATATGCTCCAGCAATGCCACTGCTGGGTGTCAGTGTATCAGTGATATATCTGCCCTCTCATGTGTTTTGCAGCACTATTCACAGTAGCCAAGATTTGGAAGCAACCTGTGTTTGTCAACAAATAGATAAAGAAAAGGTGGTACATATACACAATGGAGTACTATTCAGCCATAAAAAATAATGAGATCATGTCATTTTGCAACAACATCATTGAAAATTGAGGACATTATGTTAAGTGAAATAAGCCAGGCACAGAAAGAAAAACTTCACAGGTTCTCAATTATTTTGGGGAACTAAAAATTAAAGCAATTTAATCTCATGGAGATAGAAAGTAGAATGATGGTTGCCAGAAGCTGGCAAGGGTAATTGTGGGGTGGGGTGGGAATAGTTAATGGGTACAGACAATAAAGCTAGATAGAATAAATAAGATTTAGTATTTGAAAACACAACAGGGTGACAACAGTCAACAATAATTTGTTGTATATTAAAATAATTAGAAGAGTATAAATGGATTGTTGGTAACACAATGAAAAGGTAAATATTTGAAGTGATAAGATACTCATTTCCTGACATGTATGATTACCATTTATTGTATGCCTGTATCAAAATGTCTCATATATCCACATAAATATATACACCTATTATGTACCTACAAATTTTTTTTAAATGAAGGGGTGAAAAAAGATGTAACATGCTAACACTAACTAAAAGAAAACTGGAGTAGCTTTGTTAATTCTAGACAAAGAAGGATTCAGAGCAATGAAAATTACCAAGAATAAAGAAGGACATTACATAATGATAATGAGATCAATTACCCCATATTTACTTTTAACTAACAGAATATGGTAAAGATAATCAGATATGGCTTTCTTGATTGTGCTATATTACTCCATTTTGCTGGCATATTCTGTTTTCTGGCTTTATAAACTAAGTCACCCATCATAGCCAGTTCAGGGTATGTATTAGTGCATTTTCACACTGCTGTAAAAAATATCCAAGACTGGGTTATTTATAAAGAAAAGAGGCTTAATGGACTCACAGTTCTACATGGCTGGGGAGGCCCCAGGAAACTTACAATCATGGCAGAAGGGGAAGCAGGTACGTCTTACATGGCTGCAGGAGAGAGAGAGTGTGTGTGAAGAAAGAGCAGTCTAACACTTATAAAATCATCAGATCTCATTAGAATTCACTCACTATCATCAGAACAGCATGGGGGAAACTGCCCCCGTGATCTAATCACCTCCCACTCGTTCCCACCCTCGACACATGGAAATTATGGGGATTACAATTTAAGATAAGATTTGGGTGGGGACACAGTGTCAAACCATATCAGGCTGCTATAACAAATTATCATACACTGGGTGGCTTAAACAAGAAACATTTATTTCTCTGCGTTCTGGAGGCTGGGAAATTCAAGATCAAAATGCCAGTAGCTACAGTGTCTGGTGAAGACTCTCTTCCTGGTTTGCAAATGGACATCTTCTCATTGTATTCTCATATAGAGGAGAGCAGGGAGAGCAGAACAAGCTTCTGCCTGTCTCTTTTTTTAATGAGGAAATAATCTCATCATAAGAGATCCACTTTTGTGACCCAAATACCTCTGAAGGGCCCATCTCCAAACACCATCACATTGATCATTATGGTTTCAACAGATAAATTTTGAAAGAAAATAGACTACAGACTGTTTTTGAGAGTAAACAGCCCTGCAACACCATCACATTGGGAAGACCATGTGACAAAGAACTGCATGCAATCACTAGAAACTTTGGGTGGCCACATGAGCTGAGCAGGAAAAAGTAAGCTCTCACGTCAATAATTGCACGAAACTGAATGTTATCAACAACCAAGTGAGTGCTGAAGAGAATCCTGAGGCTTAGGTGAAAACTTAGCCTGGCCAACACCCTAATTACTGCTTTTCATAACATAAGCAGAGGACCTAGTTAAGTAGTGCCACTCTTTTGACCGACAGAAATTGCGAGATAACAAACAAGTATTGTTTTAAGCCACTAAAACTGTGGTAATTTGTTACACACCAATACAAAACAAATACAGCTTGTTTTCAGTTTGGTGATATTGTGAATAAACTGCAATAAATATTTTTATTTATGGTTTTTAGTGGACATACACAGGTATTTTGTTGGGTAAATATCCTTGAATGGAATTTCCAGATCACAGGGAATATTTACATTTAATAGTTACAGTCCCATATTTTACTGAAGAGGTTGTACCAATTGACAGTACCACAAGCCATGAAACAGACATTCAGTTATTTCCCAAACTTGCCAACACTTGACACTGGTAATTCTTTTAATTTTAGCCATTCTGGTACCTATGTACTGGTATATTATTGTGGTCACGAGTTACCTTTTTAGTAAGAATATAAAATGATATAGACCACCCAAAGCATGTATCAAGGACTTTGTTGATATTTATAAATTAGGAAATACAATCTGTACATGCTACAAAAATAGTTCCCATGCATTTTCTTCTCATTTTAAGATCATTGTATTGTGATAATAAAGAGAAAAGCAAAAATCTCTGGTCAGGCACAGTGTTGCACGCCTGTAATCCCAGCACTTTGGGAGGCTGAGGCAAGCAGATCACAAGGTCAAGAGATCCAGACCATCCTGGCCAACATGGTGAAACCCCATCTCTACTAAAAATACAAAAATTAGCTGGGCGTGATGGCATGTGCCTGTAGTCCCAGCTACTTGGGAGGCTGAGGCAGGAGAATCGCTTGAACCCGGGAGGCAGAGGTTGCAGTGAGCTGAGATCGCGCCACTGCACTCCAGCCTGGTAACAGAGTGAGACTGTGTCTCAAAAAAAAAAAAAAACTGTTGATATAAAGATTTTATTTTTTCTTCTTCTTCTTTTCTTTCTTTCTTCCTTTTCTTTTTTTTTCTTTTTTTCTTTTTTTTTTTTTTTTTGATAGTACTGGGGTCTTGCTATGTTACCCAGGCTGGTCTTGAACTCTAGGAGCTCAAACAATCCTGCCTCAGCCTCCCAAAGTCCTAGGATTATAGGCATAAGCCACCATGCCCAGCCAAATACGAACATTTTAAAGAAAGAAAATGTAAAAGAAAAAAAAACGATGAGTAATAATCTAAAAAAAATATTGAAGTAATAAAGTTCGTAAAACAGCTCACAACAGCATCACAAAAGTTTTGTAATACACTAAAGGGCCTTTAGGACACTGCTTTAATCATGTACATTGGAATTAAGATGTCATTATGCATAAGTGACTAGAACAAAACCTTATTAAAACATTATGCCAACTGGCATAATACTAAATGCTGTAGTTGTAACTTGCACAACATATATTCTTGCTTATCTTATTTTACTGTTATAGGCTTTGGAGGTTTCAAGATAAAGAGAAATTAAAAATCTTCCTGCAATAAGCAAGTTTTCTCCTTCTGAAAATGTAGCTTAGCAACTGACCACACCCCATTTAAAAAGAGCAAGGAAGTGAGAGAGAGAGAGAGAGACAGGACAACAAATAGAAAAACGGAAAAGTTTTTTGATATAAAATATAAAAAAGGGAAATATAAATGTACAATAAATATTTTATTACATGATGAATCTTAGTAGTATTCAGGTAAATTATGTTACATTTTATCCATCAGATTGGTAACATTTATTTACTTATTTTTTTGCTGAATAATTTATATAAAGTGTTATATCTGTATATGCGCAAAGTCTATTAACCCAATACAATTTCATTTCACATATTTAGGGCCGAAAATCATATGTACATACAAGAAAACATGTAGACTCATTGCCTGTATCTATTTTTATTAATAATAAGACTAATTTGGAAAAAATACAATGTCAATTAAAAAAAGAATAATTTCCTTCATTATAAAATAAATAGACCTAAGCACTTCATACGTATCTCCATGCTTTATAAAATGTCCCATTGCTATCACAATTCATTATTCCCAGTTCCTCTCTTCAGAGTGCTTTTGGAAAGTAAAATGCCCAGAGAGATATGCTACTAATCACCAAGCAGAAGCAAGACAAAAAAAAAAAACATAAGAGCTGACTATTTATCATAATAATAGGTGTAACTTACATTTACATAGTGCCTAATATGTGCTAGGCATTGTTCTAAACTCTGTGTGTGTGTGTGTGTGTGTGTGTGTGTGTGTGTTTCATTGAGTTCTCAACACAACCAGATAAGGTAAGTACTGTTTTTATCTCTATACTCTCCATTGATAAGAAAACAGAAGTCTAATATTTTGTTAAAGGTCACAGAGGTGGAAGATAGTGGAGTCAGGCTTACTAAATCTGGCAGCCATGCTCTCAACCACTGTTTTCCTTCTTCTTAACTTGATTTGCTATTCATCTATTAATACTATTGTGGCATTTTTAACTGTGTTCTAAACTGAATAGCCTGAGTTTACATTTGTTCTAATTCCCAATGCGTATTGAAAACAACCTCTAATCAAAAGGCACGGATTCTCAAACATGAATAGTATATGAACTATTAGTGCGTATGAACCAGTATAGGTTAAAAATAAGTGAAATGACCAAGAAATCTCCCAAGATTAACAATTATTTAATTGAATAATTTGTATTGTTTGTTTCAAAAGTATGTGACTATTGAAAAAAACACTTTACAATTTCTTATGCTTATAGAATGTTATTTTTAAAACAAAACTGATTCAATAAAAACTGGGAAAGACTGATGATGTTAACTGTTATGAGTTTTTTAAGACAACCTCTATTCACACTCTTTGCCATGTGATGTTTTTGCTCCTCTTAATTAAAGAAAGCTGTCCGTGTGACTTTTTCTGGCAGTGGAATATGGCAAAAGTGGCACAATGGTAGTCCTTAACGTAGGCCTCAAGATGACTCATATATTCCCCTCTTGTATCTTCGCCCTATGAAAAGAATCCATCTATTCTAACCTCGTGGATAGAAATAGAGAAACATGAAGCTGCACTAAATTGCTTCAGCCAAAAGACAGTTGATTTGCAAGTGTTTGAATTCCCAGCATCCAGTAGCCAATTCCCAAATGAAAGCTAAAATCAAATCCAAAGCTACCCTTAGCTAAAACACAGACTTGTAGAATCAGAAGATGAATAATTGTGTATTGTTTTATGCCTCCATATTTTGGGATGGGTAATCATGTAGCATGACCATGGCACTGTGTAATTAATTCAGAAATTGATGCCTATACTTGGTGTGCTGTCATATAAATAAAACATAAAGTATGTGAATTCGTGTACTGGACTACAAGTGAGCAGAGGCTGAAAAAATGATAAAGAAATTGGACAGGATGGAAAACTGTCAAAGTATGTTATGGATTGATAACTTATACTGGCAGTAACTGGGAAGATATAAAGTTTACCCAATGAATATTACTTGTGATGATCTGATATTGGACCTAAGCCACCAATGTTTGGTTTAAGAGAAAGATTTAGACTGACGTCTGGCTCCATATTTATCTGTTTATGAATTTGATTCCAACAACACAAATGCAAAGAACAATACTTTAAACAAATATGTACAGGATACATTAATAATTTTAACAGTACTTTAGTAGAAAAATCTGACCCCCATCTTTAGTAAAATGAGAGTGTAGAATGCTTAAGTGGCAATTTTAATGAGGCTTCATTGAATAACCCTATGATGTTCTCACGTTGTATTTGACAACAGTTTACCATTCCAGTGCTGTTCATATCTGTATTAAATGGTTATCCATTGTATTTATTGTTAGATTCTGAAAGAAGACAATTATTTCTCATTATACATTTATTCCTGATCAACTGTGTAGTACTAATTGTTGTGAGTACGTAATTACAGGGATAGAATCATTTTAGACTGACAATAATGAACTCCTCTCTTTGGAACAGATCCTTTTGTGTCTGACAACTTTCAGTAGCGTGTGCCACCTGATGACTCGTGAGTCATACCACCCTTGTCCATTCAATCTACAAAACCTTTCATACTGAAACCTTGTTATCATTGAATTGTCAATTTGCTGGAACACATTCATTTAACAACAACAACAAAAAGAATTAAAGTGTTTCCATCACCATCACTGTGCTGTGATAGACTAATTGGTAGTAATAATTATTCCCTCACCATGCCCTGTTTGTAAATGTTCAGTCACTTTCACTGAGGTTTAAGGCACATTTATGACACTTACTTTTCAACTTGACCATGTAACTAGCTTTGGACAAAGGGATGTTAGCAGAGATGGCATAAGCAGGGTCTTAAAAGTTGCTTTTAAGATTGTACTTTCTCTCTTATGTTTCTGCATTGCATTGATCAGCAGCTGCTCCTTCACCTTGGAACCCAGAGTTAACACAGGTGGAACAAATTTGCTTTAGCCTACCCACAGACATATAAGAATTATACGCTTAGTTTTGAATGCCACTGAATTATTATGGCATTATTGTCTGTTACACACTAATTGCCTATTAATATAGTAGTAAGCCAGACAACCCAGAAAATAATTATGCTAATTTTTGTTGCTTGTCTTTAAGCTTGAACTGAAAATTTGTGAAAGTGTAGAGATCATTCCCCATCGTAAGTATAGAGATTCTTGATGGCGACGAGATAGCCAGGTGGGAGGGGGTCCCTGGCAAAACTCCACCTGGCCTGCACACTGAGAATAAGCACTGGGGTGGAGCCACAGAAGTTCGCGTCGTTCGCAGCAGGGAGGAGCCTGGCCTGTCTTCTATCCCTGTGGAACCTGGGATTCAAGCTGTGAGGCTGGAAGTACTCTTAGCAGGAATTCTGGCTTTGTGGAGAGTCCCTGTTTCCTCCTTTTCACCCAATAAAACCTTGTCTTACCATTCAAATTGTCTGCGAGCCTGAATTTTCATGGCCGTGGGACAACAACCCTGTCTTTAGCTGAACTAAGGAAAAGTCCTGCAACAGCCAAGAGAGGGGTGTAGCTCTTTACAGGCATCATTGTAAGGGTTCCTGACTTAAGTTCACCCAAGCGTATTTTTGACTTTTTCAACCTGAAAAAGTTTAATAAACTTAGTGTTAGTGTTGGGGAGAAAGCCTTGTCCTGGATGGATGGATGGATGGATGGATGGATGGATGGATGGATGGATGAATGACACTAATGAACTAGTGTGGCTATTCATTTTTTTATTATTATTGCCAGAGGGCAATTTGAAGAAAAGATGAATTTGACTACAAAGTATACTGGGGGCATGAGACCAATACACTGGTAAGAAATATATTTACACCTTTTTACATGTTTTTGGTTAGGTTCCCCAAGAAGCGAATTTTTGGAGTCTATTCCCCTTGCCCTTGGATTATCTTTATCAAATAAAGTAAACCTTTACAATATGTATTTATGTATTCTCCAGAAGTTTATTGAATGACCTGTGGTACCTTTTGAAACTTAGTCTTCTATCATATTGTATATGTTCAACCTCTTAAACCTCTAAAACTCTTCACCTAGAGCACAAGAAGTATATCTTACTTTTGGAACTTAGTAGTGCTCAGGAAATGTGGGATGACTTAAGTTAAACAGAGTTAAATAATTGAATTGAAAATTTTGGAGCAGTTGCTATACCAGTATGGCCAGCAGTTGAGGACTGATATTGAATAGGAATGAAAAGGGGAATTGGAAAGTATTTTGATATATTATCATAGAGACAAAAAAAACTCAGTAAATGTTTTGAAAGTTGTAATACATAAGTTTAAAAACAAACAAAAATAATAGGAAAGTGGCACAGTCATTAGTCTGGCGACAATATGCCTAATTATTGAGGGAGTTGAGAGATAGGTCGTAGGGGCACCAAGTAGGAATTTATAATAGCCGTTTAGATATAATGTAACTATTGGCCGGGGGCGGTGGTTCACACCTGTAATCCCAGCACTTTGGGATGCGGAGGTGGGCAGATCACCTGAGGTCAGGAGTTCGAGACCAGCCTGACCAACATGGTGAAACCCCGTCTCTACTACAAATACAAAAATTATCCAGGCCTGGTGGTGTGTCCCTGTAATCCCAACTACTTAAGAGGCTGAGGCAGGAGAATCACTTGAACTCAGGAGGCAGAAGTTGCACTGAGCCGAGATTGCGCCACTACACTCCAGCCTGAGAGACAAGGGCGAAACTTCATCTCAAAAAAAAAAAATAGAGATAACTATCAACAATATTCAAGATTTCTGCAGCAAGTCTACCACATTTAACCCAACTTAAGAAGATTAATAAGAGGACTATATACACATTTTTGGAAATGATCCAAAGAAACCAATAACTAATAGTGCTACCCCTAGCAGCCAGTCACAGTGCAGGGAGTGGTGATTACTATGTCTAGATATGAAGGGACAGAGCAAAGTTGGATTTGTAGGGACCCAAACCTAAATAGGGCAGCTATATGAGGAATAAGCTGTGGCCTCCAAGGGGCACAGTCAATCCTTAGCAACCTGACACTGTCCTCCCACCCTATGATCTCTGCAGGTAATTCCCATCTGCTAAGCAGAACAGAACCTACATTGAAATGAGACCCACTGTCACAATGCATAGTGAACTAGGATTAAAGCAAGGTGGAAAACAGTGAGAGTGGTTCAGAAGGGGCAAAGGAAAAATGTCTAGCACATTCTCTAGAAACAAAATGTGCTTTAGATACAAGATACTAGGAAATACCCAGGAGGGAGTGGGAAATGTATCCATGTTGCTCTTTCCTCAACCAAATAACAGTTACTGAAGTCTGTGAGTTTCCCTTAAGCGAGTTTGTGCTTAAAAATAAACAAACAGCACCCACCACCAACAAATTTTTGGACTAGCATTTACTTGTCTCATGCCATTCTACCCAGCCTGTTTGTGGAATCAGTGGTTCTGGCCATAAGATCTAGACCATAATTGGAAATTTGACAGACTAGTTTAGAAACTTTTTGTAACCATTTTCTCCATACCTCTGAAAACAGAAAGTCTTGCTGTAAGTTACTAATTTGAAATCTGACTTATTATTGTAAAGATTACATCAAAGACTTTTAATTGTCTCAGCAAAGAATTTGATATGTAAAAAAAAACTTGATAGAGACAATAGGGAAAAATATTACCTTTAAATTTATAACTAGTTTTAGGCTAAGTTCAAACTTGCATCATTATCACATCCTTGCTTTAGACAGAATGAACATCCTGCAAGTAAATATGGTATTTTAACTGAGAGTCTGGGATTCTTCAGTTTGGGAAAAGTAGAAGCCTGAGGTCATTCGCTGTCTTCTAAGGACAGAAAAAAATTCCATTCTTTTCCAAGTTTATTAGCAGTTTAACTGAAAATCCACATTCTTTCTTTCTAACTATATCATTTGTTGCTTCAGAGATGTGATTGATGTGTTGATTTAGAGATGTGCTTTAGAGATTGCTATATCTAGCAATTAAACTTCTACTAATTACATATATCATTTTTGTTAAGCCAGTAAACTCTCAAAGTATCAAAGAGCAGTATGGTAGCATGGTTAGTGGTAAAGAATATGGAGCTGGGTGGATCAGGGTATCAATTCCTCTTTTCCACTCACCAGTTGATTAACCTACAATAGTTTACTTAAGCAGTCTTATCTCAGTTCTTCATCCATAAAAATGAAGGAAATGATAGTGATGGCTCCATGACAGATTAAATAAAACATGCCAAATGCTTAATACAGTATCTAACTAATAGATTTTACTCAATAAATATGAACTGAGTGGCTAAAATATGATATGGGACACCTCTTATACTTTCATAACTTTTGTTGTGTAAAATAAATACTTTCCCACTGAGAAATGTTGATGTGAACATATGTATGGGTATACTGAACCCTGTATTTTGTTACTTACACATCACCTATCAAAATATTGTGACCAACCACATGTTTTTGCTGCTAGTTTCTGACCCCTAAATTAGTAATTAGTTATTATTTTTAAAAAGCTGTACTATATTTTACATACCATAATATCCACCTATTTTAAGTGTATGCAGTCTGATAACTCTTAAGATTTTACAATCTTGCAACCACGGTCATTTCATGTTATAATATCTCTGGCATTCTAGAAAGTGTCGTCGTGCTCCTTTGCAGTCAATCTCCTTCTCACCCCTGACACCTTGAAAGAACTATCTGGTCTCTATATTTTTTTATTTTCTTTCTTTTTTTTTTTTTTCTTTTTTTTTTTCTTTTTTTTTTTTTTTTTGAGACGGAGTCTTGCTCTGTCGCCAGGCTGGAGTGCAGTGGCACTGTCTCGGCTTATTGCAACCCCCACCACCCGGGTTCAAGCGATTCTCCTACCTCAGCCTCCCAAGTAGCTGGGAGTACAGGTGAGTGCCACCACGCCCAGCTAATTTTTATTTTTAGTAGAGATGGGGCTTCACTGTGTTAGCCAGGATGGTCTCGATTGCCTGACCTCGTGATCCGTCCGCCTCAGTCTCCCAAAGTGCTGGGATTAGAGGCATGAGCCACCGCACTTGGCTAGTTTTTTTTTTTTGGTTGTTTTTTTTTTGAGACGGAGGCTCGCTCTGTTGCCCAGGCTGGAGTGCAGTGGCGCGATCTCGGCTCACTGCAAGCTCCACCTCCCGAGTTCACGCCATTCTTCTGTCTCAGCCTCCCGCGTAGCTGGGACTGCAGGCGCCCGCCACCACGCCCGGCTAATTTTTTGTATTTTTAGTAGAGACGGGGTTTCATCGTGTTAGCCAGGATGGTCTCGATCTCTTGACCCCGTGATCCACCCACCTCGGCCTCCCAAAGTGCTGGGATTACAGGCGTGAGCCACTGCGCCCGGCCAGCGAGTTGTTTTTTTTTTTTTTTCTATGAATTTTATGTAAATTGAATAACCTTATAATCACCTAATGATTTTGGCAGTGGTTGTATTCATACACTTCAAACCCATGAGGTTTTTAACCAGTATTGATCAAGTTGTGGATCCACTGAAAAAAACCCTTTTAATTGTAGCCAGTATTCAGTTTTTTCTTTTTAAAATTTTTTTCACAATACATTCTCCTATTTTTTTCATGCATGCGGATTTCAGTAGTAATCTAAGCATATGAGGAGAGTTTATTTCAGACCTTTACATCTAACTTTACAGTCTAGCTGTTAAATTTTTGGTTAATATGCTTTGCCTCGTGAACTGGAATACAAACTTGAACTAATAAAACTTTTTATTTTCTCTGTTGATTTTGAGCCAAGATCACCACTTTTAGTTGGCCACACTCCCATCTCCCTATCACAGACTCTAGTCTAGGAGAGCTGTAATTTTGGCTGACCATGCCAAGGAGGTACATGAGAGGAAGGCAAACTCTCAATATTTTCCTCAAAGCTGTAGCCTTTTTTTTAAAAAAAAAAAAACAACAGCAAATGCTTCTCAATTTATCTGACTTTGATCCAATCCAAGGACACTAAACTCGTTGCTTTCTGGCAGTTATATGCAATTTTATAATTGTTTTATTCAGAGGGATATTGCTTTACTTATTCATGCTACCATTTTTAGAATTCCAGTCTGTTGGAGGAGGTGTTTCCTTAGGTGGTGGTTACAGATTGTGGAAAAGTCTTTATAATATTAGTCCTTTGAAAAGTTGCCTTCTCAATTTTTCTCTGGTCCAGGAATGTTTGACCATTTGCACTTATTTCATGAATTTTGCTGTTCAATGCAAGAATAAAGGGATGTGTTTAAAATATATGAAACAATGGGGCATGTTTTTATGTGTCTTTTTCTGTTTAAAAGTGTTTATAAGACTATTTGAAGGTTTGCTATGTCTATTACCACCTACAGTTTTCAAGTCTTGTTCACTTAAAAAAAAAATCTTCTAATAAGCATTTTGCCACTTTTCTTGGCTTGCTGTTTTATAGTATTTTCACGTGCTTTAGGGGAATTAATATAAATAAACAAAATGAAGCTAACAAATGAAGCTACAATTGCATCCTGAGTAAAATAAATTACATTTTTTTCATCATCCTGAATTACAGAAATGATAAGAATTTTACAGATATTTTTCTTTTTTGCTTTTTATATTAAACTCCTGTCACCTGAGATAAACTGAATATATCTGATTGTACTTTAATCAATTTTAATTTCTAAGAAAAAGTTTAGATTCAGGAAATGGAAAGAGAAATAGAGGAAGAAACTAGAAGAGAGAAAAATGGACAGAACCTCATGTATGATAAGGAGAGTCATGTAGTTAATGCTATGGCAGTCAAAAGCCTTTATGAACACATATGGATGAAAAGGTAAGAGAAGACATAAAAAGAAGGCTGAAGGTTTTAAAGGAATATGGAGCATGTTTTGCAGGTTATTGAAGACTTCTGGTGACAACAACCTTAAAGTTGCTCATACACTTAATCTACATTGAAAGTGTTTATTATATCCTGAAAACCAAAAAACATGACGTGCGATATGTGCGCATCGTACAACCTTTCCCTCCTGCCTTTGAATTGACTTATTTTTTCATATATATAGATGAGATAATATATGTCTTTATTGTGGGAACCTCTTTATTATAAAAAATTTCACAAACAAAGCAGAGATTAGTCCAACAAAACTTAATAAATCCATTACACAACTTTAAGTGGTTTAACTCAGGGCCAGTCTCATTTTATCTGCATTCCCATCTACTTCTTCTCCCTCTTCCTGGATTAGTTTGAGACAAAGCCAAGGGAGAAGAAACTTTATGTTTTATTCATTATTATTTAACTATGTATGTTTTAATATGACTTTTATATAATTTAATTTTAATTATTAAGTCTAAAAATTTTACATTATCTTAGTATTATATGATATCCAGCAGTTGTTGTATTTATGTGGACACTTTACCAAGTCCTTTAAAAATAATTCACAAAGCCATCCCTCCATGACTTAGAGGAGTCAAAAAGATAATGTAGAGGCTTTGTGATAACATATTTAATATATTGTTATTGATGGTAAATTCAATTGCTTATAGAAGTTTCTATTATCACCGGTTCAATTTACATTCTAGATTTATATGTTCCCCATTTAAATGAAAAATCAAACATCACAAAATTTTAAGGGATTATTTTTCTGTATCATCCAAGCTCCACCAAAATCTATAAATGTAGACCTTACTTGGCATGTTTACTAAATTATTTTATATTTACATTAAGCAATGATTTTTATGCTTATCATGCACTATGAGTTGCATGCATTCTTTGGCTTCCTTGTGTTTTGCCAAACACTCCATTTGACCAGTGAGCCAAAGTGCACTGTAACTGATGAACTGCAAATGTATTCAATATATTTCTGGTAAAATCTGAGTCAGCAAGAAGAGCCTACTGGAGTGCAAAAATTAGCATGACATAATGCCGAGTACATTCTCTCACAAGTTAAAGATATGGATAACAAAAGTTAATCCATGATTTCCTAGAATTAATAAATTAGATAAACCTATTTTAGCTTTAATAAGTTTGCAACACAAAGATCATTTACTTGAAGTAACACATAATTAAGTTCTTGGAAATTATAATTTACTGCAGTCTTTCTGCATGGAACTCTGCTGTAATGGGGAAAGTTTATATATATGTGAGTACATATTCATGTCAGTGTGTGTGTATCTATGTGTGTGTATATAGCCCCTATCAATTAAATAAACAAGATGCAGCAAGATGTCAGCCACTTTTACATAATTTTAGCAAAGCTCTAAAGGAGGGAACACAAGTTATCTTTTCTTTAAATAATAATTTCTGTGAATAATCAAGGCTTACTAATTGCTTTTTCAAATTCTCCAGCTCTGATTTTTACTTCACATGTTCAATATATATTTTTCTTTTGTACTTCTAAAATATTCTCCTGCTGGCTACTTAGTAATTTCTTTGATAGTCTTTGATTTCATCAACTTATTTTATTCTATAAAAGTAACATTCCAAAGTCACTTTGTGCAATTTGTAAAAAAAGAGATTTAAGGTTATGATTAAAAGTGGAAAATTCAAATTCTTTAAAATAATTTTGAATAAAATCAGCTAGGTTTTTAAAACAACATTCATAAAAGTCTTGATCCTATCATTTGAATTTTTAAAAAGCCATGTTTATTGAAATGACTTTGCTTTAAATCCAGTAAAAGAAGATTCAGCTGGCATTTATGATAAAAATTACTGTATTTGGAAATGTATTTCTTGGCTTTTACAATAATCAGAAGTCACTTTTTAAATGTCATATTACACACATACAGATACACACACACATACACACGTACTTGTTAGCTCTGGAGGACTAAAAATGTGTTTACATGAGATTCTTAAAGAAAAAAAAAACTAGTTCATGTTTTAAATTAAATCCTTTTAGGCAATTAGATTTTTAGCCAGTAGCAGTAAAGAGCAGGTTTGTAATTCTAAAATTAATGTTAAAAAAAATGATATATTACTTGAGGAACTACATTATGTTTTTGGCTCAGAGAACATACTTTAAAAACCTGCCAACATCAAGAATATGTGTCCTGGAAAAATACAGGAAATTATAATTTCCAAGAACTTAATTATGTGTTACTTCAAGTAAATGATCTTTGTGTTGCAAACTTATTAAAGCTAAAATAGGTTTATCTAATTTATTAATTCTAGGAAATCATGGATTAACTTTTGTTATCCATATCTTTAACTTGTGAGAGAATGTACTCGGCATTATGTCATGCTAATTTTTGCACTCCAGTAGGCTCTTCTTGCTGACTCAGATTTTACCAGAAATATATTGAATACATTTGCAGTTCATCAGTTACAGTGCACTTTGGCTCACTGGTCAAATGGAGTGTTTGGCAAAACACAGCAGGAAAAATACAGATATTTCATTATCTCTTATGTTTTCTTTTCTTTTCATTTTATCGCTATGGTTTAGATTCTGAGCATGATTGATTTCAAAAAAAAGCTTGAGAAATGTCAAATGTATCATATCATTATGAAAATAATGAGAGCACATCTAAAATTCTCATACTAATTTTTAAAAGTTATGCATAGTATATACATATAATGGGCATATGGAATACTATTGCACATAATGAAATCTAAAACTGCAACAAATCCAACTTTCTAAAATTCAGTTCCTTTTTAAAAATATAATACAAAATAAAAAAGACATCTCCAAGTCATCTTATAATTATGGCGGCCTTGTGATTTGTCATCCAAACTGAACTCTTAAGAGTGAAAGAGGGCATTATTAATCATTACTCTGAAAAAAGAAGTTTAACCTGGGCCTGTTCCAGTGCCCGTAATTATGACTTTTTCCACAAGCTTCTTGTGATTTTAGGTACAGTTATTAATTCTTTCATTCAGGAGCTTAGTGCTGTAAGTGCATATAACACTGCTAGAGTGGCTCAATGCATTGATGGGCCAAACTGAGTTTAAGAGAATAATTTATATTCACAACCGGGCACTATGAGAACAAGTATTTATATGGGCTTGCTACTTATTGCATCTTGATGTCTGAATTATTTCCTTCAAGTATGAAACTTTTTTATTTCTCTAGATGCCTGAGAATTCCAACAGGTGGTCTAATTAGGTGAATAGAATGAGGATAACTGGACATATGAGTTTCCTCCATTCATAAGGTAGGAAATGGCATCTGTCACTTAAGACTTAAGGGTTCCCACTTCCCACTCATGCAATATTATTCATTGACTTTAAAACATGAAGCTGATTCTCATCTAGCTTTGTTTGTTCACTTCTTTAGAATGGAGACTCTTCCAGAAGCTTCACTACTATCACTGAGAGTCAAGAAATTCTAATTCCAAGAACTTGTGATTAATATTCATGAGAGAAATTTGTAAGTTAAACAACTTCATATTACCTATCTCTGCTGCCTTCTTATGGCCATGTTTGGTTAGAAAGGCGCCGGAAGCTAAATAATTCGTGTGTGCAAAGACACTCTTTGTCTTGTGTGTTTTGTATTCAAGACACATAAACACTACATATAGTATTTGGGGTATATAGTTAAATTGTCTATGGGTTTTTGAGAGACAGAAAATGTTATTGGAAGGCTATATTGAGTCAGAAACATCAAAGGTAGTCAATAATTTAGAAATGCATTTATTGATTAGATACTCGATGATAATGCCCAAAGTTTATTGTCATTGTGACATTTTTCCTGCCACAAATCAAAGGGTTCAGGTGTTTCCAGAGGGAGGTCAGTAGAATAACAGTGCCCTGTTAGCACAGTTTTGATAGTACCTAAATACCCCACTTGACAACTGAAGTCCAACCTGAAACAATAAAAGCTTATCCTAATAAGTTCTCTAGTGCTGCTAAAGTGGTTGATTTGCCAGTGACTATTAACCTCACTGTTATCCCAGGGTTGAAGGCTACTGAACTCTTGGCAACCTATGTGCCAGGAGGCTGCTGCTCTGTATTTTATCCTCATCTTGAGGACCGACCTAAGGCTCCAGCATCAAATTCAAGCATTTGCTTATCTTCAAAGTCTCATTGTACAAACAAAAGTTATGGATGGCACTTTGCAAAGCAGCACTTCTATATTTTTATTTTTGGAAGGCTACTCAGATATAAAAACCCTCTGTGTTTTTGAAAAGTTTCTATTGGCTCTTTCCATGGAATATATTGCTGCAAAATTATCCTATAAAAGCAAGGTACAATTCAGTACTTAGAATTATATCAAACATCAAGATCCAATCTCCAATAAGAAAAATGTCTTAAATTTTTATTTTACAGTATTAAATAATGACTCATTATATAAATTTCTATAATTATTTGTTTGCAAATAGAAAAGAATTGTTGAATGCTAGTTTAAAAAATTTACAATAGCCCTCTGGGAGAATATTTAAATGGAGAATATTTTATTGTGAAATACTTTATAAGAGGATTTTTACCCATTTTCCCATGTAGTTGATTACTTTATTACAACACTTATTCTATTTAATTTTTTAAATAATTTAACTATGCATTTCAAGAATACATTAAGTATTAGACATGAGAAACCTTTTTTCATGCATACTTCAGTATGAGTGTATGGAAGTGTATGTGTATTTGAGAAATACACTGATTGGTTGAAGAACTGATTGGTTGAAGGAGAAAGAGGGCAACCTTATGTTGTAGTGCTAAAATAAGCATTTATCACTCTGAGATGGGCTTTTGCACTCTTTTGAGTTCAGCTAAAATAAAATTCTGTGTTACCAAGAAGGAAAGGTGTAGTGAATAAATTTCTTTTCAACAGGAAGTGGGATAAGAGCAAGAACACAGAGCTTGACGTTGGACAATCATGAATTCAATCCTAGCTCAGCAACTACATGTCCTTTCATGCTAGACAACTTATTTACACTCTAAGAATTCATTCACCTCCTAATATGGTTTTGATCTGTGTCCCCACCAAATCTCCTGTCAAATTGTAATCCCTAATGTTGGAGGTGAGGCCTAGTGAGAGGTAATTGGATCATGGAACAGAGTTCTCATGAATGGGTTAGCATGATCCCCTTGGTGCTGTTCTCCTGATAGTGAGCGAGTCAGTTGTGAGATCTGGTTGTTTAAAAGTGTATAGCATCTCCACCCTCTCTCCCTCCCTCCTGCTCCCGCCATGTAAGATGTGCCTGCTTCTCCTTCACCTTCAGCCATAATTGTAAGTTTCCTGAGGCCTCCCCAGAAGCAGATGCTGCCATGCGTCCTGTACAGCCTGTGGAACCATGAGCCAAATAATCCTCTTTTCTTTATAAATTACCCGGTCTCAGGTATTTCTTTATAACAATGTGAGAATGGACTAATACACCTCCTTTGTGAGATGAGGATGTGCTGGGGTTATTCACTTACCTGCTCATTCTACTTCCCATATTCCTCCACTCTAATCTGTGCCTCTGGAGATTGACATTTATGAAATCAATCAATCAATAAACTTTGCCTTCTGACTTTCAGTTGAGTTCAGTGAATAGGAGGCACCAGCAGGAGAGTAATTGTTTTTCTCTGTGCCAGACTGAAGACTGATGCTGCTGCTGTTTTCTCTAGGATGTACCCTTTGCAGGTCTAGGTCTTGTGGGATGCTGGTAATTTTCAGGCCTATTGGTATAAATGCTCTGGATTCCTTTGCTATCTCATGTGGGTTTTCTTAAATCTAGCCCTACTTATGTAATTGATCCTTCGATTAAACAATTATTAATTTTCTTCTTTGAGCATGTCATTATCTGTTGGACCCAGACTCATATGGACAATAAATAAAATACTAGAAATATATGGTTGTTGAATGGATTTATTTCTGTGTGACAACATGAGTAAGACATATTCAAATTATGTCAAATAAATATTAGTTGAAGTAATCTAGGTCATATGCCTCAGTTTTGATTTAAAATGCCTGTCTGGCTGCTGAAACAGTAACAGGAGAGCCTTCCTGATCCAAAGGAAGGAGTCTACTTTTAGCACTTTTGGATCCTCCCTCTACCAGGCTCCATGGTTTTCTCAAGACACACAACTATTCCAAACAGCTGTTATTAAGACATATGAAGGGCATTTTGTCCACTTCTCTGTTTTAGAATGAGTCTTCTTTGCAACACTGAGGTTTTAAAGTAGTTCTGTCTAAAATTTGGCAAGTATGTGAATTTCCTAAGATGTCTGTCAGGAAAGCGACAATTATAATGTTGTTAGAAAAAGAGGAATCGACATTGCTGATGAGATGACAATGCCTCAGTTACTGGATAACACAGATGACAGGAACCTGAAAACGGCTATGTATTCTTGACATTTCCCTACAGGGCAAAGGGAGCTCGTATTGCAGACTGCAAAGGTGGTAGTCAGTTCAAAGAAATGATGCTTACAGGTGTTTCATTCTTCTTACACACTTGATTAGAAGAAAGTGGCAAGTGTCATATGCTTAGTTTCAAACATCAGGATAAGAAAGAACACCTCCCTCAGTCAATCTGCCTGTTCTGTGCTACAGAAACTGGAAACATCATCAGAGTACCATTCTAGAAACATGGGTTTCAGCCATGTCTCAATTCAAACTCCTTGACACATCAGCTAACTACTGTAAGTTTCCTCTTAGTAAAGCATAAAATGAGGGTAAAATAATTACAGTCATATCTATATCCCACATGGAAAGGATGAAAGAATTAAATCAGATGCATATCTTTCCAATTCTGCTGTGTCAACTGTAGACAAATTGCTTAACTTTACTAGGACTTGGTTTCTTTATCTATAAAATGAGAAATGTTTAGGAGAGTTGTTTTCTGAACAAGGTCATTAGAACCTATAGGGTTCTTAAAAGGTTACAACAAGCCTAACTTAAAGGTAAAATAGGTATTCTTTATCTGAAATTATATCATCTCAGTGTAGAAGCTTACGAAAATACAATTAGTGAAATAAAAATTTATATTCAGTTAAGTTAAACATTCTAGTAGTAACCAATGACAAAACAGTATAATAGAAGAAATATAAACCATAATTTATAATACATATAATGCATAACTATACATATTAGTATCGTTATATGTATTATAGTAAATTATATGTAAGTATTAACATATATATGTGTGTGTGTGTGTGTGTGTGTGTGTGTGTCTGTGTGTGTATTTAAGCCATCAGCCTATACCACAACTAGTAGGGAAACACTAGAGCTGTTTTGCCTGAAGTTAGGAATAAGGCCAGAATTGTTTTAATATTGTTCTAGACAATTTAACCAATATAATAAATATGAGGCATAAATATGGGTTTTTCTATAATTGAGAGGTCACAAATACCACTATTTTAAAATGTTTTTTATTTCCAAATATCAAACAGGGAAAAATAGAAAAAACCAAGAAAATAGTAAAAATATATTTAGAAATATTTTCATAGTTTCATCATCATGGTCAATTACAAGACTATTACACACACACTTACATATATATATATTACATTTATATGTATAATGTAATATATATATATAAAATCTTTGTTTTATATCAGAAATGACCAGTACAAGCAGATTAACAAAAATTCTTAGAGTCTACAAAGAGTTCTTAATGTTACAACAGATCAGTTAAATATCTAGGTAAAAAAAATTCAACCATAAATGACTATGAACAAAATACATGGTAATATTTCTTCAGTTTTAGATTGAGAAGGCATCCGAGTGTTGATCAAACAGGAAGAAACCATAAATAGAAAAAGTAATAGATTTGGTTATATATAACTTTCACACATCAGAAACAAATGTTAAGCTATAAAAACATGGCTATAATTCATATTTGTTGCCAACGCATGACCAGATAATGTAATACATAAAGGCTTTTCTACTTACTCATTAATGAATTCAAGAAATGTCTTAAAAAATAAAAACACCCTTAATTGAAACATAAGGAACATACACATATGAAAAAATTTAAATAGCCAATAAATATAGATATAAAAAGCAGCTCAGGAGTAACTAATTCACCAAAAAGAAAAAAAAAAAAAAAAACAGCCAAGAAGACACACATTTCATTAGCAAATTAGACAAAAGATAAAGAAATACATAAAACAATTTGTAATTGTATGCTATTAAAATATTATGAAATAATACAAGACATAGCATTATAATACTTTAGAATTTCCAGATTAAAAAGTAAAACAAAATTTGAAATAACGTTTTGAAATTCTATAAAACTTATTTAGGACATTAAGTAGAATGTATATGTTAAGGTAAAGAGATTAACATCTTAAAAATATTTAATTTTAAAGTATAGAAACTTAGTTTCTTTCCTCATTTATGTAATATATCTTTTATTAACTATTTACTTTGGGTAGTCTGGCCTACAACTGTTTGACTTGGTGGGCTTTGATTAACATTCATATGACCAAACAGAACCAGTGTTGAAAGTGTGTGATGGA
Source organism: Homo sapiens (assembly GCF_000001405.40). Lineage (NCBI taxonomy): Eukaryota > Metazoa > Chordata > Mammalia > Primates > Hominidae > Homo > Homo sapiens. Next base: position 30,132,466 of record NC_000004.12, read on the forward strand.
ATAGCATTCCAGGTGATCGAGCTAAATTGTGAGAAGCTAGACGTGTTAAACATGAAAGGGACTATGGAGATTCTGAATGTAGCAAGATCACTCTCAATGATGTGTATACATCATTTTGTAGTAACCGAAATACAAAATAATTCAGAATATTGTCATGTTCTTCCTAATTCCAAAGTGCTCAGACTTTAAAAAAATAAGTAAATTCATGTATAACTAAGAAAAATCCAACTGGAGTCAAACAAATGGCCAAGTTCATTTTACCATTTTCACACTTTTCTCAAAAATGTTTAAACCAGTAGATACCACTTTAGAGTTTATGCACTTTAGAGCGTGCTTCCCAACTTACTATATATTTATTTAAATTATAATAATTTCAGGTTGTCTTAAATGCAAACATAATGTTTCCAGATCATATATATTAAAAATGAAAAAATAAGCTCTTATTAATGCTGTTCTATGTTTTCAGAAAGCCTTATCTCCACTGATTCTTTCAATAAATCCATTAAGTACTTTATTAGCTTCATTTTATAAATACACTAATTTGCCCAAGATTAAAGAACTAGGAAGTTGTGATCTATAATTCAAATCCATATATTCTGTGAGTCTTGTAAGTATATTCTGACCCTATTCAAACCACTACTACATATTGCTGTTAAAATATATTAGAGTTGTGAATAATAATGACAGTAATAACATATGTAAATACATACATACACATAGCTTACTCTTTTTTTTTTTTTTTTTTTCACTCTTGTTGCCCAGGCTGAAGTGCAATGGCATGATCTCGGCTCACCAAAACCTCCGTCTCCTGGGTTCAAGCAATTCTCCTGCCTCAGCCTCCCAAATAGCTGGGATTACAGGCATGCTCCACCACGCCCAGCTAATTTTGTATTTTTTGTAGAGTTGGGGTTTCTCCATGTTGGTCAGGCTGGTCTTGAACTCCTGACCTCAGGTGATCCACCCACCGTGGCCTCCCAAAGTACTGGGATTATAGGCATGAGCCACTGGGCCCAGCTAGGCTTACTCTTTTGAATTCATCTTTCTCTTTTCTTTTCTTAGATATTTGTAACTTTCTGTTTTCACTTGATAATTTTCTATGAGAATCTTCTCATAGACCCACTGATATGCGCATATCCTTCTCACTTTTAGTAGGACTACTTTTATATTGGTATGAAAAATATGATAACTGAGCCACACAAAGCAATCAATATAATGACTATGTAAGATATAAATGTAAAACATAAACACTTTTGAACTTGCTATCCAACAGGAATTATAATATTGAAAGTTATCTAATCTGTCCAGCTGTCTCTTACCATAATAAAAATAACCAATCACCAAAACTTTTGTCCATTAATTCTTTTTTTGCATTTTAAAATATGTTTATGATATACTTAGGTATTCCTAAAATATATATATATCTTATGTTTGCCATATACGTTAGAGCTTTATTAAAACGTAGTATCATTCTCTAGCTATCATTACATCACTGAGATTCATTCATGCTATTTCATGATTATTTTATTTTTGTTTCTACATAATATTCCATTAGGCCAGAGATCAGCAAGTTTTTCTGTTCATGGAGAGATAGTTAACATGCTTGAGTCTGTGGTGCATATAATCTGTCGCAATTAACTAACTCTGCTGTCATACAGGAAAATCATCCACACATGATACAGAAAATAAATGATATGGTTGTGTTCCAAGAGAAATGTTTTTACTAAAACAGGAGGCTGGCCAACTTTAGCTCATGGGCCATAGTATACCAATTTCTGCATGACATGAATATAGCCAAATTTAGTTATGTGTTATTGGGTTTAGAGACACTTTTGTTGTGTCTAGTTTTTGCTATTATGAATGATTGTTGCTATGAACAAATTTAAGCATAATTTTCCTGACAAATATGTGTATGCTTGGAAGTGGAATGTCTAAGTTTTAATGTTCATATTTTAAAAGATAAACACATTGTTTAGCAGGATGGTTTTTAGCAATTTTCCATCTCACTAAAATGTATAAATCCCTGTTGACCCATATTTTTACCACAATTTGATATAGTCAGGTATCTTATTTTTTGTCTACATATTTGTATCATATTATGGTGCAAATATGAATTTCCACTATATTAACAAGGGTATTTGGGTTTTGATTTATAAAAATATTTAATTTATGTAGAAATATAAATTAAATAAAAAGGTTTTGTTTCTTTAAAATACCTATAAATGTCTTTTGTCCATGTATATACTAAGTTTTTGTGTTTTGCCTATTGAGTCTTGTGAGTATATTCTGAAAAGTAATTCCTTTTTCAAATACTTTCTTCCAGTTAGTGACTTGTCTTTTTATTTTCTAGACAATTTATTCAATAAACTGTTTTTTTAATTTTAGTTTATTCAGGTGATCAGCCTTTTCGAGGAGAGATAGTATATTTTGTGTCTCCTGGGAAAACAAATGCATCAGAGTATTCTACATTGGCCTTAAGTATACTTTAACATTTGAATCCTTCATCCTTCTGGAATTGACATTTTGTGTATTCATTTGTGAAGATGCAATTTCAAAATGACCTCTGAGATGGGAAGTTATCCAACACCATTTATTGCATAGACCACTTCTTCCCCAGTGAAACTGATGCGACTTTGGCCATATAGCAAGTTTCCATATGTGGCCTTTTTGTCAGCTACCTTTGTGTCCCATTGGTCAATGCAGTTTATCTCTGGGTTAATGTCACATTGACTTAATTACTATAGTTTCATAAATGTCTTAATAACTGAGAGGAAATTTCTTCTTTTAGGGGTGACTTTGCCATTCTTAGTCCCTTTATCTACATATGAAATTTAAAATTATATTGTCAATTTTCTCAAAAATCCTGCTGGGATTTTGATTAAAATTCTATTAAGTCTCTGAGTTAATTTCTAGAGAAATAATGCCTTTATAATAATGATTTTGATAGCATCTTGCAGTAATTTTTTGAATTTTCTTTGTGTCATATATCTTGTAAGATTTATTGCTAGATTCATTTCTAGATGCCTTAAACTTATTTACTGTGTTGGTATATTATCACTTTTAAGAATATATTTTTACCTATTTTTGGAGTAGAGAAATGCAAATTCTTATTAATTCTAATAATAAAATAAGGTTTTTGCAGTTTTAGTTGTAGAAGTTGTAGCTTCTTTAAATAGTAATAATTTCAGTACATCTTTTTTGTCCTTGCATGATGTCCTTTGTGTGTGTGTTATTTTGGTGACTGGGATATACATGATAATGTTAAATAGAATAGCCTATATTGAGTTCCCTATCCTGTTCCTGTTCATAAATATAATGCTTAATGATTACCAGTAGAAATAATGTTGACTGTGTTTTGGATAGACATCCTTTATGAGGTTATTCTCTTATTCCTATTACTTAGGGTTTTATTTTAAATTTCTAATTGGCTGCAGATTTTCACAAAAGGCTTTAACTCCATTCATCGGAATAAAATATCATATGAATCTCTTAGTATAGAATGACTTTTATAGATTTTAGAATATGTAACCGTTTTGCACTTCTGGTATAAACCTTATTTGGTCACAACATATTCTCTTTATTTTAAATACACAGATGGGTTTGATTTGCTCAAATATTCTCCAAAATTTTATTCTATATTTATGAGCAGTATTGCCCTGTAATTTCCCTAGTGATATCTGGTGTTGATACCAAGATTCATCTGGCCTCACAGAATGAGTTGAGATGTGTATCCCCTTTTTATCACTCTAGAAGAATTTTTATATTATTTAAATAACCTGTTATTTGAAGAGGAGAACACAACTGCAGCACTATTTGGATCTTGCATTTGCATTTTGTGAATATTTTTCAACATTGGTTTAATTTCTTGAAAAAGATTTAAATTTGTGATTCCTATATTTTGAGAGTAATATTTGTATTTGTCTAGTTATTTGTCCCTTTCAACTAAGTTTTCAAATGTTGGCATTAAGCTGTTATGTATATAACTTTGATATTTTTACAATCCAATAAATCTCTATCAATGTACCCAGATTTATTTATACAACAGTTTATTAGTGTGATTTTTCTATTTTCTTGACACAATTTACCACAGGTATTAATATTTTCAAAACAAATTATTTTCTGTGATACATCTTTCCATTACATTTTTTTTGCTTTCTATTTCACATGTTTTTACTTTTATTATCTTTTCCCCTCTACTTACTTCTAGATAGTCTGTTATTATTTTTCTAACTTCTTAAATGTTATTTTTTATGTAAGATCTGACATATTTTTTACATCTCAGTTTAAAGTTCTCTCAAGTAAGTCTGAGCTCTCAAAAAAGTAAGACAACAGCTTCTTACTAAATTAGTGCTCCTTATTATATATACTCACATATTTACTTGGAAACTAATATCAGACTTTTTACTTAGCATACTTATCAATATATATTATACCGTGATATGTAAGGAGACTTTATATAAGATACCTTAAGTAAAGTTTGCATCATAATCTCAAGAGAAATTATTTGAAAATTTAACGATTAGTAATATCTCTCTTACATTGGATACATCAGAATCTTTTACAATATTCTATAACACCTGTAAATAAACAAATGTACCCAGCTGTTAATGATTGAATGTTTGTGTTCTTTCAAAATTTATATGTTGAATTCAAGGTTACTTCAATGTGATGGTATTTGGAAGTGGGACATTGGGAGGGAGCTGGTTGAAATGAGTTTATTAGGGTGGAGCCCTCATGATAAAATTAGTGCCCTTATAAAAAGAGGAAGAGATCTCTGAGGTTTCTTCCTCTGCCATGTGAGGATACAATGAGAAGGCAGTATCTACAAGCCAGAAAGAGTGCCTTCACCAAGAAACAAATCTGATGGCACCCTGATCTTGTACTTCCCAGCCTCCAGGACTGTGAAAAACAAATGTCTGATTTTTAAGCCATGCAGTCTATGGTATTTTGTTTTAGACTCCGAACTAAGACATTATGCATCTTCATGTGGGAGCTATTCTACCATCATTGATGCCAGACTAAATCCACTAAAAGTCCTCATGGGTTCTTAAGCCATAGAGTGGCCCAGAACAGTTACAATGGCACTGAAAAGAAAACAGTAACTGACCACTGTCAGGACCTCCATCTGAAACATGAGTTTATTGGATATAGGCTAATGAAAAACAATGTGTCTTCTATCCAAGCAAATTTGAGTGTATATTTATATGACATGATTGTTATTTACATGATTGTGAAAGAAATTTGTATGGCTCTGAAGTATAATTATTCCTTCTTTCAGTAGCTTAGCAGAGACAGTTTTCTACTTAGAGAACTCACTATGTCTAAGCCCCCAAGCAGGACAGACTAATTTTAGGCACTGGTTTTCAGAGGCCTTCCCTTTCTTAAAAGGACAACTCCTTATCCAGAGTGCATCCATTGTTACATAGTCATATAGATCGTCACTCCTTGTCTACTATTCATACAGAGACTCAAGTGGCATTTTGACCATGGTGTTCACTTGAAGGTTTTCTTGACTCAGCCCAAGCTGTGGTATGCTATGAGAATCATTGTGCTCACTCTGTAACTTCTCTGCTTATCTTTCCCCAAATATGCATCGTGCTGCTGATATGTACCCATGACCCCTTTGAACAACACATAAAAAAAGAAATTAATGGCATAGATAAATATGTGATAATGATAGCATAATTTAAAATATAGTACATTCATGCACATGGATGCATATGCACATATGCATTTGTATGTGGATGATCACTTATCAAAATGATAAGCTGGGCTTTTTTTTTTGAGACAGAGTTTTGCTCTTGTTGCCCAAGCTGGAGTGCAATGGCATGATCGTGGCTCACTGCAACCTCTGCCTCCTGGGGTCAAGCAATTCTCCTTTCTCAGCCTCCCAAGTAGCTGGAATTACAAGCATATGCCACCACACTCAGTTAACTTTGTATTTTTAGTAGAGATGTGGTTTCACCATGTTGGTCAGGCTGGTCTCGAACTCCTGATCTCAGGTGATCCACTGACCTCGGCCTCCCAAAGTGCTGGGATTACAGGCGTGAGCCACCATGCCTGGCCATTTTTGTTTGTTTATTTGTTTGTTTTGGGTATTTTTCAAATATTCCTGCATGAAAACTGTTATATTCACAATAAAAAATATATTGTTTCTTTAGCAGTCAATGTAAGGCCCAATTAAGTATTCTATCCTATAAATTTCTGTTCTTCACAATTGATATGACCCTGGAAATTTCAAATGCTTTGCTAATGAAATAATATACATCATAATCCTTACACATCCTAATGGATATTGTTACTGGTGTCAACACCCACCATTCCAGAACCTGAGAACATTTAACATCCCAGGGCATCTTTCAGGAAGATGAATCCATGTTTATCTCAAAAAATAAGAGTTTACTGACAAATTTTCCACTGTTTCCTAGGGGTCAGGCACTGTCTCATCCAAACCTGCATCAGTGAGGCAAATTTCACAACGACTCCATAAGTACACAAACACAATACTTTCTGAAGTGTCTTCATAATTTGTTTCCACCATCATAATATCACTTACATTCAATCAATAAAGTAGAAGACTTAAAACGTTTCTAATCTTTCATTTATACTGATGGTCTGTGATTGCCTTCCACATCACATTTGCAGTCGTCCAAAGAGTTCATGTCTCTAAATAGGTCCTTGATACGCTCCCGGCAAACATCAACATTTTTAAATTACATAAACTTTATGTAACATATAGAGAAAACATACCTTTTAAAAAGCATTTCCCCTGTATTTACTTGCTATCAAGAACTCACGTGCATACGATCAAAAATTTATTGAGATTGTAGCTAAGATATACTCAGTCTTAATTCCCTCTTGCTCAGCTTCCTCGTAATGCATATATAAAAAAGAAAATTAAGAAAACTCTGTTCCAAAATGTTTGGAAAATTAAGAAAAGAAGAGAAAACAACAAATCAATATTTTAACAGTTTAAACAAAATATCCATAATTCTAATTTGGAGATACTAATTTTTCTAGATGTATGTTTTCACAAAATTATGTTAATAACAGTAGCATAATACAAACTTTAGAAGAGCTCTAGAGAAATTTGTGTACCTCATAACAATCCCTACAAAGTGAATTATGATGAAGATCAAGGAAAACATGGACTTTACAATACCCTCGTCTTCACAAGAACTCAAACAAATAGAGAGTATAGTTTTTAATAGGAAAATCTAAGGTATTATGCATATAATGGGACTTTTGGATCAAGTTCTCAAGTGTTTCTGAGTACTGTTTTCTTTATTTTCAAGTATACTCTTACACTCCTGAGTCTAGGGAGTCTTTCAAGTCAGGCTCAAGGGGAACCAGGCTGAGAAGCAGGAGAAGACAGCTCAATTCAGTGCCAGGAATAGATGGGAAGAGAGCTTCCACTCCCTGGCCTGATATGATTGGGACACAGAGTATGAGAAAAGAATGGTTGGACAGTAGGCTATGGCATGTAAGAATGGTGAGGCATAAGTTTAAGTGATAAGGGTGACTAGGGACCATGTTATAAAATAATGGCACTTGAGTGTTACAGGGTGAATTGTGCCTCTCTAAAATTTATATGTTGAAATATTAACCCTCAGCACCTCAAAATGTGAATCCATTTAGAAACAGGGCTTTAAAAGAGGTAATTTAGGTAAAAAGAGGTATTATGAATGGGCCCTAATCTGATATAATTGGCATCCATAAGAAAAGGATATTAGGACACGAAATAACCAGAGGAAAAGCCATGTGGGGACACAGAAAGAAGAATAACCATTTGCAAGCCAAAGAATGAGGGTCCAGAAGAAACTACCTGCTGAGAACTTAATCTTGGATTTCCAGTCTCCAGAACCATGAGAATATAAACTTTCTTGTTTAAGTGACCCAGTTTGTGTTATTTTGTTATGGCAGAACCAGCAAACTATTGCATCTATTAACAGAGATCTGTTTTTCCCCTGTGAATTAAAGAAACCACTGGTAGTTAAATAGGGAAGTGACTCCAATTTACTAAGAAATTAATTTTGCAAGACTCGATATATTTCATAACTTGAGCTTTGCTCTTAAATCCATTGGGAACAGAGATCTCCCTATCAGTTAAGACATCTCAGTTTACTTTTGAATGTATCTGACTGCTACATACATAAATATAGATACAGATATTTTTTCTTTGATGAAAGTCATCCTGAACTTCCCTGCAATTTTGTTGTTCTGGCTTCTTCTTAGGCGTTACCCAAAATAGTGCTACTGTATTTTGCACATGAAAACCCTTCCAATATTTAACAAAAGTTTCCAATTGTCATCTAAATACTCTTTTTCAATATATTTGTTATATAAGTGTAACCAATTACCACCCTTATAAGCTATCCCTGAACTAAATTTTTTTCAGTACACATATTTGAGTGCAACATTGAATGTGAATACAGTACTTAACAACTCATAACATTTATTTCACTTTTGCCACATGAAATGCATTGTGTTATAGTGTTTTCTTTCAGTTTATGTGTTGACATTTATAGAACTTCTCTAGTGAAGAAACTAAGACAGTGAAAGAATAAGTGATCGTCAAACAACAAAAATGTTGTGGAGTCAAAATACAAACTGTATCTACCTGATTCCAAGCTGGACCTCTTAACAGGTAAAAAATATGATTTCTAAACATCATTAGATCATCGGTTCAGTGCAAATTTGTGCGTTGAATGGAAAAGAGGAGTGTATTATCATTTTCCTTGTCTTAGAAACTATTACTCTATTGATTCAACTTGATTTCAGAGACAGTTTAAAACCATTTGGTCTTATGGATTTTCTTTCTATTTTCTCTTTCTTTCTTCTTTCCTTCCTTTCATTTGTTGTGTGTGTGGGGCAGGGGGCAGGGTTGAGATGGGGTCTCACTTTGTCACCCAGGCTGGAGTGAAGTGGCACAATCATGGTTCACTGCAGCCTCAACCTCCTAGGCTCAAGAGATGCTCTCACCTCAGCCTCCAAAGTTGCTGAGACCACAGGTGTGCACCACCACATCCAGCTATTTTATTATTTTTTTTTTTGTAGAGATGTTATCACTCTGTGTTGTCCAGGCTCGTCTTAAACCCCTAGACTCAAACAATCTTTCAGCCCTGGGCCCCTGACACAATTGCTTAAAATCCATAGTTTGCCTATACTTAATTTTATGAATGGTTTTATGTATCTGAGTTCAGGAGCTTTTATTTCTATTTTTTCCTTACTCTTTTTGGTCTATAATTTCAACATATTGATATAATTTTATACAATCTTGATTTAAAATACAAATTACTTTCTATCCTTTTAAACTTTGTGTGCCAAATTTTGTCAAGGGTGATTTGTTTTCATTCAAAAAGTTGATAGACATATCAACTAGTACAGGATAATCGCTTGAACCCGGGAGGCAGAGGTTGCAGTGAGCAGAGATCGTGCCCTTGCATGCCAGCCTGGGTGACAAGAGAGAAACTCCATCTCAAAAAAAAAAAAAAAGAAAGAAAGAAATTTCCCATCAACCACAGAACTACATCCAACTGTCAACATGGCATACAATTTCCTTGATGGTATAATTTCAGTTTTGAATTACACCAAGCTTCTCATATGTTAAAGACACCAGAACGCAAGAATTTCAAAAGAAATATTATTTTCAATAATAAGTAGTTTTATTTTTCCAAAAAAAACCCTCCACATGTGTTATTATAAGAATGATCTATTCCTTACTGGACTTTTTATGTTAACTCTATGGTTTAAAATTTTTTAAACAGTTTAATTACATATAGAGATGGAAAAGTTTTGACCATTTAGACCATTCAATCATTTCAAACCAGCCCTTTAATCCCCAAATTGCCACCAGATTTTCTTATAATTTTCTGCCTTAAATAGTTTCTATTCTCATTTCCACAGAGCTTGATGTTCCCACTCTCTTTCATGCTTTTTTTTGTCATCAAATTCTTGAAAAGATTTTTTTTTCACTTTGTGTAATAACTTGTCCATCTCCACCACCATTTTTACCTGGACTTACGGCATCTTGTCATCTAACATCTGCTCATCATCAAGAACTCTGTGCTGACATTTTAGTTATACAGCAACCCTTTCTTATTTAAGGTTTTTTTTCCATGTTTGCACATGCATACAATAAACCACGTAAGCTGACATAATTGTATCTATAATATTATAATACAATTAACTACTTATGAATATGTCCTCCACATTAAATGCTTAAGGAAAGGATTTGTGATCCTTTTTTCCCTTTTAGAACCAACATGCGGCAGTGTCTTCCATATAGCCAATGTTTACTATTATTTGCAGAATTAGTTAACATGTATTTCACTTACAAATGACAGTAGATGGATAGATAGATAATAATATTAATGTTAAATGTTTATATATTGTCTCTTTACGTTCCTAAAAAATAGGGAAGAACAATTTCAAATAAAAATATAAAACTCCAGGGTTTGTAATATTTATAATTGGTTTCTTACTGTTTTAGAAGCAATGATATTTGTCTATCTGTAGGCTATTGATGAATTAATAATTCCTTTGAAGGTGCATTTTAGTTGCTTGGGTTCTGTGGACCTAATACAAAATTTAGAATTGGAATGAAGGATACGTGGCAGGAGAGCCAAAGGTAGAGCTGCATGTTCAAATAGTGCCTGTAGAAATTAATCTAAATCCAGAGTATAAAAGGAGCTCTTAGTCTTTTAGCTACAAATGTTCACATGTACCATAACTGTTTTACTTTGAATTTAAGTATATAAATGGTCCTCTTCACTAATTTAAGATATAATTATAATTGCGTCATTTAAATTCAGTTTTTCAAATGTAATATTCTCATACTTTACTGTCAGAAAATCTGGTACATCTCTCTTAATATTTTCTTTCTTTTTTTTTTTTTTTGAGACAGAGTCTCACTCTGTCGCCCAGGCTGGAGTGCAATGGCCTGATCTCGGCTCTCTGCAACCCCTGCCTCCTGGGTTCAAGTGATTCTCCCACCTCAGCCTCCCGAGTAGCTGGAATTACAGGCACCCACCATCAATGTCAGGCTAATTTTTGTATTTTTGTAGAGATGGGGTTTCACCCTGTTGGCCAGGCTGGTCGTGAACTCCTGACTTTAGGTGACTTTGGCCTCCCAAAGTGCTGGGATTACAGGCGTGAACCACCATGCCCGGCCAATATTTTCTACCAAATTGTCTGAGATCCTCTGCAGCTTAGTAATTTGTTCACGTATTCAGCAAATATTTGTAGAGTGCCTACTATATATCAGGCATGCACAAGGCATTCAGGATACATTAGTGAATACAGCAGTCAAACTCCCTGACCTCAGGGATCTCATATTTTTGTAAGGGGGAGCATTATTTACATTATTTACATTTGTAAGTGGAAGCATTATTATGTTAATATCAATTAACATAATTAAGAAGTAAATGAAATTGTACTTGAGAAAATAACAAGTGACATGTAAAAAAGGAGAAAAAAAATGTACAGTAGAACAAACAGGATTGTGAATGTGTGCATGTGGGAGGGTTCTGGAGAAAGCAGCAAGCTACAGTATTAAGTAGAGTGATTCGGGTAATCTTAAAAGAGAAGATGCCACCTCCTCCCAAACTTAAGGAAGGCAATACAGTTAGCAAGGAAATAGCTGTTGTAGACCAGTCCAGGTACTGAAAAGAGCTTGAACAATGCCCTAAGACAGAAGCATACCTGATCTTTGCAACGAACACAAAGAAGTCCAGTGTCTCAGAGAATGATAAGAAGAACAAGGGTGTTGAGTGTTTAAGGCCTTAGAAGTAAGGGGTTCGAGCCAGGGGAAAACACACATGCCTTTGAAAGAATTTTGGCTATTACTCTGAGTTGAAAAGGGAGGCGCAGAAAATTTATTAGCAGATGTGTTACTTAATTTAACTTAAATTTTGAATGAGCAGTGGCTGTTTTTAAAGCTTAGATTGTAGTTCTGCTCGGAGATAACCCAGGCAAGAAATATTGGTTGCTTTCGGCCAGAGTGGGACAGTTCAGTAGTTCCAAGTGTCCTGATACTAAATATATTGTAGGAACAGCCAGTAGGATTTCATGACAGATTAGAATATTTGACTTGATAAAAGAGTAAAAATTCACCCCCAGGAATTTGACCTAAGCAAGTTAAAAAATGCTATCAGCAACAACAGAGGTGGGGAAAGTAGTAAGTAAAGCATGTATGGAAGATTAGGAAATCAGTTTAGGATGTATTGAGTTACATGCTTCTTAGACATCCTGTAGGCAGCTTGATATACGAGTTGAGAGTTTAGGCAGTGGAGTTCACAGGAGTCCATCTCAGTTTCCTAACAAAAGATAGAGAAGAGGGCCGGGCATGGTGGCGCACGCCTGTAATCCCAGCACTTTCGGAGGCCGACGCAGGCGGATCACGAGGTCAGGAGATCGAGACCATCCTGGTTAACATGGTGAAACCCCATCTCTACTAAAAAAATACAAAAAATTAGCCGGGCATGGTGGCGGGCGCCTGTAGTCCCAGCTACTCGGGAGGCTGAGGCAGGAGAATGGCGTGAACTCGAGGGGCAGAGCTTGCAGTGAGCCGAGATAGCGCCGCTGCACTCCAGCCTGGGTGACAGAGCGAGACTCCGTCTCAAAAAAAAAAAAAAAAAAAGAAAAATCATTTTGAGGTCTGAAATAGTTTTTTTAATAGCTTAATAATTTTGTCACATAAAATTAATACTATGTAATTTTTTTTGAATTATCTTACGTTATGGTGCAACTGAAATCTATGATTGGATGAAACAAGTTGATTGCAATTAGGTAAAGAATTTTCATTTCGTTATAAACTTAGAATTAGTTGAATTTTCAGTAAAATAGCATACTCACCACTAGAATATAAATTGAAAGAAAAACGTAAGTATTCATCTTTGGTAAAGAAAAGCCAATAGGTTAGCAAAAGCTTAGCACATAAGTTAGTAAGTAATAAAAAAATAAAGAGTTTTCCAGAGTGTGGTAGTAGTTTACATTCCTTCCATTATTATATGAGAATCTCACTTGTTTTACATTAAATTTTCTTTAGTATTTACAATTGCAGTCATTCTAATGGTTGTTAAATGGTATTCCATTATAGTTGTAATTTGCAGATCCTGATAAATAAGCATGTTAATTATTATTCATCTTCTTATTTGACATTGGTACATCTCCTCCAATAAACTCTGTGTTCAATTCTGTTGCTCATGTTTTAAAAATTAAATTTTTATATTCTTATTTTTCAACTGTAAGACTGTTTTCTCAATAGAAGTAATTTTATATGTAAGATCAAAGCACCAGCAGATTCTGTGTCTGGTGAAGACCCATATTCTGGTTCATGGATGACTCCTTCACTCTATTTTCACATAGTGGAAGGGGCAAGGCAGTCCTCTGAGGCCTCTTTTATAAATGCAGTAATCTTACCATGAAGGTTCCACCTACACAACCTAATCATCCATCTACCAATAGCTTCACCTTCTAATGGCATCATATTGATAATTAGGTTGCAAAATAAAACTATAGGAATGACATACACATTCAGACCTTTGTACCATCCTTCGAGGTCAAGTTCTAATTTCTTAATAAATGTTATTATTTGGCATTGGTTATAGATAGTTTTCTCTGCAAGGATTTTCATGCATCTTTTTTTTTTCTTTCATTAACAGGAGTCCTGTGTAGACTAGGAAATGGAGGAACCGTATCTTAAAGAATTATCACTAGGCCCGGTGCAGTGGCTCATGCCTGTAATCCCAGCACTTTGGGAGGCCAAGACGGTCACATCACCTGAGGTCTGGAGTTTGAGACCAGCCTGACCAACATGAAGAAACCCCGTCTCTACTAAAAATGCAAAATTAGCCAGGTGTGGTGGCACATGCTTGGAATCCCAGCTACTCAGGAGGCTGAGGCAGGGGAATCACTTGAACCTGGAGGCAGAGGTTGGGGTGAGCCGAGATAGCGCCATTGCACTCCAGCCTGGGCAACAGGAGTGAAACTCCATCTCAAAAAAAAAAAAAAGTAAAAAAAAAAAGAATTATAACTCTACAACTCAATAGCAAAAAGACAAATAACCTTTTATAAATGGGCAAATGACCTGCATAGACATTTCTCCAGAGAAGACAAAAATGGTCATCAGGCATATGAGAAGACGCTCAACCTTACTAGAAAATGCAAATCAAAATCAGGGAAATGCAAATCAAAACTACCAGAGGCCAGGCATGGTGGCTCATGCCTGTAATCCCTGCACTTTGAGAAGCTGAGGCAGGAGGGTCGCTTGAGTACCGGAGTTCAAGACTAGCCTGGGCAACTTAAGGAGACCCCATCTCTACAAAACAATGACAACAACAACAACAACACAATATTACTGCACACTCTTTGAGAGTCTGAGGCAGGAGTATTGCTTAAGCCCAGGAGTACAAGACCAGCAATATTGCAGGTAACATAGTGAAATCCCATCTCTACAAACAAACAAAAAACACAATGGGATATTACCTCACACCTTTTAGGATGGCTATTATTAAAAAGGCAAGAGATAACAAATATTGAGGGTGTGGAAAAAAGGTAGCTCCCTTGTACACTGCTGGTGGAAATGATGGTTGGTGCAGTCATTGTGGAAAACAGTATGGAAGTTTCTAAAGAAAATACAAATAGAGTTATCATATGACCTAGCAATTCTTCTTCTGCATATATACACAAAGGAAATGATATTATGAACTTGTAAAGACTCTCATATTCATTGTAGCATTATTCACAATAGCCAAGATATGGAAACAACCTACATGTGCGTTAAATTTGATGATATTGATAGATACATAGATAATTATGCAGCCTTAAAAGAGGAGAGCTTGCCATTTGTAACAACATAGGTAAAACTAGAAGACACTATGCTAAGAGAAATAAGTTTGACAGAAAAAGACTGACTGATCTCACTTGTATGTGGAATAAAAAAATGGATATATAGAAAGAGTAGAAAGGTAGTTACCAAGGAAGATGTATGCAGCAAAATGTACAAAGTTGCAATTCTGTCAGGTGAATAAGCCTGGAGATCTACTAGAGAGTATGAGGAATATAGTTAATAATACTGCCAATTTGCTAAAAGAGTAGATTATAGTTACTCTTTACACATTCACACACACACAAAAATGCACAAGAAAGTGACTATGTGAGGTGATTGATATGTTAGTTTGCTTGACTAGTCATCACTTTACTATGCATATGTATATCAAAATATCATGTCATATACCTTAAATATATGCACTACATTTAAAAAATATACATATAACTCTCACCATATGACTAGCAAAACCTCTGAGGACTAGGCTCTGAAATTTTTATCTTGCCCAAATTCCTACCTAAGGGGTCTGGGGAGTCATACCCTACAAACTATAAATTCTCATCAGACTGGTTTAATGGAACTCTGTGTATCATGACTTGCTTTCCAATCTGACTCTGGCATAACAAAGAAGAAAGTCAAAATATCTTACCATAAAACATATTTCTTTGCCATATTTTGAAATGGCCCTGTAAAACTGTCCTTTTTGGGGGAAATTTTGCATCTGTAAAGCACCTCTATTAACATAGCTAGATCTTTTTCTTCCAGGCCCTCCCAATCCTGAAGAGAATAACTAAGAGTCTAGCACCTTTTAAATGTCTCAATAGGAAACATTTGTCATCTATTCTCTATTCTAAGGGCAGCCACTATAAGACTTCAAAAGAAACTTGGCCTTGGCAATCTTTTATCTTAACCTGAAGGTTTCCTTTCTACGGACACCCCCACCCCGCAACAACCCGCTTTCCCACTTTGAGTTGTCCCGCCTTTCTGGACCAATCATATTTCTTAAACATATTCGATTGCTGTCTCATGCCTCCCTAAAATACATATAAAACTAAGCTGTGCCCTGACCACCTTGGGCACATGTTCTCAGGACCTCCTGAGGGCTGTGTCATGGGCCATGGTCACTCATATTTGGCTCAGAATAAATGTCAAAATATTCTACAGAGTCTGACTCTTTTTGTCAACACCTCGCATATAAAATTTAAAAAATGAACCTTTATAAGATAATGGTAACCAAAGTCACAAAAGCTAACAGCAGGCATTTTTCTAAATTACTCTTTCAATTATGTCACTCGGGTACTTTTACTCTGTGCATTTTACATGAGAACACTGAATGTTAAAGAACCTGTCCAGGTTCATAATTCTAATAGTGGTGGTGTTGGGAATAAGCTTAGGTGAACTGATTTCAGAATACTTTAGAACAATTAGACTGTATGACTTCTTATTATAGATAATGATAATGTAAAATTTCTTTTAAATTTAGGTAAAAAGCGCTATTACATCTTTCACTGGCGTCTGTGTGAAGAGAGCACCAAACAGGCTTTGTGTGAGCAATAAAGCTTTTTAATCACCTGGGTGCAGGCAGGCTGAGTCCGAAAAGAGAGTCAGTGAAGGGAGACAGGGGTGGGGCCATTTTATAGATGTGGGTAGATAGTGGAAAATTACAGTCAGAGGGGGTTGTTCTCTGGCGGGCAGGGGCGGGGTCACAAGGTGCTCATTGGGGGAGCTTTTGAGCCAGGATGAGCCAGGAGAAGGAATTTCACAAGGTGATGTCATCAGTTAAGGCAAGGACCAGCCATTTTCAGTTCTTTTGTGGTGGAATGTCATCAGTTAAGGCAGGAATGGCCATTTTCACTTCTTTTGTGATTCTTCACTTGCTTTGGGTTATCTGGACGTATATGTGCAGGTCACAGGGTATACGATGGCTTAGCTTGGGCTCAGAGGCCTGACAAAATCTGTTTTTGTTTGAATATATATAGTCTATGTTCCAGCCTTTCTAATGTCAGACAAAATTGAAATCTCCTTAAATTGATTATAACAAAAGCAACAAAACCTCTGATTAATAAAGTTTTCCTTATAAATTATTTTATATCAGGATAAAACAAAGCGCCATTGAAATTTTTATGGGCCAAAGCTGGGATCTCAATCATTACATCTCCGGTTGCTAAGAAAATAATGAAAATGTATTTGAATAACTTTAAGGGATTAATAAAATATTTCTGGCTTTAGTGCTGATATATATGATTTAGTAATGGCAATATATGAATATATGTGCTGACTGTCAGGCCTCTGAGCCCAAGCTAAGCCATCATATCCCCTGTGACCTGCACATACACATCCAGATGGCCGGTTCCTGTCTTAACTGATGACATTCCACCACAAAAGAAGTGAAAATGGCCTGTTCCTGCCTTAACTGATGACATTGTCTTGTGAAATTCCTTCTCTTGGCTCTTCCTGGCTCAAAAGCTCCCCTACTGAGCACCTTGTGACCCCCACTCTGCCCGCCAGAGATTCGCTGACTCTCTTTTCGGAGTCAGCCCGCCTGCACCCAGGTGATTAAAAGCTTTATTGCTCACACAAAGCCTGTTTGGTGGTCTCTTCACATGGACGCGCAAGAAACTGACTATTTAAAAATTAATAGTGTACACAATGGTCTTTTTTTGGCTTTTTTTCCAGAAACTTCTGCATCTAAATTCAAATACTCTTCCTGCTCTCCAGTGGAAGTCAGTGAGCTGCTCTTGCTTCTGCCTGGGGCCAGTTCTTCTAACTTGTACCCAGGATCACTTCCCCTGTTCCCTCAAAAGAACATCTCTCCAGGCATTTCTCCTCTGTCTTTCACATCATCTTTTTTCCACTTCTGGGAATGATTCGCCTCCTCTTAGCAAATGGTGATTTTTCTTCTTTCTATTTCTACCCGATCTCTACTCAAATGCTACCAAAGGTCCCACCCATATTAGTTTCCTATGGCTGATGTAACAAATTACCACAAAGTTGATGGTTTAAAATAAACAAACAAAAAACCCTACAGTTTTAGTCTCTTGGATTTGTGGGTTAGAAATCCAAAGTGAGTTTCAAGATGTTAGCCGAATTGGGCTCTCTCTAGCAGTTCTAAGTGAATATCCCTTTCCTTGCCTTTTTCAGTTTCTAGAGCTGCATTCCTTGCATCCCTTGGCTTGTGGACTTTTCTTACCCAATCAAAATGAGCATCATGGCATTATATTTTAATTATCACATTGCTTTCTTTTGGATGCCAAAATTCCCCTTGTTCCCCTAAGTGTCCTTGTGATTATACTTAATGTCAGGCCTCTGAGCCCAAGCCAAGCCATCATATCCCCGTGACCTGCATGTACACATCCAGATCTCCGGTTCCTGCCTTAACTGATGACATTCCACCACAAAAGAAGTGAAAATGGCCTGTTCCTGCCTTAACTGATGACATTGTCTTGTGAAATTCCTTCTCCTGGCTCATCTTGGCTCAAAAGCTCCCCAACTGAGTACCTTGTGACCCCCACTCCTGCCTGCCAGAGAACAACCCCCCTTTCTCCTTTACCTACCCAAATCCTATAAAATGGCCCCACCCCTATCTCCCTTCGCCGACTCTCTTTTGGGACTCAGCCCGCCTGCACCCAAGTGATTAAAAGCTTTATTGTTCACACAAAGCCTGTTTGGTGGTCTCTTCACAGGACGCGCATGAAACTTAATACCTATTTGGGTAATCTCGAATAATCTCCTCATCTCAAGATCCTTAATTTAATGACATGTGCAATGCTTTCTGAGTGTGCCAGCTCCCTGGATGCTCTCTTGCACACCAACCTCAGCTTTTGCATCTATTACTTCCTTTAACCTGAATGCTCTCTTCTAGAAAACCACTAGGCTCACTCATTCACTTTCCTTTTATCTCTTCCACAATGTTGCATTATTAGAGAGTTCCCATAGCAAATAACAGAATATGATAACACCTCCCCCATTTCCTTTATTTTCCTGACCTAGCTTTGTCTTTCCTCTGTAGCATGATAATCCCCCAACATGTAATTTTTTTTTTTTTTTTTGAGGCAGTCTCACTCTGTCGCCCAGGCTGGAGTGCAGTGGCATGATCTCAGCTCACTGCAACCTCCGCTCCCAGGTTCAAGTGATTCTCGTGCCTCAGCTTCCCGAGTAGCTGGGATTACAGGCACCCACCTCCATACCTGGCTAATTTTTTGTATTTTTAGTAGAGACGGAGTTTCACCATGTCAGCCAGGATGGTCTTGATCTCCTGACCTCATGATCTTCCTGCCTCAGCCTCCCAAAGTGTTGGGATTACAGGCATGAGTCACCGTGCTCGGCTAACATGTAAATATTTTTTGTCTTTCTCCACTATACTATGAGCTCCATGAAGACAAATAGAGTACTGGACAAATTTTATGTCCAGAAAAGAGCTCAGCATTTGAGTAAATAATTTCCAGTCCATAACTCCTGGAATAGCAATTTACCTTTCTAATTCAACAAGAAAATATATGGATGTTATGAATAAATGTAGTTAAAATAACAGATAGTGACTTATTTTCAAAGGAAAGTCCAAAAAAAAAATGACAAGATGGATAATTCACTCACATCTTTCACAAATCGCACCAAATGGATGCGTATTTATCTCTAGGATGAGTATGAAAAGCATTGAGAAAACATTTTGTTTCTGCCACTAGTTTCCCTCAAACATTAACTCATAAAAATTTTCAGGAAAAGTACACTCGAAGACTGAATAGCTTTTGTTGCAATCACTTTTTTACTCCAGTAAGACAACATAGATGATGTTAAAGTCTGGCTTAATATTAATGCAAACTTTAAAAAGAAAAATAAATTTAGGAAAAAATGGCATAGTATTTGGATACAGTTAACATAATTTTGGATAAATCTGTCACCTATTTACTATTTGACATTTTCTGAAAGTACTTTAAGAAAGTCTCTTTAAGCTGTTAACCCATTTTCTCATCTGAAAAAATAATGAAACACGTATTGGCCATTAGATACAAGTTAAATCTGTGTCATTGATTTGGAAACTGTAAATCTCAACACTATTATTTTTATTAAAGCAATAATATTCATCTCTGCTTTTAATATTTCTCTTTCTTCAAAAAGTAATTTTGCTCAAAGACTAAACTTCATAAACTTGTAGATAAGAGAAAGATGAAATAATACAGAAAAAGTGCATTTGAAAAATCTTTCAAACTGAGCCAGAAAAGGGGGTAATTAAAATTATTTGAATATCCAGATGTTCTGAATATTGTGATACAGTTTTGCATATGCTATTTTTTAATCCCCAGGTTAGCCAAATTTATACAAAATTTGAAATTTACAGTATTAATTTTTTCAAAGACACAAGAAGAATTATATATATTCCTTTGAGGTTAAGCAAATCAAGTTGTTTAATCTCACAACTTGTCTTTTTACCCCAGTTATTACTTGGATTTTTTGATGAAGCGATATTGGTGGTCCAACTATTTCCATATAACTGAAAAACTTATAAATACTACTTTCCTTTTATAGCACTCAAATATAACCTTTAATATTAAGTTATTCAAAGATTATGGTCTGCCTACATTTTCTACAATATCCATTTTTGACTGATATTCTTATGGGATCTTTTGAGTGTCAATTTTCTGGCTGAAAACCTGTGGCCAGTGGCACCTTTGCCTGAGTTCTTGTCCTGCGTCCAGGAAGCACGAGGTATGCAGACAAGTGAAGGGGGAACAAGGCAAAGATGAGCTTTATTAAGTGTTAGAACAGCTCAGAGGAGACCTACAGTGGGTAGCTCCCCTCTGTAAGCAGGTCATTCCATGGAGTGTTCACCTCTCAGCAGACAGGAGGCCCTTGAGAAGGTAGCTCCTCTCTGCCTTCAGTTGCCTGATGTCTGCAGCTCTCAGCAGAGAGTAGGCACTGGAGAGAGTGGCTTCTCTCTGCTGGCAGGTCATCCCATCATCTGTGCAGCTCTCAGCAAAGAAGGTAATTCCTTTCTGCAGCTGGCTGTCCCATCACCTCCAGCTTTCAGCAGATAGGGTACATCCTCTCTGCAGCTGTTCTTCCCTTCCTCTCTGTCCTCTTCATTCTCTGCCCTGCCCTGGCTGAGCTCGGGCTTTAATGGGTCTCAGAGTGAAGAAGTGCATGCTGAATGGCTCATGGGCAGCCATGGTTGGGCCCAGAGAAAAGCACCATGAGTTCCCCCTCCAGCCCACAGGACTGGCATCCCAGCCCCCAGGCTTCAGGCCTGCCCTGGGCCTGAAGGTGAGGCTTCACTAGGGACCCGCCCCCTTCCACCTAGGAGCCTGTCTGCCTCCCAGAGTCATCCATGGCACACAGGCTGCTGGCACCAAGGGGCACCTGCAGGACAGCACCTGGCTGCCCTCAGCACCCCCCGTTAGGTTCCCCTCCTATGCTCCTTGACACCCAAAGTACAGAGAGGGCTGAGGCAGCAGAAGGCTGGCATATCAACACTGCCCCTAGTGTGTGCACACCCAGCTGGGCTGAAACAGCACCTGGGCTGAGCCTCAACCTCACTTCGATATTGGAGCAGAACCAGGAGTGGGGGCAGAGAAAAGCAAGTGGGATAAAAAAATTAGACTCATTCTTTTGCTATCTTCAAAAGATTCATTTCATGTGTAAAAACACTGACAGGCTCAAATAAAAGGTTGGAAAAAGAACTACCACACAAATGGAAAACAAAAAAGAGCAGAGGTCACTATTCTTATATTAAGTATAATAGACTTTAAACAAACAATAGTAAAAAGGAACAAATAAGCATTAAATCATGATAAAGGAATCAATTTAATAAGATTTAACTATCTTAAATATATGTGCACCCAACATTGGAGCAATCAGATTTATGAAACAGGTACTTCTAAACCTATGAAAAGACTTAGACAGTGACACAATAATAGTGGGAGTCTACAACTCCCCACTGATACTACCAGGCAGATCATCAAGGCAGAAAAATAACAGAAATTCTGGACTTAAACTTGATACATGACTAATTGGACCTAATAGACATCCACAATGCTTCACCCATCAACCACAGAATATACTTTCTTTTAACCTTCACA
The DNA here is from genome assembly GCF_000001405.40 of Homo sapiens. Classification (NCBI taxonomy): domain Eukaryota; kingdom Metazoa; phylum Chordata; class Mammalia; order Primates; family Hominidae; genus Homo; species Homo sapiens. The sequence continues at coordinate 30,154,366 of NC_000004.12, forward strand.
CAGAACATATTCCAAGATTGACTACATGCTCAATCATAAAGCAAGTCTCAATACATTCCAAAAATCACAATCATAGCAATAATACCCTTGGACCCCAGTGGAATACAAACAGAAACTAATACCAAGAAGATCTCTCTAAATCACATGATTACATAAAAATTAAACAACTTGCTCCTGAATAAAATTTGGGTAAACAACAAACTTAAGGCAAAAACCCAAAAATTCTTCGAAAGGAATGAAAACAGAGACACAGCATGCCAAAATCTCTGGGATGCAGCAAAAATAGTGTTAAGAGGAAAATTTATAGCAGTAAACATCTACCTCAAAAAGCTAGAAGTTTCTCAAATTAACGATCTCACATCTCACCCAGAGGAACTAAAAAATATATAGTTTGTGTCAAACTTTGACTCTACCCTACTTACCACCATTACCAAACCCAACATATAAAATAAGAAGACATTCTCTTTTTTGTCTTTCAGTCAGTAAGTGAGGCAAAGAAAGCTTTAGGTTTTGAGGATAAAAGGCAGTAAATGTTAGAAACTAGCTTACTAATCCTCCTGATCCTCTTCTGCAATATGAGTTTTTGGGACAGATGCTGACATGACTGACAGCAATCTACCAGGAAAGCCAGGAACTTGCTTCTGCTCACTCTCCCAACACTGAAGAGAGTTGTGATGATCCAATTAAATGAAAAATCAAAAAAGTTTTCCCCTTGAATTCCTTCTTAATCCCTATCTTAGAAATATTTATAAAACTTCACAATCTAAAGGCCCTTGATCATAAATTGAAATTTAGGGCTAGATTCTTCAGTCTAGTGAAGTTCACCAAAAAGGCTTTCCACAATTATTCAGAAACTCATTCTAGATCTCTTTTTACTCTTTATTGTGAACTGAGTCTCTGAGACCATATTCCAATCATAATTCCAACCCTTAGCTTAATTAACTGATGTTAAATATATCCATATGGAATTAAATGACTGTCTCTATGCTGCTATAACAAAATACTCGAGACTCGGTATTTATAAGTAACAGAGATTTATTTCTCACAGTCCAGAAGCTGTGAAGTCCAGATCAATTCACCAGCAGGTTCAATGTCTGATGAGGGCCCGTGCCTCATAGATGACACCAAAGACGCCCTCACATGGTCAAAGGGCACAAAATAAGGATGAATGCTGTGTCCTCACTTGGTAGAAGGACAGCAAAGCACAAGGAGAGTAGCCTAGTTCCCTCCAACACTTTCATATCAAGCATAATCTATTCAAGATGGTGGAACCCTTATGATTTAATCACTTCCCCATAGACCCCACCTCATAATATCCCCACAATGGGGATTAATTTTCACCACATAAAGTTTGAGGGACATTCATTCATAGCAGTAGCACCCCACCAACATGTTCATATTTAATTGATTCACTTCTTTATATCTGACTTTCTCTTACCCTGTACTCAGCTTTGAGGATGTGCTCTCCTTCCACTACTCCTGCCTTCATGATATGGCCATAGAAAAATATCACAAGAACACAATAACAATTAAGTAATTTTATTATAAGCACTACTTTTAAAAGGGGTAATCAAATGTCCCATATGAATTATGTGATTTTTTTAAAACAAAAAAACAAAATACATAACGTGTTCTTAGAAGGCGTATGAAGTTACTGAAGAAGCTCCTTCTCAAACATAGTAGGGGCAAGAGCAGGTTTAGAGGTAAAGCCAGAATAGTTTTCTGAAGGCATCAAGCCCTAGTGTTTCCCACACTTTATGGAACGGTTTCGCACTCTTCATGTTCAGGTGAGCTCTTCATTTGCACTCCATCAAATTTACAAAAAAGAGATAGATTTTTTTAACTGAAACCCAAAAAAGAAAATTAAAAATTCCTGAGAGAGATTGTTAATTACCCATGTAATAACAATTTTTTTCAGATGCAATGATAAATTAGAGGTTTAAACCTAGTTCACATTAAGCTGTGGGATATTTAAGATTCAAAACTTCTTGAGGGACTTTCAACTTGAGATACAGAGAGGAAATATGTTTTATATTGCCTTAGAAGTAAATTTTGCCATTTTTTAGAGCATTTCTCCAACTCAACCCTTTGTCTTTAAAGAATTTTCAAACTATACATAAAAATATAAGAGATTAAATAATTTTAATAGGCAAACTAAATATAATATTATTTTTAAAAATATGTTCAAGGTTTGAAAACCTACAGTATGGTGGCCAGAGGAACCGTATGGCCTTGTTTGACTGCTAGATTTCCAGGCTATGTCTGTGGTCTTGGCTTAGTTATTAATAATACCCTCTTTCACTCTCAAAAATGTATGATTTGGGTGATTTATCATGGCCACACTGCCTGTAACTGATAAAGCCACGTGTTGCTCGCTTTTATTTTCTCTTATTTTTATTTTGCTTTCTTCAGGAATGAATTATCTTTTCTTTAATTTTCTATTGTAATTTTTTTTTCAGAAGTATAAAAAGATACTTCTTCAAGAATTTGATATTAAAACAAATTTAGTTATTTTCTTTGCTCTTTGAATTACTGGCACGGTCTAATCATCATTATATTCCAGTTTTAGAAAAATAAATAAAAGCACAGCTAAGGATTGCAATGTAAAAATATCTAATTTCTGCCAACTTGATTTAATATGACAATTAATAAAATGTATTCATATTTTACATTTTATATGTATGTCATGAGAAACACACAGACGGAGAGACACAGAAAAACAACTGCACATACATGTATCCTAGAGAGAGCTGAAAAGTATTGGTGTGCGTGCTATATCTAAAAACATTTTCTTTTTTTTTTAATATTAAGAAGGCTCTTTGGCATAAACAGCTTCAAAGCACAGCTTGAAATGGACCAATTGTAGGGAACAGAGTGACAAACTTATGCTACCACGCACAACTCTGAATAGGCTTCCAGACAGCTAAAATGTGTCATTTAGAAGGAATGTGTCTAATTTACCCATTGTTTAGAGGGATTGAAATACACTGCTCTCACCTAGCTCCTTGGCAAGTATTTCAATTAAGTGGGCACAAAATTTATCCTAGTGCAGTGTTCTATTATTCTGCTCTATAGTATATAATTGCTTCTCACTTTGGACTTGTAGAAGCCTTCCATTGTCAGAAAAATAAAATAACACATCTCTTTTAAGGTAATAACCATAACTTTTCTTGGAGGAAATTCTTGTTTGGTAAAAAGCCTGTGATGCTGGAAGTACAGGGTTATTATTTTCATCAATGTATTGGAAAATAGTGGGAAACGTGTATAGCTAGTGAAATTTGTAATATGTGAAATATTAATCTGTATAAAAAAGCAAATCACATGGAAGATGGCAACATTATAATATTTTTATCATAGAAATGATTCTTATATGCTGGAGATGAATCCAGGAAAAGGTTACAGAATATTCACTTCTCCCACTCGCGTTGAAGTAGTAAGAATTTAAAATAAATAAAGACCTGTCTTGGTTTTATTCTGCATTGTAAAACACAAACATTTTGATACACTCTGCTATCTTAAAAGTTGTTCAAATTATGTTACAAGTTTACTTCTTCATTGGGGTTTTTCAATTTGTTAACATGTTCCTGACACTTCTTACCTTTGTACTGTCTTAGTTTCTTCTTATTATTCTTATTCTTATTCTTATTATTTTGAGACAGAACCTCGCTCAGCCACCCAAGCTGGAGTGCAGTGGCGCGATCTCGGCTCACTGCAACCTCCGCCTCCCGGGTTCAAGCTATTCTCACGTCTCAGCCTTCCAAGTAGCTGGGATTACAGACACTTGCCATCATGCCCGGCTAATTTTTGTATTTTTAGTAGAGACAGGGTTTCACCATGTTGGCCAGGCTGGTCTTGAACTCCTGACCTCAGGTGATCCGCCTGCCTCGGCATCCCAAAGTGCTAGGATTACAGGCGTGAGCCACTGCGCCCTGCCGTACCATCTTACTTTCTTGAGGTGGTAAACTTAGAATGTTGGAGTAATATTTAGTCAAACATTTTTTTTTTACTATCTTATTTATGTTTCTTTTCTTTTTTTTTTTTTTTTTTTGAGACAGAGTCTCGCTCTGTCGCCCAGGTTGGAGTGCAGCTCACTGCAAGCTCCGTCTCCCGGGTTCACGCCATTCTCCCGCCTCAGCCTCCCAAATAGCTGGGACTACAGGCTCCCACCAACACACCCGACTAATTTTGTTTTTGTATTTTTAGTAGAGACAGGGTTTCACTGTGTTAGCCAGGATGGTCTCGATCTCCTGACCTTGTGATCTGCTCACCTCGGCCTCCCAAAGTGTTTGGATTACAGGCGTGAGCCACCGCGCCCGGTGATCTTATTTATGTTTCTTTAAAACACCACACAAACACACAGACACACATGGGCAGGCACTCACAGGTAGTATATAAACACATGAAAATGAAGGCAAACTTATGCATATTTACAGGGGTTGAAAATATCATGAGGAATAGAATAGCAGACAGTTCTGTTCTAGAGATCAGAAATCCCAAATTCTTGTCTCAGCTTTGTCAACAGATTAGCTATGAATACTTGCCTAAATTGGCTACTTTTCTGGATCTTTATTTTCTCCTCATTGAATAAAATTTGTTTGCTTATAAACATCTAAGTATTCTTCAATTCTTCCTATTCCATTCTAGGAATAATTTAAATGTAAAAAATATATATATATTTATATATAACACTAATTTCACCAGTTTCATAACTTCTTTCAGGTTTTTGTTTCTGGTATGCGCCAATTTCTTTAAAATTTACTTTTTTTTTTCCAGAAAATATCATGATTGGTAAAATATTCCTCTCCTGCAAAAACCAAATCTGAGTTTCTCAATATATTTTCCATGGACTGCGTGCTAAATCTCTAACCAAATATTTTTACTTTGTCACAATTATTATTGGTAGTAAACTTGAAATTCACAGACTTTCAGTCACTATCTTATGAGGTCAAACAACAGGCACTGTGATATGACAGGGCTGACTCAACAGAAAGTCTCTGAACCTCTTCCTCACTTGTAAAAGCAACCCTTGGCCCGACATGGTGGCTTACGCCTGTAATCCCAGCACTTTGGGAGGCTGAGGCAGGCAGATCAAGAGGTCAGGAGTTTAAAAGGTCAGGAGTTTGAGAGGTCAACATGGTGAAACCCCGTCTCTACTAACAATACAAAAATTAGCTGGGCGTGGTGGAGTGCACCTGTAGCCCCAGCTACTTGGGAGAATGAGGCAGGAGAATTGCTTGAACCCAGGAGGCTGAGGTTGCAGTGAGCTGAGATCATGCCACTGCACTCCAGCCTGGGTAACAGAGTGAGACTCCATCTCAAACAAACAAACAAAAAAACAGCCTTCAACACCATATTGCCAGCTCCATTTGGTGAACTTCTCCATAGCAGAAAAAAATTATCACCAATCATTTATTTTCTAGGTTTATCTTTCTGTTTGCATCATGTAAACCAAAAAATCCTTGTCATTGATTTCTGAACTTTATGATGGTTCTTATTAATGTGTTCGTTTTCTCATGCATAGAAATTACTCTGTCACAGATTGGACTAAATACCCATAGCTTTCTACTAGTTTAAGAAGAAGACAAAATCTTAGGAGGTTAATGAGTTAGCTAAACTGCCCATTTTCAGTGATTTCATGTGGGCTTTCAGTTATATTGTGAGCCCAGTCTCTAGGAATCTCATTTTTTTAGTGTTTTGCTACTTTCTGTATTGGAAATTCGTTTTGGAGATATGAGACTTGTGCAAACTATAAAAATGCCCCCAAATCTTTATTCTTTCCTGTATCTATATGCTTTGGAAAATGAATTTAAGGCTCCCCCCATTAAAAAGCAGATTCTATTTTTTGTGCACTTCAGAGCCTGACTTGTGACTTGCTTTGACTGATGTAATTTGGAGGAGGTAATGTCATACTGTTTCCAAGGACTCACAAAGGCTTCTGTGCCTCTGCTCAGTATCTTAGAAACCTGTTTAGTATCTTGAAACCTTGAGAAGCTGTCACGAAAACAAACTTGGACAAGCAGGCTGGAGGGTCAGAGCCCTCTTGATGCAAAAGGAATCCATCCCAGCATAAGTCAAGCTAGACCAGTCAGCACCCAGTTCACCCAACCCCACAAAGATGAAAACATACAGCGGCTACTCACACCCCAACATCACTAAATTGCCAATCCCTAGAATGTTAGTTGTTTTAAGTCACAAGGGATCAGGATAATGTATTACATATCTAACATTAACTGGCTCTGGTTCAAGAAGATAAGTCACTCCATTGGGGATTTGTGTGGGAGGGGGGAATTGCACATGTGGTTTTCTTGTTTAATACATTAGAATATCTCATTTTGACTATAATGTGCTATAGAAAGTAGTCAAATAAGATGCCAGGGTTAAAATCTCTGTGTACTGAAATACTGAAAGTAATTGAAATTGCTTCAGAAGAATTTTATCCATAACAATATTGCATTTAATGGTAGCATTAGATAACTATAGTAGCTGTGTAGGCACTTTTTCAATGGAAAGACAAGTTATACGGAGTCAGTGAATATGCGTATATGCTTTCAGTTTACAAAACAGAAAATTTTAAAAGATGACTGGAGCAGCATTTCTGCCATTCAAGAGAATAATGGGTCAATACTCATCGATACCAGGGAGATTTTCCAGGAATTTTGAATGTTCTAAGGGGATCTTTGTAATTCTGCTATAAATCCCTACCAAACAAATCTATACTATTTTCTGCAAGACCTGTGGTAGGTTCCCACAATACTATTAAATGTCAGTTTGGCAGTGGAAACTGCTGTTTCACAGCAGAAACTGAAAGCAACCCTCATAGTTATGTTGGGAAAAGTAATAATTTGCAATTCAGGGGAATCTTAGACTTAAAAAAATCACTGACTTTCTCATGAGGTTTTAATTCAGATATCATTATCAAGGAGAACAGAGTACACTGTGCAATAGAATTCAACAGCTTTCTCACTGAGCACTGCTTTCAAGTTTTCTAGCAAATTGATACTGTCATTATTCTATCAAAATAAACATTCATTGACTAATTATACAGTTCAGGACATCACCTCTAGCTACTTTGCACAGTGTAAAGTTTCTTTGAAGTGTCAAAATATATTTGCTTTGTTTCAGACCATCTGTACTTGTGTCAGAGAGCTACTAAGTTTGGCTCTGGATAAATGTGATACATTGCTTAGATATTGTTTCATGCCTTTTGTGACATTAGAGGCATTAATGTTATTGCCATATTTCCTATGTTAGTCAGAAATTTTTGAGCCTTCAAAATGATTACCCAAAAGTGATACCCAGTGAGTATTCAGCATCCTAATTTAGTGGTTAAATATGAGACTAATCTATTTCTAACAAAATATTTATGGATGATTACTTTTTATGATATTCTTTTCAGTAAGAATTTACTTATGTTACAATGCTGAATATTTCAGAAAAAATAGAAGTTTCCTTTAAAGATAAAATGTATTTTTATAAATAAAATTAGCTCCTGATATATCAATGGATAATTTCCAATTTTAGCCTACTTAGATACTGTAAAACTTTGCTGGAGGTGTTTAGAAACATCTATCAACGATTCTTTTTAAGAAAGAACACTGGCATTTATTTGTAAATAAATATAATTATTATGGTATAAATGTGTGAAATACATAAAAATAAACATGGAAAACACATAAACACATATTTTTCAGAGAGGTTTTGAAATAATCTTTAAGTTAGTGCCAAATATTAGTATCATACATTGCTAAAGTAAATTAATTTAGTATTTTGAGTCAAATATTGTTTATAATGATATAGGTAGAATAATCAATGTGGTACCTTACTCTTATGAAATTGGCTTCTTATACATATTTTTTTCTTGGATGATGAAATCACCTATCAATCCTCCTATATTAGCTATCAATCAAATTAAAATATACATACACACATAAGTTAAATTATTAAAGTCAATATTCTTTAATAGTTCAATTTGCTCCACCCATCAGAGTTTGATGTATGAAGTTATCTATTCTCCCATATCTCTATTCTCTAGTTAGAATATTTTGGTTATTGAATGAACACCCAAAGACCATGGTGAATTTTTCAAAATAACGGGAAAAAGAATTTACAGATGCCAAAACAAACAAACAAACAAACAAAAAACCCAAAAAATTTAGACCAGAAATTGTGACTTCATTAACCAGAGGCTACCTTGACAAGCTTTGCAGAGGTAATTTTCAACAATGGAGATAAAGTGATTTGCTAAGAGAGCAGAAGAACAGATCAGGCACAAATAATAACAAAAGACAGAAGCACATGCAGTGCCAAAAAGATAAATAAAATCAGGAGCCTCATTTACTTATTTTCTAGGGTCAAACTCTTCTTTCCATAAGGAACAGTTACATTCTGTTACCATTCAGTCCCCATGGAAGACCTTCAACAAACCCCAACTTATGTGAGTTTACTGAAATGAACTTCAATTTCCAGCAACCAAATGCTTTAAAGCTAGAGTAAAGAAATAAAAAATTAAAGGTGGTAGCTTTATCTTGAACCAGGACTTCCTATGGTAATCGGATCATGTTGTTGAAAAGTGATTGGTTTAAAAGAATAGAGAAGGGCACTGTGGTGGCTCATACCTGCAATCCCAACACATTGGGAGACTAAGACAGGAGGATCACTTAAGCCCATGAGTTCAAGACCAGAATGGGCAATATAGTGAGACCTCATCTCTACAAAAACTTAAAAAAAAAATTAATCGGGCATGGTGTACCGCACCTGTAGTCCAGCTACTTAGGAGTCTGAGGTGGGGGTACTGCTTGAGCCCAGGAGGCTGAGGCTGAAGTGAGTCAAGGTTGTGCCACTTCAATTCAGCCTAGTTGACAGAAAGAGACCCTGGTCTCAAAACAATTAAAGAATATAAATATGTGTGTATATAAATATGTGTTTATATATGTATGTATTAATATATAAATAAATATATAAAAACATATTCACATATGTATATATATGTATTCACAAAAAGAAGCAGTTGATCTGGCAACTGTCCATATATTTGAATTATCTATAGCAATATTCCCCTAATTTAATGTTAGTTATTGAGCATCAATTCTATTTTCAAATAATAAACAGTTTTGACAATGCTATCTATGGCAGAATGTTGAAGTGAATCAATAATTTTCATAGAAAAAAAATCTCATTGTTAGCAAAACAAGCCTATTAAACCTAAGGTTATTTCCTATTGCTTTCAACTTTTGAAAAATGCTAACACTGCCAACTAGATCTTCTTATAAAATTGGAAACAGACTGGTTATAGATATATAAGTCAGTGATACTGTGTCAGCATTTTCTAAATCTGTATTGGTGCTTTCATTCCAAGTATAATCAAGGCCAATCCTGAACCAGCCAACACATCTCGGAAATGTACAAAAAAACTTATGGGTATATCGATAATGATTTGCCCGTCTCCTTTACAGTACAAAGAAACTCTTAGGAAGCAAAATGTACAGCTGCCTCAGTGAGGGCATACAGGATCATGCAATACAAAGTATGCCTTAAAAATGCAGTTCTAGACTGAGAATACAGATAAAAGAGAACAGTCATATAATCATATAACAATTCGTTTATTTATTTTTGTAGTCATTGATAAGAAAAGATAAAAGATACTTATCAAATGTCTACTCTTTGTAAAGTATTTTCAAAAGCAAATACTATCACTAAAGCTTTCCAGTCTACTAGAAGAAACATTATACATACATAAATAATTATACTCCATTTTAGAAAGTCTAAAATTACCCAAAAGTACAGTCAAATAAATAGTCATGTTAGGCTACATTTTAGTGTGCTAACAAAACTTTTAAAATCTCACTCATGTAAAACTATGAAAGCCTTTATGCTCCCTGACGGTCAGTTAGAGCCTCTACTTTTCTTATTCCAACTCCAGAACCCAGTGACAGAACAGCCACTCTTAGCACTATTGTTTGTCATGGCAGAAGAAACAAAAAAGAGCCATGGAAATTATTGAACTGGTATTAAATAATCCAATGAGGAAGAGACACAGGTCTCTTTTGTGGAAATTGTATACAAATAGTAAAATTGACTCTTCCACTCATAAGAAGGTTAGAAGCAGAAAGCACAGCTTGAATGTACCCAAGAGGAGAGTAGGATTCATAACTAAGGCTGAATAGGCAATAAGTTAACTACAAAGAGTTGCATTTGATCAGATCTTCAAAGATGAACATATATTTGGGCATGTCGATTTTAGAGAAAACATTTTTCCAGACCAAAGGCACATCGGAAATAAAAATACAAGTGTGGGTATGCTGTGGAGCAGTGTACAGAGAAATGTCAGAAATGTCATTCAACCAGATACATGCCTGATGTCAAAGACATACAGTGCCTGATACTTGCTAAAGGCAGCCAGACATTCCCATTCAAACCACTGCGGTATGGGAGACTGAATCTGTTGTAAAATTGCCTCAGCTCCAACTAAGACAAAAGTGACTGAAGTTTTCACAGGGAGAACAGAAAGGAAACAAAAAAAAAAGAGCTATGGGGGAAATGAAACGGGAAAGAATAGGGACTAGGAGGATATGGGAAAAGGAAGATTATAGAAGGGAGTAAATGGAGAATTACTGAAAATGGCTTCGCAATGTGGGTTCATGTAGGTCAATGTACATTTTGCAGCTTGGTAGTATTGCATTTTTTTTAGAAAAACCTCAGTATTCGTGGCCAGGGTCACCTTTAGGGACACAGATTAGTGCAGGTGGAAGCTGGGCTTAAGTTTGGTCTGGCCTCTTAGAACAGTGTTCATACAAGTCCTTTGTGCCATAAGAAAGTTCACACTGATGAGTTTTAAAAGTCTACAAAAGGTAGGAATCAGGTTCTAAAGTAATCATGCCTTGTAACTTCATCTAGTCTTTTATAAAATCTGGGTGGATAAGAGAGTGATGTGATCAGAATTGGGATTAGGAAGGTTGATATGGAGACCGCGAAATGATATGTTAGAAGAGAAATGTAGCTAGAAGAATAATGACCAATTTGGATGTTAATGAGAAAAAACTATGTAAGAGATTGTTAGTGCATGAAAGGAGTATAAACTGAGATATTATATAATTAGTATGAATATAATCTGGGGGGCAAAGGTGGTGGGAAAAGCCAAGGAGGACTCAAAGTTTTAGAGCCTGCATAACTGCTAGAAATGGTTGTGATATCATTACGAGAAATAGAGAAAACTCTAAGAAGGGCAGGAGTGGACATACTCATTCTAAACTTAACAGCTTTCCCGGATTTGTTATGATCAGAGCCACTCCATACCTTCTGTTTACTCTGTGTGGTTTCACGGGGGAGTGGACGCTTATTCAGCCAGCGAGGGCAGTATCTTCAGGTCTTCAGAACAATCTCCAGATGTACCACCTCTGTTGCTTCAGGTCCTGTGGGGTTACAGCTTTGGATCTGGTCCTCTGTGCTCTGGTAGCACTGCTTATTGCCTTAGTCCCTCCAGCCTTGTGGTTCCAGCAGCTTCCTGTGATAGGTAGGTCATCAGCAGATTTTTTCATTGCCCCCTATTGGTTTGTCAGCTTTATTATGAACTATGTGGACAATTCACTCTATTAAATTCTTCCCTCGGTTTGAAATAATAGATTGGTTTCTGTTTTCTTGGTTGGACTGTGGCTGATGCAACTTCTTAAAATAAAACACACACATAGTAGACAAAGATTATAACAATAGTTCATGATTTATGTGTGTAGGAAAGGGGCAGCAGTTGGCAGGTGTTGAGGGTGGGGTAGAATGAACAGGTAAATAAGATCACAGACCTGTTTTGGAGTCTGAGGACAGCTATTGATCTCTCCCAAAATTCATGCTGTATATTATGGGAGAGATCTATATACATACTTAAACACAGACATATACTAACAGATACATACAATAATATTCAAAATACTTATAAGGTCTCACTGAAGCAAGATTCATGGACCTTCACTTACTAATCCTTGAAATAGAAGGTTTAAAAATACTGAGAGCAGGCCGGGCGTGGTGACTCATGCCTGTAATCCCAGCACTTTGGGAGGCCAAGGCGGGCGGATCACCTGAGGTCAGGAGTTCAAGACCAGCCTGACCAACATGGAGAAACCTCGTCTCTACTAAAAATACAAAAAAAAAAAAAATTGACTGGGCGTGGTGGCACATGCCTGTAATCCCCCTTACTCAGGAGGCTGAGGCAGGAATATTGCTTGAACCCGGGAGGTGGAGGTTGCGGTGAGCCGAGATCGTGCCATTGCACTCCAGCCAGGACAACAAAAGCAAAACTCCATCCCCACCCAAAAAAAGAAATTGAGAATAAGTTGGTGCTTTATTGCTTATATGTTGATGGCAAAATTAATATGATTTTTTGCTATATTTATATTTATTATGAAACCTGGAGGAATTTCATATTGCTATTATAAGATCATAGACACACAATGTTAAAAAGTAGAAGAAAAATTAGAGCTCACCCAATCCAACTTCATTTCCCAGAAGAGAAAATGATGTCCACATTTGTGAAATGACATGACTTAACTGCTGAGTTAGTAAGTTACTGGCAGAGAAAGAGCTGGTCCTGGGTCTTCAAGTGTCTAGCACATATGTCCTTATCAAAATATAGCTGCTAACGGTTCCATGTTTTAGGAATATAATAATGCAAAATGTGCTCCATTGTCCGGACATGTTTGATGGGTACAAACAAGGACGAGGAGAGATCCTTTACATTTTGCAGATTCTAAGGTAAAAATAACAGTGCACACCTGTAGCACAATGTCATCTAATGCTCCCCTGTATGGAAAAACACTTACTCTTCACTCTATTAAATTCTCTCCTAGGAGACTGGTTTCTCTCTGGTCTGGCACGAAAAGTATAAAAGAACAACTGGTTCAGTATATCAAGATGGGTGGGTGAAGGGAGAGGAAAAAGAGGGTTTGTAGGGAATCATTCCTACTGTATTTTGCTGTTCTTGCCTTCCAGTAAACGCATACCTGAGGTTAGTAATTCATAAGAAAAGAGATTTAATTGGCTGTCGGTTCTGCAGGCTGTACACGAAGCATAGTGCTGGTTTCTGCTTCTAGTGAGATCTTCAGGAAGCTTACAATCATGGCAGAAGGCGAAGGGGAAGCAGGCATGCCACATGGCCAGAGTGGGAGTAAGAGAGATGCGGGGAGGTGCCAGCACACTTTTAAACTGGATCTTGTGAGTGCTCACTTACTATCAGGAAGACAGCATCAAGCTATGAGGGGTCCACGCCCATGATCCAATCACCTCTCACCAGGCCCCACCTCCAACATTGGGGATTACGATTCAACATGATATTTCAGTGGGACACATACCCAAATTATATCACCTATGAAGACAACAGAGTTGACTATTTATACAAAAAAAAAATGATTTTGTCACGTGTCTTCTATGTACAAAAGAAGAGATCAAAATATATATAAACCTATTAGCAGTTTTGTTCAGAATGTATTCAATTCAATATCTGCACTAATTACCCACACTGTTTAAATTCATTAGGTAATTGTGACGTAGAGGGCATAGCACTGGAAGAGAAGATAAAATGTCTGTGTTGTATGTGAGATTAAGTTCTTTAATCATTCTAGGTTAAATTAATGTTGTTACTACAGACTTGTGCTCTTCTTTTTTTTTTTTTTGAGATGGAGTTTTGCTCTTGTTGCCCAGGCTGGAGTGCAAAGGTGCGACCTCAGCTCACTAAAACCTCTGCCTCCCGGGTTCAAGCGATTCTCCTGCCTCAGCCTCCCAAGCATCTGGGATTACAGGCATGTACGGCCATGCCTGGCTAATGTTTATATTTTTTAAATTTTTTAGTAGAGATGGCGTTTCCCTGTGTTGGTCAGGCTGGTCTCAAACTTCCAACCTCAGGTGACCCGCCCACCTTGGCCTCCCATAGTGCTGGGATTACAGGCTTGAGCCACTGCGCCCGGCCTTGTGCTCTTCTTTACCCCGTCTTCGTGGTGGACTCTTACTCAGCGTTTAAACTACGCCTTAAATCTCACCTCCACTGAGATGAATTCTTTGACCTTTCATGCTGACTTCTGCTCCCTTGCCTCACATCCTCTTGATACGTTGCGTACACTGCTATTCATGTACTCAGGAACAGCTTTGCTGTTGCCCCTTTCTTGTCTGTTTTCCTTACCGTGATGTACGTTGTATCAGTTCAGGGCTAAGCTGTATTTATATCTGCATTCTCAACACATTACGCTGTGGTTTTTACGCAGTGAACCTCAGTAAAGATATGTGAAATGACTTAATAAATGAATAAGATAATGAACAAGGGTTTGAGGGTAGGAACATGTGTTCTTTCCTAGCTTTTTATGATTATTGAATTCTAATCTACCATTTACTTTGACAACATATATTAGTGCTGATCCCTTTTTTTTCTCTACTATCTAGGGTTCTCCTATGTTTTCCATTATGTAGCAGGTATGTCATCGATAATTATTCCATTTCTTGGAAGACCTCAAATGTATTCCATAAATTTTACCCCAAAATCTCCCAGGAGATTTTTATATCTTCTTTGCCATTTTTCTCATTTGGATTGGTCCCAGGAAGTATCCTAATTACTGTAAAGGCTGAAATGTATAATATAGGAAGTAGCTTTACAGGAGGGAAAGAGCATTCTTCCAAATTGATAAAATTTTTTATAACTTCAAGCACTAATTACATAACAGTTTGTTTTTGAAGATTCATTTATCATTTTCTTCTTGAACACTTCAATCTCTAATAGCAGCCCTAAATACTATACCTCTATTTCTGTACATATTCAAGCCTACCTTGCATCTACTTGTCTGCCTCTCTGCCTCTTCTGTTCTCACTAAAATTATATATCTATATCTATCTGTATATCTATAAAAATATATAATATATATAAATATATATAATATATATAAAGATATGTATATATCTTTAGCCATTATGTGTATGTCTCCTCTTCTCATCTCTCTCCAACCTCTCTCTCTCTTTTCTCTCTCTGTCTCCCTACTTTTATCTTTAGCTTTTTTATTTCAGGGAAAGAGACATGTGCATGTATAAACATTGATAAAAAGGATGCAGTAAAGGAGAGGCTGACAATGTGGGAAGCAGCAGTTATATTTTTCCTGAAAAGTAGATAAGGGACTGGGCAAAATAAGACTGAGCAAGGCTAGAAATAGAACCTTGGTCAAAATCAGGAATATTTCTTCTTTGATTAAAATCAGAAGGAAGAGGAAAGAATAGATGAGGACTTATGTCAATTCACAGGTAAAATATTATAAAATTGTGGTGGACAGATACCTTTGAGGAGTTGTGTGTGTGTGTGTCCACCCCCACGAATAAAGAGAGAGATGGGAATACAGTCTGTAGGAACCTCAGCAGTTCAACATCATGTCATACATAACCTCTACCCAGAAAACTGTTTGCATCATGCTCTGTCACCTTTCTCTTCATTCCTTTTCATGTTATCTCTGCAGGCCCAGGTTCTGGGGAGAGATGCAAAGTGCTGAGGAAATTTTTCTGCCAGTTCAATCTCCCTTTAGGAAATCATGGATACCTGCAAAGATGCAAATTCTGGCTTAAGTATATTTTACATTAATTAATTTTATGGGAACTCTGGTTAGTGTGAATATTGTGAAATCTATAAAGTTTTGAATTATTTATAGATCATTTACCACTGTTGAGACATTAATAGAATTGTTCTTTGCCATGGTTTCACTAAGTTAACTTGATACAAAATCATCTGGCTTTCACCTCAGGGGATAGAAGTTGGGGCATAATTAAAGATAACGAGGAACATCTATATATTACAATTTTTTTTCATAGAATGAAACAAACTTTTTTTCAGCTTTGTACTGTGAATAGAAAGGAAGCCTAATGAAACTAAGGTACTGGATTTCCCCTATGAACGTGGTTTATAGAAAATTTTGCTCAGACTTTTGGATAATACTCAGAAATAAGAATTTATAGAAAGTGACTCTTTATCCAGGAATATCCTCAACACTTCTTATTTTCCACCTTGTCATTTAATTTTTTAGCACCCATTCAAATTTCCAAGCTACATTGTTTGTCTGGGACAAATAGATAAATGATAGTGTCATGTAACAGTTTACCCGACCCGTTAGCTCACAATTGTTTTCTGTACATTTACTGAGATATAATCAAGCTATTTCTCTTTACTTGGACTGACTTACTCTCTGCGTGTATATCCAGAACATCTTACAGTTGCAGTTGGGTCCGTGACATCAACATGCAGAAATCAAGAACACATTTGTTATTGAGAAAGTCATTGATTTGGCCAAGTGTAATGTGTCAGCTGTTAGTGCCATCACTGTTCTTCAGAGCAGACGAGGAGGCTCCCGAACACTTAACTTTTCATTAACTATATATTTATAAATGCCATCATTGTTTTAATCACATATTCCTGTTTAGTGTACATATGTGGTTTATCAACATTGTATAAGCCATTGCCCTAAGGACTAGAGGCATGTAAAAAAGAATGTGTTCCTTATATTAAGTGGTTAATAATTGCTTGTTAACAATTTTAACTCTAGAATAAATTTCTCTCTCTGAAGGGCCCTGAATCTTTATGTGAATATTGCCTATTTATCACATTTGGAGCCAAGTGAACATTAAAAAATAAATAAAACTTTAAAGAAAAATTCTCATACATACAGACACATACTTTTTTTTGAAATCAAGAAACCACTTCATCACTCTCTCCCATATGTATATAATCTGGCTAAATACAGGGTAGTTACAGAGCTTTCTGAGGAATAATTTGTTTATCGAATGGATGACCACTCAAGAAATTATCATAGATGAATTTTGCTGAATAAAATTATTCATTTCATGATATCTTTACTGGTTTCTACCTTTGTCACCTGGCTCTAAAATCAAAGTCAAATCATGATATAAAATGCACAACCTTAATATTTCTTATGTATTTTTAAAAAGAACAAACAAATATTTACAACCTTGTAGATATTTTTAAATATAAGAACCACAAAAAAATCTGGTGTCAGATTTTTTTGTGTGTCTGTCTGCTATCAATCTGCAACAAAGCACCCCAAACCTAAGAGGCTTATGAGAATAAGCATTTTTGCTTACTTACTTGCTTATAGATTATTTGGGGGTATCAAACTGTCATGCCAGCTCTGCAGACCTCTGCTGTCCTTGGCTAGTTTTAGTTCCAGGCCATGGGTAAAGGTGGATGTCTGCTCTGTGCTCCTCCACTACCCCACAGGACCATCAAACCACTCAACATGTCCTGGTAGTAGAGACAGAAGGCAGGTGAGAAAGTCCAGTGCAAAAGCACATTTCTAACCTCTGCTTACAGCACATCGGCTGATATCCCACAGGCTAAAGCTATAAGTTCAAGCCCAAAGTTGAAGAGAGGAGAAATATACTCCTTTCATGGAAATGGGTAGAATGGCAAAGAACATTCTAACATATACTATATTAGTCCATTTTCACACTGCTCTAAAGAAATACCTGAGACTGGGTACTTTATAAAGGAAAGAGGTTTAATTGACTTACAGTTCCACATGGCTGGGGAGGCCTCAGGAAATTTACAAGCATGGTGGAAGGGGAAACAGGCACCTTCTTCACAAGGCGGCAGGAGAGAAAAGAACGGAGGAACTTTCAAACACTTAAAACTGTCAGCGCTTGTGAGAACTCACTCAGTATCACAAGAACCACATGGGGAAATTGCTTCCATGATCCAATCACCTTCCTCCTTTGTCATGTGGGTATTACAGGTCTCTCCCTTAACATGTGGGGACCACAGTTCGAGATGAGATTTGGGTGAGGACACAGAGCCAAACAATATCACCTCTCGTAACACAAAATAATAAACTTTTCTGAATTCTACTTAAAAAATCCCACTAAAAGTTAGAGACTTAAGTGAACTATAATGGTTAGAAATAAAATAAATCAGCCTTTGACTCAAGACTGACATGTTTGTTACTGCTCTGTGTCAGTGACTTTTGGCACTGTACCTGCTATATATTAGGCACTCTATAAATGTTTGCTGGCTGGCTGGGTGACATGGTGTAAGACACATATAGATGTCATCAATATAGTAATAGCCAACAAAAAGAATTAGTTATATTCTTTTACTAAGACATGTATTTTTAAAATCATTGAGTTCAAAAAGAAATATAAATACTGCTCAGACTCATTGAAAAACAGCAACAAAGATGAGTTCCAGTGACTCATCTTCTGTGGACTTTCTCCAATGTAGTAATGCTCTTGGAAGGAGTTACATTAACTATTAGATATAATGAATTAGATCTTCATAAATGCTATAAGCATACTATGAAAATTCACATTGATTTGTGTCATCATTTTAGGATCACTAGTCATCTGAGAGGTATGAATAATCATGGCAGAGGATTGAGATTTGAGAGTTTGTTTGTCTCTCTCTTTTTTTTTAATGAATCTGGTATCATTAGATGAATATATAGTCTAAATTACACAATGTGAAATCCTATTAAGTTACCCCATATGAGTCAGTGCACAGAGGACCACTTTTGATCAGGGTAAGACAATTCAGTTTTGAGGACCTTAGGAAAGCAAATTTCAATTTTAATCAAGTTCACACAAGGATTTATCTTTACTCCATCATCATATTAAAAGGCAGGATCTGTTACCAACTTTAAGAATGAAATGAATCTGGAAAAATAAATAAGGACTTTGGGTTTAAAAAGTTTGAAAAATACTGTAATTTTTATTCATTTTCTCAGTGTTTTCTCAATAATTCTTAGTAAAATACTCAAAGTGAATTGGTATGTATGTTCCATTTTTTAGTATCAACTAAATTAGCTAACTTTCCTTCCAACACATATCTCTTTCCATAACACATACATGCATGCATGAGCACACACATTGCACATACAAACACATAAACACACTGTATCCACACATCCATGTTTACAACTATGTATAACTACACAAAATCTCTTTAAGTTCAGGCCCAAAGCAATTGCTCTGATCTCTCTATCTCTGATGAAACCACAGACAAGGTTTCTTCATTGCCTCATTTTTAGAATAGTCCTTATCAAATACTTACACACTGTATGATTATTGATTATGTCTTTCACTATCTCTAGAAGACTGTATACTCAAGTTGGAAACTATAGCTTGAGTCTTGGTCTGTCTACAGTGTCAGTCACAAGGCCTAGCTCAGATTTGTTTAAAAGTTTATTATGGAAATACAGCCATAGATTTAATTTGAATAGTGTCTTTGAAAGTTTCCTTTGATTTTTGTCTGAAATGAAATTTCAATTTCTCAGTTTGCTTTGTTATGACTAGGTTTTGCAAATATTTTCTCAAATGGATTTTGAATATACTATAATCAACATTTGTGTAATTTTAAATCATAGAAATATTTAAATAATAGGTAAAATATGTTTTACAGTAGTTTGTCGTAATTCAGCTTTGCTACAAAAAAATAACAATAACAAAACTGGTACATGAAAAGTTCAATAAGATCTCCAGATGATTTATTCATGATCAATATAATTTACCTTATTTCAGCTGGGTAACTTCCTTTTTTTAATTAGTCATATGATAAGAGTAGAAAAGATAATGTTGAACATTCTATTCATTTCCAAGAGAAATATAGTACAACTTCAAAAGTTTATGCAGAATATCATTTGTATGTCTTATGGTCACTTTCTGTATGTTTTTGTTCAGAAGTGAAAGTTATTGGTTTAAATGTATGTTAGTTTCGGTGTTAATTAGCTAAACTTTAAGTATGTAAATATTTAAAAGTCATGGCTATTGAAAACCAAAAGCACTAAGTTTTCCTCCAACTAATTTTATCAGAGCAAAAGCTATGTAACAGTCAAAGCCACACTTATATTTTCTTGGTGGCCCATACATTTTGTTGTTCTATGTAATAGAACTTACAAGCTATTCATCTCTTCTTCTGTATACATATACATTACCAATATAGAATAAATGATACATTATCTTAGAAGTCACTAGTAAAGATTTCGTTTACAGGTGCCTATTGAACTTTTTTTTTCTTTGAGAATGTATGTAGCATGTTGTGTAAACTTAAAATATTTAATTTCCCACTGTAGGACGAAGACATACAGAAATGACAAGCTAAGCACACACTGTTTTCTGAAACCTCTATTTTTAAATAGTATGAAATATTTATTTACACAAAATTATTTGCTTAGATAAATCATTTAAAATATGTTGTCACAATCATTTTGGAAACAATAATAATTTTTTTTTATTATGATGGTTTTCAGTGTACATTCACATATTATTCCCATAACTATAACATAAGGTTTATAGAGCAATATCAAACATTTAAAAATGAAAAAATTAAAGCACAGGAGAAAAAACTGATTTGTAGCACTTTTCTGCATTGCCTCCTTGACTAAATTTAGAACTGTTACCTGGAATCTCCTACCCTATAGGGTACTTATTTAATTGACTCAAAGGGAAATTTTTTTGAGTTTTGGAAGGTGAAAGTAAACCAGAAGTCTTTACTCTTTGAAAGTTTTGTATTAAAGGCCATGAGAAATGAATAAAAAGGTATGGGGAGATTCTAGCTTGTTCTTACTCTCCTAGGCTCCATGTCCAGCTCTTCTTCCTGAACACAAACCTTGCTGACCAAAAGCAACCCAAGGCCCATCGCAGGTGCAGAGGTAGATTGTTCAATGATCTTCTTCACCAAGTCTCCTTGGTAGGACCACTTGGGCAGAGCAAACTGCCGGGTTTCGAAAGCGCTTGTTACTGAGTTTTCTTAGGTCCTCCAATTCTCCCTCTTAGAACTTCACATCTCCAGCAATATACAGAATTTTAGAAATTGTTAATCCTATAATAAACCCTAATTCCATAATAGTCATACTTGTTTTAGTTCCCTGATTTAGTCTGAGAGTTGACTTTGATGAGTCACAAAGCTATTAAATATCATTATGATAAATCAAATATATTTTTAATTATTAGCCAATGTTGAAAAAAAGACTAAGATTTCTAAGTGGGCTTGCACATGTGTCTACCAAAGTCATGTTGTAGGGAAGGATTAAAAGGTTTAAGAGGTTGTAGGGAAGGATTAAAAGGTTTAAGAGATGGGAGTGAGAAAATGAGAGAAAATCTAGCAGAAGAGAATGATTTACGGTTAAGCATTTTTCCTTGCTAGCCAGTGCCGTCTACCAAGTGGCAGATTATGTCAAAAAACACTGATAAAACCAATAATATGGAAAACAAACGAAGCTTCATGCCCCTAGCATGTATTAAAGAAAACAACATCTTGATTATGTCACAATAGGATAGGTTATGTTTTGGTAACATAAAATACAAAATTTTCAGTGGATTGAAAAACAAAGATTTACAATTTATTCAAGCAAAGTCTGTATTCAGATAAGGAACATTTTTCTGTGAGCAGCAACTGAGTGATTCAGAATTGGAAAGCCCCACCATCTTGGATCATTACCATCTGAAATATTCTGTCTCCTTGGTGGGCACCTCAAAGAAAGAGGGATCTGTAAAGTCACTACTGGGTTCTCTATGCTTTGGGGGAAAAAAATTATACCCATAAATTCTGTCATTGTATCATAAATCACGGGCATTGGCCAGACCTAGTCACATGGCCATAATAAACTTCAGGTTGTTAAAACTGCAGCCATATTTGTACACAGAAGGAAAGAAAATAAAGTACTGGTGAGCACTAGTAATACTTTATTTATATAGCCTAGTATTTGAAATGATTAGCTTTGGCAGTGGACTTTATGATGCTAGCATATTAGTTAAATTATCTGAGCCTCAATTTTCTCATTTATAAAATGGAGGGCAATAATATTCATCTTATATTCACCTCATAGAAAAATTAGGGAGTCAAATGTGTTAATTATGCAGGTAAATGACACTCAATAATAGTAGTTTTTAACATCATCATCATCAGTATTATTCTCTATATTGCTAGCCATTGACATCACATACCACCAGGACTGATAGATTTTGACAGCCCTTACTAATATGTATTGGAACATAGAATGTTAAAGCTGGAAGAGATTTTGGTATTATATAATCCATTCTTACCGTTTCCTTTATAAGAGAACAGATACCCAAAAGGTTAAGTGACTTACACAAGCTTAAATCTCCTCCAGTTTCCTTTCTTAGGAAAATTGCAGCTTTCTATAAAGTATGGGCTAAAGAATAAAAGTAAAACTACCCAAATAACCTTTCCATACTGTCAAGCCTGTCCCATGTTATCTCCTTTAATTTTAATTCATTCCTTAATTGACAGTTTGTAATTAGTTAAAATCTTCCAAGGTTGCATTGGTCTTAATGACTGTGTGAGTATGGCAGACTTTTTTTGATGAAGGAGACCTCTGATAGTCTAAGAAAATGTATTTTTTAGTTTCTAAGAACCAGTCCCAGAAGGAAATCTTGCTTATTGTATTAAAAATTGGAGGGTTTAATGTTTGAAGATAAGTTAGAAAAAACAAAACAGTGAAACTGTTAATAGGTAATTTTATTTACAATATTAAATATATCGCAGAAAGAAAGGTAGCATCTGACTTATAAGGATACAAGTGATTTTCTTGTTCCCTACTTCCCCAAAAACCAGCAAAAAAAGATTCTATTAGAATTATACAGGTCAAAAAATTATAGAACTCTAAGAATATAATTAATTTCTGTGCTAT
The DNA here is from genome assembly GCF_000001405.40 of Homo sapiens. Taxonomy (NCBI): domain Eukaryota; kingdom Metazoa; phylum Chordata; class Mammalia; order Primates; family Hominidae; genus Homo; species Homo sapiens. Next base: position 30,177,030 of record NC_000004.12, read on the forward strand.
CATGAAATTTTTTGTGGAATAAATTTGTGCCATGTGGATATATATAAATAGAACACCAAAGTTCAAGCAACAAAAGCAAGTTAACTTGCTTAATAAATGGATGACAAAGAATGCTAAATGCCAAAATATAAAAATTCCATTTGAAGTTCAGAAATGCTATTACAAAAGACCTTTAAAAGTATTCTAACACATTTCCTATAAAATTGAAATTTTTTCTTTTAATGAGTTACCTATAGATAAATACAAACATGTTCAGTAGGTCTCATCCAGACTTCCACAAAAAGACATTAAAAAAGATACTCAAAAATATGTTTCATATGTCTATAGCATGTTGAAACTGTTGAAAAAGAGAGACAGAGGACTGTGCATGTATGTGTGTGTGTGTGTGTGTGTGTGTGTGTGTGTGTGTGTGTGTGTATTTTAGAAAGGATAGGAAGTAAAATATATAAAGTAGACGGGACAAAGAGTCTTTGTATTGGGTGTTTTAAACCTATCAAGATGATGAAAATGCTAATGAAAATTGATTTAAATCTGCAACATTTCATCATCACAAAAGAACAGAAATTGAAATGCATTACTTCTTATTTAAGGTTAAAGAGATTGTGATTTAGATGCTAAAAAGCTTTAGATGTGTTGCATAAAGAAATTGGATTTTAAAACTGTTATTTTCACTAGTGTGTATTGAGAGTCACCATACACTATATTATATTTCACAAAACAGAATGGGAAGGTAGGGGTGGGAATGTAGTATACTACCATTACAGAAAGGTTTCCAGAATAATGGAGTCATAGACCAACAATTCAGGACATGATTTATTTGTGTCTTAGCGTTGTCAGACTTCAATCCATTAATTGGAGGAGTAAAGGGCAAAAAGCAGGAAGTTATTTAACTAATGCAGTTTATCAGGAGAGGAAATAAGGTAGTTGAAATAGATAAATTTACTCAAGAAATATTAAGGAGATATAATTTCCAAAGCTTATTTACCATTTAAATGTAGGTCATGAAGTTAAGTGAGGAATCTAAATAGACCTTCAGATTTCTTGCTTGGGTAACTGTGTCAAATGGGTTACTTACACCAAAAGAGGAAATAGAGGATAGGTAAGAAGGTAGAGAAATATAATAAACATAGTTTTAGATATGTTGGACAATTTGTACCTGGATTTTAGAAGACGTGGGTGGTTTGTATATATAAATGGGTGGTAGTTGAAACTATGAGATTTTAATATTATTTACCAAATATGTGTGATACTCAAGAACAGATTATGGTAGAGGACCAGTGTTTGTGGTATTGACAAGGAATAATTTAGATTTAGATGGCAAATTTAAATTATTATGACATCTAGAAAATCATATAAATGATAAAAGAGCCTAGAGAAAATAGTGAATTTATAGAAGGAAAATAAAATTGGGAGGATATATTAGTTCATCAGTCCTACTGCAGGAAATACTACAAAGTGAGGGTCTTAAGTAACAGATACTACTATTTCACTGTTCTAGAGGCTACAAGCCTGAGATCAACTTGTCAGCAGGGCTGGCTCCTTCTGAGGACTATGAGGAGAATCTGTTCTATGTGTCTCCTAGCTTCCAAGGGTTTCCTTGCAGTCATTAGCATTCCTTGATGAATAGAAGCATCACTGTGTTAGTCCATTCTCACACTGCTACCCAGAAATACATGAGATTGGGTAATTTACAAAGAAAATAGCTTTAATTGGCTCATAGTTCCACAGTTATACAGGAGTATGGCTGGGGAGGCCTCAGGAAACTTACACTCATGGTGGAAGGTGAAGGGGAAAGCAAGCACATCTTACATGGCCGGAGCAGGAGGAAGTGGGATTGGGGAGGCGCCACACACTTTTAAACAACCAGATCTCGCGATAACTTACTCACTATCATGAGAGCAGCACCAAAGGGAAAATCCGCTCCCATGATCCAATCACCTCCCACCAGGGCCCACCTCACGTCAGGGGATGACAATTTGATGTGAGATTAGGGCAGGGACACAGACCCAAACCATATCAATCACCAAAAGTTATGCCTTCATCTTCACATGGCCTCCTCCCTATATGCAGGTATGTCTGTGCTCAAATTTTCCTTTTTTGTAAGAATGCCGGTCATATTAGATTAGGGTCCCACACTACTCCAGTATAACCTCATCTTAACTATTTACACAGCAGTAATTCTATTTCCAAATAAGGTTGCCTTCTGAGGTCACGTGGGGTTAGCTCTTCAAAATATATATTCTGAGGGGACACAATTTAATCCATTACAGAGGGTTTTAGAAAAGGCACCTGTCAAGTAAAAAAAAAATACCTCATAGATCTAGAGGGCAGATTTTAAAAGTCTGTTAAGAATGGCCACTAGAAAGTCATTTTTACTGACCAGTCTTAGTTGGTGGCAGTGGCAGAAGTCTGAAAAGGGTTTAAGATGGAGTGAAAAATCATAAAATACAGAGAATGAATTTAAGCTCTTTTTTTTTTAAAGGCGCTGAATTTGAAGGTAAAGATAAATATAAAGCAACAGTTAAAAGGAAGTGTTTGGTCTCTAAATAAAGTAAAAAGACAGGCACACTATGGTCTGAATGTTTATGTGCGTTCCCCACCCCACCAAAATTCCTCTGTCCAAATCCTTACCATCAAGGTGATGGTATTAGAAAGTAGGGCCATTGGGGGTGATTAGGTCATGGTGGCAGAGCTCTCATCAGTGGGATTCGTACCCCTATAAAAGAGGCCTGATAGTTCTCTAATCCAAAGTAGGTCCTCACCAAACACTGAATCTTCCAGAGCCTTGATCTTGGGATCCCCAGCTTCCAGAATTATGAGCAATAAATTTCTGCTGTCTATATGCCGCCTATTTTATGGTATTTTGTTATAGCAGTCCAAACAGACTCTGACAGTGTATTTTGGGTTTGAGTTTAATTTTGCCAACCATGAAATTTTTTCTGAGAAAGAGCCTCATGGAGGTATGCCTGACCTGCCCAGAAAAAATCAGTTTCTGGATGCAAAGTAGTATAGTAAAATGAACACTAGATTTAGACTCACAAGATCTCTTATATGGTCTTAGACTTGAAATCCCTAAGTTATGTAATATTGAGGAAGTTTGTTGACTTCTCTGGATCTCATTTCTCTCATCTGTAAAATCTAAATCTTAATATAGTTGCATCAGAATGATATGAAAATTAAATATGACTGTTTACAAAAAGTTCTTTAGAAAAAAATTGTATGACAGACACCTTTTTTAAATATTATCTGCTCTATAGTAATAAAAGTCTTATGTTTTCCCTGTATCAAAATGATTTGTGGTAGCTATAAAGCACTTAGGGATATTTAGCAAATGCAAAATTAGATTTCCTCAGATTGCTACAATATAGTAAGGTAAGGATTCTTAGAAACATAATCATCTATCTGAAATACTGCATCTTTTAATCTTAAAATATTAAAAGAGGGTATTGCTGTAAAAATGTTGTTTTTCAGTGGCAATGATACTGATAAATCTCAACAAATCTTTAGGGCCAGTGCAGAAGACAGACAATATACCAAACAAAGGGGGCAGCAAAAATGGAAATATTTTTGAATTGAGTAAAATAGTACAATCTCATTCTAACTTATGGATACCAGAGAACATTAATAGATACTATACTCACATTTTTAATTCAATGAAATGTAATTTTATATCCTTTGTTAATCAGAAGACTATAATTAGAGTAATTGATTAAATTAGATACATGTGAATAATGGAAGTGATGAAATACAATAAATGGCAAACTATCATTGTGTTTCAATCACAAAAGACTTTGGTATTTAGTTCTCAAATCTGAAAGCAGATAAACCATTTGAAGTTTAATATTAAATGTTTGAAATTGTACAATTTTTCATCCTAAAATGCATATTTGTCCAAATGCAGTGCATTTAAATCTATGAAATTTATATTCAGTTCACCTACAACCCATGCCCTGGCTAACAGATTATAACAATGCATAATTCATCCAAGAGTTTTTTGTTTGTTTGTTTGCTTGTTTTTAAAGACAGAGTCTCTCTGTCACCAGGCTGGAGTGCAGTGGCGCAATCTCGGCTCACTGCAATCTCTGCCTTCCAGGTTCAAGCGATTCCCCTGCCTCAGCCCCCCGAGTAGCTGGGACTACAGGCACGCACCACCATGCCTGGCTAACTTTTTGTATTTTAGTAGAGACAGGGTTTCACCTAACCTCGTGATCTGCCCGCCTTGGCCTCCCAAAGTGGTGGGATTATAGGTGTGAGCCACCGTGCCAGGCCCAATAGTTTTATTTAATTAAACTGTGTGTCTAAAACCACGTATATTATGTTGTATAATAAGTAGCTTATGTTATCTTTTTTGATACATGTTATAAGAAGATGAGTAACAAATAGCCCACCAAGTCATATCCCAAAGGATTCTGTGTCCAACCTCACCTTCAGCAACTCACTAGAAGAATTAGCACACTGCCTGGCTTTCCTTGTCAAGCATGTTGCAGGTAACACACATCATTTCAGTGTTTCACATACAAAAGGGAAAATTAAATATCCTTAAGACTTATGGCTACGCACTAATTGAAACTTATTGTTCTAGCCGTGGCACACTCTCTACTTGAGTACGCTGTGTTTTTTCCAATGAAAAACACTCATCTCCAGTTAACATCATTTTTATGTTTATACTTGAGTCATGAAAATGGTCAAGCATACTTCTGCAGGTAAGTGTACTTGTTGAAGAATACTTCAAAGAGAAAATAACCCTCAACACTTTTATTTTAGTGGTTGAATATATTTAAATCTTGTCTCTCTCAAAACAGGTGGAGGCAGTTCTTTCTCTCTATTCCCTTTGAATGCATTTACTAAGAATTTACCTCTTGTAAAATTGAAACGATGTATTATTCTCTTTTAAAGGAATTATCAGACCTAACACAATTCTTGGAATGCATTAATTTCAATATTTATTCAATGAATAGTATCATCCAAATGTACTTAAAATTAAGCATAGTGCCCCTAAAGGTACCAGAAATATTCATGATGACCACAAAATATTCTGAGTGCTTTTAACTTGAGCTGAAAGTTTCCATAACACACATCTCTGCTATTTCACAATACACCAGCCTTGCTTTAGGTATCTGAGGAAGATTTTGGCATGAACGGCTAACTTCTTGAGATCAAAAGATGTGGTACAGGGTAGGAAACCACAAATATTCTACTCTCTGTTTGAAAACTCAATTTTCTTATCTGCGAGACAAGAGTTGAGAGTCTTAAAATTGCTTGGTTATAGGAAGATTTACAGTGATTGTTTATCAGAGGGGATGTGAAAGAGACTCTCCATTATCTTTCACCTATTTCCATTGTCCTCCTTTTCAGCAGGAAAAATATTTACCTGGGAAGATTTTCCGACATGTTTTGTAGCTAGGCTAGGTGACCGAAGTCTGGTCAATAAAATATAAATGTAAGTGTTATCCTGATCTTTCAGAACAGTGGGTTTTGTAAGGGAATAAGAAGTTTAGGTTAACTTAGGTTACTTTTTGGAAAGATTAGATCAGAGGGCACCTCCTTATTATGCTGGAGTTTTCTATATTAAGTAAGAAAAAAAATGGCCTGTTTTGAGGTCAATCTGATTTTTTAAGTTTCAGTTTGATTATGTTGTCATTTAGTTTGAGTGACTTCATTTTGGTTTGTTCTGGTGTGTTCTGTAGGGGCCTAGTGCATGAGCTCAGTCAAAAATAATTGGCCTCCAGTAATTTTGTTTGACATCCCCCTGCTTTTGGTCAATTAGTTGAGAGTGTGACCAAGGCTTGAGGTGTTAGCACTACTCTTAGTTAACATCATTTTGGCTTTCTGGTGTCAGCGTATCATTCATACAGTTTCCTCATGATGATGCATTTCTTTAAGTTTTTGTCATTCTAGTCAAAGAGGGACCATTTGATATGCTACATGTGGCTGCATGCAAACATTTAAACTTCTGAGAATATGCAATATACTAGGGTGACTAATGTCGTAAATATCAGGGAGATGACATCAAGAGTTTGGCATATTCTCCTTAGCCAGAGTCCCCATGAACCAAACCCAATTAAAAAAAAAATCAAAGAGATCAAAGAATGATCTACATAAAGAGTCTTATTTGTTTCAACCAAGTAGCCTGTTTGTTAATCCCCTACAGCTGAATCTCTATAATACCTGATGTATTAATTCCTGTACAACAAGAAGTGTTGTCAACTGTACAGATATTTTTTCTGTAGAGCCAATAAGTAATCTAGAGAAATTCTATTATCTAGTACCACTTTAGCAAGAGAATCATAGATGTATGTGGTGCAACTATAGTCTTTGCAGTAGAATCTGTTATAGAGTCTATTATGAGGAATGCATTTTTAATCATTGTCTTATTTACTTTAAACCATGAAAAAGGAGACTGAAGAAATAATGCCCAGCCAGCTGGGCATGGTGGCTCATGCCTGTAATCCCAGCACTTTGGGAGGCTGAGGTGGGCGGATCACAAGGTCAAGAGATGGAGACCATCCTGGCCAACATGGTGAAACCCTGTTTCTACTAAAAATACAAAAATTAACTGGGTGTGGTGGTGTGTGCCTGTAGTCCAAGCTACTAGGGAGGCTGAGGCAGGAGAATCATTTGAACCTGGGAGGCAGAGGTTGCAGTGAGCCAAGATCAAGCCAGAGTGAGACTCCATCAAAGAAAAAAAAGGGAAAGAAAGAAAGACCGACAGAAAGAGAAAGAAAGAAAGAAAGAAAGAAAAAGAGAAAGAAAGAAAGAAAGAAAGAAAGAAAGAAAGAAAGAAAGAAAGAAAGAAAGAAAGAAAGAAAGAAGAAAGAAAGAAAGATCTTTTTTTCTATTTGGATCATGTTATCTTTTTCATGAGGATTCATGTGGTATATAGCTTTCAATAATGAATGTTTTAAGGACTCAGGAAGGACTAGGCAGCTGTCCAGGCTCTTCATGAGTCTATACTTTGAATGCATATCCTCCTGATTATCAATTTTGTTTCTCCAATTTGAGTCCATACCACTGTTTATCAGATGGCTTATCATAGGTAATTTGACTTGGACCATGGAGTTCATCCAAATTACATATCTAGATAATTTCTGAACTGGCTGATTTAGCATGAAAATCTGACAGTGTTTTATTGGCATTCAATTATTTCTTGTTCTGCTTGGGTTAGCAGCTTTGTAACTAGTTGGTGTCTTCAATAGAGTTCTGGAAACTTTTACCCTGTCCAAATGATATGGTCCTAAAATCATCAGAAACTTTTATAGAAGAGTGATTTTCAGGGTTATTTTATTCTTTTTATAAAATTCCTGGAAGACACCACACTTATAAGTCCATTTTCTTGTAAATAGCTTTCAGGAAATGTATGAGAATTAAGCCATTAACTGTGGACGAGACTTAATATGGTCATGGTTAAAGATGGAATTGAAAAGAAGGTCTGGTCATTTTTGTGACCTGTAATAATTTAACATAAGAACCATAATTATGACTGATAACATATACCACAACATATCAGAATTTAAGGAATCTCATGTAATTTGGGGATACATATTAATAATATATCCATTAAAATGTAACTCAAAGAAAATTATACATAACTTCTTATTTGACAATGATTCCCATATAAAATAGTATATAAAAAAGCCTGATAATCACTTTTTTGATGCTGCAGTCGTCCTTTGTAGCATCCCAAAGTTAGTTTTAGGTGAAAAAATATTTAATTTTGAATTTGAAATTTGATTTAGGGAAGCCAGTCAAATATGTTAAAGGTTTGAAACACTTGACTAAAATAGGATCACAGGTCACTATTAAATAATAGTCATTTATTTGGCCAACGTTAAATTAAATGATACATATAAATATTTAATATAAATAATTAAAACGTTACAAAAAGCAAAAATCTTTATTCATCAATAGAGAAGAGATTCAGTTATCTAATCAAAAGACCCAATAAAGGCAGCATGAGAAATAATGTGCTCTCCTCTCTGCACTTCTTCCTTTTTTTTTTTTTTCAGTTTACTCAAAAGGTGAACAAAATTTTTTACTATCTCATCTTAATACAACACAAAAATCTTCTTCAAAAGAGAAAACCAAGTTTTACTTTTGAATTAGTATATTACCAGTACTAAAGCTAATTTTAATACAATCTTATAAACAAATCCATCTTTTCTTAGTCAGCTTTTGACCACGTAAGATTTCCACCAATTTTTTATAACTGCTTACAAATGTTTTTCTCTTTTGAACTTTCTAAATTCATTTAGTTCTGTCTATATCTTTTTAATTTTTTTCAATTTGAAACAAAATTTAAGTAACTTTTAAACTAAACCAAATTAATTTTTCTAGAAAACACATTTTTATGCCTTTACAATTTTTCTCCCCCAAAACATATCTTGCTTTTCCTTATACACTCTGTATGCAAAGTTGTTTTTCTTATACTGTGCAGTTTTTATTATATGTAACTCTTAATAAGCCCAATTTCTAGTGAAAAATCTATGAAATAAGTTTGAATTGTTTTATATCAGTATTTGTAGATGTAAACAAATTCATAATTATTTTAGAAATATATGCTTTTCCAAATTTATGCTTATTAACAGATCTAAATATATTTACATTTTCTATACTATATAAAAATAACATGCCAAATTATATAAATATGAATTTATGTTTAATTATTATTTCAGTATTTTAACTTATTTATAAATGTTTCATACATTTTATGTTTATCTATTAACTTAACTTTAAAATTTTATATGAATGAAAATAATTTTGAAACTATGACACAGGTACCCTCCCTAATATCTTTGCCAGTTCTTCTGAATCTCAAATAGCCATATAGCAACCAGAATGACTATGAAGGGCAGGGCCCACTTGGATTCTAAATTTAAATAGCAGGCGGAGAGCTCAGGGCAGAAAACAGCTGTGAAGACAATCCCTGGAGGATCCAACTCTTCCCAAAATGGCCCGGAGGCAAGGCTGGGACAGGAAAAATGGAGCCATATGAGCATGACCCTGCCATATAGCTGGTGCTGTAGCAACTGAGGACATGTCCCTCTTGTCCTCAGGTGATCCACCTGCCTCCGCCTCCCAAAGTGCTGGTGATTACAGGGATTGCCATCTCATGCCAATGGGAAAACCAAATCCCAAAACATAAGCTTACGGTCAAATCAAGCAAGTATTGAAAATATTACAGAAGTAGCAGTTTTATTACCTTAAAACATATAGTAGAGACATCATAAACCTGTCTGAAAACTCAGGCAAAAAAAAGTGTGAATTAGATTTAACTGACAATTCAGAACCCATTCTTATTTTACCAACAATTTTAAAACTAGCTTTACATACCATATTTTGTTACATACACATAGCACATATAGACATGCAGATAAACAAGCAGATCTTATAGATTTCATAAATAATTCTCATTTATTGGCTTTCAAATAGTTTTTATTTTCCCATTTAGTCTATTAGTCTTCTAATTTTCTGTTGCATTGCCCTAAGCCATTTTTAGTTAGGCAACAATTTGCCTTCTAAAGTCTTAGATGAAACATGGTAGAAAAATTATATCTCAAAAGTACAGGGTTGAGGCTTTAGGCCTAAATATTGTACCATCATTCACTCAAAGCAAGGAAAATGGTTGTACATGAAGGCCCATTTAAGATGAGATGACCAGGAAAAGGATCTTAAACAAAGGTAAGACTCGCTATTGAAATAGCAATGGTAAGAGCTTCTGTTGAGCTTCTGTTGACCAGGTCTTCCCTCTCAGACACCCTTACAAATGGAATTACTTTTGTAGATGTAAATTTGTTTATAAAAAGAATTCAAGATAGCAAGCTAACATGCAAAAAAAAAATGTATTTTGTGGCTGATTTATTTCAATAGGTAGTCTTTTAATTTAGCTGCTATTTTTTAACTAAAATTACTGAGTACACTGTGGAGCCCATAAGGAATCTTTCAAAGAAAGAATTCTCTATGCCTAGATTCAGTGTGAATAGATCCAAAAAAGAAGCAAGCCTACTTTACCAGAGGGCCTAGCTTTTATAAACACTTTATCCAGGATAGCTTTCTATTTTTTTTTTAAATAAAGGAACTGTGTATTAACATGTTAACAATTCATAACTGCACTTTTTATGACATTTTGAAAATCTATAGGTACAGGACAATGGGTTTTGTTAAACTGTGTCATATTTATACTTGCAGAAATTTATTTCATTGTTATTAGTAAGAATTTTATTGGTTCAATAAAATTGCCAAAACTGAACACCAATCATTTGCTTACTTTGTTTATTTATATTGGAGTAGCATTCTCACTTGGTTTATTTCTGCTTGATTATTGAGACATGGATTCTTAAAGATATCAGAATTATAGAAGTCATTATTTTCACTATTATTTTCCTGACCCACAGTTTCGTTTTTTTTTTTTTGAGACGGTTTTATTTTTTTTTATTTTTATTTTTTTTGAGACGGAGTCTCGCTCTTTCGCCCAGGCTGGAGTGCAGTGGCGCGATCTCGGCTCACTGCAAGCTCCGCCTCCCGGGTTCACGCCATTCTCCTGCCTCAGCCTCCCGCGTAGCTGGGACTACAGGCGCCGGCCACCTCGCCCGGCTACTTTTTTGTATTTTTACTAGAGACGGGGTTTCACCGTGTTAGCCAGGATGGTCTCGATTTCCTGACCTCGTGATCCGGCCGCCTCGGCCTCCCAAAGTGCTGGGATTACAGGCTTGAGCCACCGCGCCCAGCCTCGTGGTGCTATTTCTCATCACGCAATATTCCATTGGTGGAGTATTGCAATAGTGTAAGTTGTGCAAAATGTATAGTTATTGTAACCTTTTAAAATATCACTTGTGATCTCAGAAAGAGGCAAATTAGCTTTATCATTATCTCTTGTTAACCAATGCAGTAATTAGAATTAGAAAAGAGGCATTGCACATAGAGTTGAGGCCTGGATTCAGAAACCTATTTTTTCATATTCTACTAGCTTTGTGACCTTGAAAGTAAATTAATCTCTACACTTTATCAGAAGTAATGCCTACCTGAGATGGTTGTTTAAGAATTAGATGAAGTGCTTTGGGGTGTGACCATGACTAAGTCAAGATTTTAGCAGATTCCATTTCTCTTATCAATTAGTCACTTAAGTTTTTATTTGCCTTTTATAAAGAATCTTTTTAAGGAAGAGACATTAAAAATATTGAAATCTATTTAGAAGCTTTTGCAAATCAATAGATATCCCTGGATGAGCCTAATTCATTGCATTTCACTTTAAAAGTGCACTTCTTAAAGTACAGTACTGTTCATTTGAATATTTTACTGTAATTTTAAACAACCTTTAGTAAGATTGCATCATTTCTGTAAGAATTTGCTGCTTCTGGGACCTAATGCCTACCCATGAAAAGGTAAGTATTGCCAGAAGGTGGAATACTCAGTTTTTCAGAAGTTAAGGATCCCATTTTTACATTGAATCTTGGCTTTGGCTCTCAGGTTCCCTTGATCAACTTAGTCAGTAATTTCTTTCCTACCTAAGCATGCAAGAAAAAGAAGCAAAGGGGGCAGAACACAAAAATCCCTGCAAATTCATGAAAGTCAGAGTTCATACCTTTTGCAGTATTGCCATTTACTGCCCATTTATGCCTGCTCTAATCAGATGTCTTGAGGCCTAAAGCTGAATCCAAGCTAGTTAATTATCAGATCCGATGTGATTCTGAACCCAATCTAGTTTCTGTCATAATTTTTGAACCCAGTTCAGATTTACAAATTGCTCAAACACAATCATATAGCTCAATACACAAATCCCTGGAGCCTTGGGATCTGAGAGAGAACTGATCCATGATCCCCACTTGCGGCAAGGGAGCGATGGGCAGAGTAACCCGGTGGGTATCTTGTTTGATCACTTGGTGCTCCTGGGAGTTGCTAGAAGCTCTAATTCAGATCACACCTCTGTAATCATCTGTTAAAAGAAAACTTTAGACAAATTTAAGAGTTCAAATGAGCAAAAAATGATTATGAATTGTGCAGCCCCACTAACCAGAATAGGTTCAGAGGGAATCCAGCACTACCACAGGATGGGAGATTTATGGACAGACAAAGGGAAAGTGGCATACAGAAGTTGGAAGTGAGGAACAGAAACAACTGATAAGTTATAGCTTGGCCTTTGCCTTATTTGAAAAGTTGGCTGCCTATAATTGTTAGAAACAGTGATTGGTGTAAGTAGTTTACAGTCTGTTTACAAATCCAGTTGGTTACAGTTCACTATATATGGAGAAACATTTAGGCCAAACTTACAGGTAGTCAACTTTAAGATAAACTTAATTTAACACTATTCTAGGTGAACAGGTGCACATTACGCTAATTCTGTCTCTTTCATTTCACGTATCATGCTATGAATGCACATCCATACTTTTCTCATTATTTTACCTGGTATTTGCCATTTTTTTAAATATCTCAACTATTCTCTTGATTTCCACCTTCGCCTCTTGCATTCACAGAATATTATCCTTGCCAGAACTTTCTTGAAATGTCAAGATCAGCAGGACACTTGCCTATTCCAAAAGGCATGGTCAGGAAGAGGTTCTATTCCTACAGTAAGATCAGTTGTCATCTTCATGAGCACGAGAATTCAGTGTTATTACCTTCTAATTTTTCAGTTTCAGTCAATCAATAACATGTGCCTTCAATTATGAGATAGCTAGAAACTTAGTGTGAAATATTTTCTACAAACATAATGAAGCTGGTAGCCTAGCAGTCTTCAAAAATAAAACATCAGCATCCAGAAACAATCACATCCATATGTACTTAGAGAGTGAGGATCCAATAAGATACCATAATACAGAAAAAGGACCGTGGTGGAAGCCAAAAGGTTATAGAAGTTTGTCCAATGCTTGACTAATTCTGAATCATTCCTTCTAACATTTGACCAACATAATGTAAGTGTTCTTGTACACTCAAATTTCATCTCTTTCCAAATTTTTAATAAAGCTTTCAGGATATAGCACATTTATTATTATGTACCACTCATTATGATGTGTAAGCCTGTTATTATCTTTCATTGTTTCAAAATATTGAACCTGTGTAGTAACTACAAATGTTTATGTTTCTCTGTTTCGGATGCAATGGTTATATGCCTTCTCAATCTTCTAGGGGTTTTTTTTGTTTTGTTTTTCTATTTTTTTTTTTTTTTTGGAAATGGAGGCTCGGTCTGTTGCCCAGGCTGGAGTGCAGTGGCATGATCTCGGCTCACTGCAACCTCCGCCTCCCAGGTTTAAGCAATTCTCCCTGCCTCAGCCTCCCGAGTAGCTGGGATTACAAGCAACTGCAACCACGCCCAGCTAGTTTTTGTATTTTCTAGTAGAGATGGGGTTTTGCCATGTTGGCCAGGCTGGTCTTGACCTCAGGTGATCAGCCCACCTCAGCCTCCCAAAGTGTTGGGATTACAGGTGTGAGCCATGGCGCCTGCCCCTTCTGTTATTTTTTAAACTGTCTACTCAATAAAAATTGATCCACTCAATGCTTCACAATATTACCTTGTGCAATTTGACTTCCATACATTTTACATTAAATACTCTTTTTAAAATGTTTTCTCTCGCCTCACTTTTGTGTCAACAGTGTTCATACTTCAAAAGCCAATCAATGAATATCTCCTCCTATAAAAGAGGATCTGACTCTGTGATTATGTTATTTATTTAAAAAAAATTACAGTTTTTTTTTGCATAATTTCATTTGGAAACTATATATATATATATTTTATATATATATATATATACACACACACACCCCCCTACTTTCTATTATTTATTTGCATTACTCTGTCTCTATGCTTCTATTTTCATATCTACCAAAATATCACCTACTTTGAAAATGCTAAGAAAATTAACTCACATTGAAATACCACTTTGCACATACTATGAGGGCTTTAATCCTAAAGACAAGTAAAAAAAATACTGGCAAGGAGGTAGAGAAATGGAACCCTGATACATTTCTGCTGGGAATGTAACATATTACAGCCACCTGGTAAAACAGTTAGGTAGTTCCTCAAAAGGTTAAATGTAGGGTTACTATAAGACCCATCAATTCCGCTCCTAGGCATATGCCCAATAAAATCTTTTTAAATGTCCAAAAACCTGTACAGTAATGTTCATAGCAGCATTATTCCTAATAGCCCCAAAATGGAAACAAGCCAAGGCCCACCATCTCATTAATACATAAAGAAAACGTGTGTATTCATGCAGAGAACTATCATTCAGCGTTAAAAAAGAATAAAGCATTGATTCATGCCACAACATGGATAAACCTTAAAAACAATGTACTCAATGAAAGTAACCGTAAAAGACATAGCCATATGGTACATTAATCCATTTACACAAAAAGTCTAAGTAGGCAAGTCAATAGAGACAGAAAGTAAATTTGTGGTTGCCAGTGTCTAGGAAGAGGAAATCATGGTGAATGACTACAAATGGACACATGGTTTCTGTTGAGGTAATGAAAATGTTCTGGAATCAGGTAATGGTAGTGGAATTAAATAATTGCATAACTTTGTAAAAATACTAAAAACCACTGAATTGTACACTTAAAAGCAAATTTTATAGTATGTGAAATATATCTCAGTAAAAATGAATTTGTATAATGGGAGAATATTTACTTTTTGCCTTATTAGTGATACATTCTTTGTCCATAGTGGGTTCTCAAAATATTTTCTTAGTCAACTGATGTATGGATGATTAGAGAGTTGAATGAATTAAAGTGGTGAGATAGAGAGGTTCTTCAAAACAATCCATTCCAATTTTTATCTTTTTTATTTATTATTTTTGCCAGCCTTCTATTTGACATATACTTTTTTTTAAGCAAATAACACCAACTGTAAGGGCATAGCAGTTGTGCGACTGCCAACTACAGTGCCTGCCAAAAGAAACATAAAGAATGTAAGTGAATCCACATTTTAAAAGTGCAAATTTTCAGTCTTTAATTTCAGTTTCTCAAAGACACTCCTTGCTGTTGTAGTTAGGGCCTTGGCTGTGTGGCAGCTTTGTTTTGTTTTGTTTTTTTAATTGCATGGATTCAATCAATGAATTTAATGATGTTTAACAACAGGAACCTGTAAATACAGGAGGTTGAACTTGTCAGTTTACTGATATAATCTTGCAGGGACAAGCAGTTGAAAGTCTCCTGCAGTTACCTTGCTGAGCAATCCCTGATAGAATGGAATAATTTTTTAACTTTCCCCCCACATTTTATAGCCCAACATATGTCAAGTGCAATGCCTGTGTTTATTCCACTTTAGTTAATATGGAAAATTTGCAAATGATGACTAAGATTAATACAAAATAAACAAAAGCAAAATATGAAATCAGGATATCACAAGAGATGCTATTTTAAACATCAAAAGATTCAACCTAATATGGGAACAATTTACCTTTTACTTCTAGACTTATTAAATTGAAACAGCTAAGCTTATTTCATATAATAACCACATTGGATTCAGATATCTTCATATCTGAATCCTTTTTAAGACTTAAATAAGCTGAATCATCTACAGGACTAAGTAATGGTATTGCCGACTGCTGCACTTCTTTCCATTAAAGACTTTTTTAATTTGCTCATGACAGGTAGCTGAAGTCTATTTTAAATTAGTGTTATTTTTTCTTTCTACCTTATTGGTAGGGATTTCATATCCTTTCACTCATATCAACTTTTATTGAACATGCAAAAGCATTGCAGGGAAATGAGCAGACTGCATAAATGATAGTCATTTATTGAGATGGCAAAACCTCCTTAGCCAAGCACTTCCCTTTAGTATAGTGTAATTTAGTATAGTTTAATTTTGTATTGAGAAACAAACCTGACCTCATGTTTGTGTTATAGAATTTGAATTTACATGTGTGCAATTTAGTAAAACAGCATAATCCCACTTACATTTTATAATCACTGCCTTTAAAAAATAAATCTGACAAAGTAACTATTATTATTAAGAGGAGATGTTCCAGCAAGTAATGATTTTATAAATGACATGTAGAATAGACAGTGAAATAAACATTTTAGTCAACAATTATGCCCTTTATCCTATTTAATGTCTTTCTTATTAATTTTAGCTATCATTCATTGAATTTTTATTCACAATGCTGAGTAGAAAATATCCTAAAATAAAGTAGTTTTCATAAACCTATCTGTGTGTTTGTTTTTATTTTTCCTGCTACAAACGAGGTATAAAGAAACATTATATCATGAAACTTTGCTGATGATTATAATATTTATCAGCAAAGTAGGTAAATGATCAAACTAGGTAGAGGTAAATATTTGTTAAGTCAGTTTGTGTTTAAGTATAGAGTGTCATCTTGGAGTAATCAAAAGTCGATGCCTTAAAATCGTGGTTCTGTCCTTTATCATCTATTGTCCTTATTATCTATGTGTTCATAAAAATTTATATAACTTTCTTGAAACTTGGTATCCTTACCTTGAAAAAAATAAATACTAAAATTTAATAGAACAGTGTCTGAGAATCATGGAAAAAGATAAATTGTTTGGTGCCTGATACTTAATAGTTTTTCAGCAAATGCTCCTACCTCCCTCCCTTTCTTCCTCCCATATTCCTTCCCTCGCCTCCCTTGCCTTCTTTGCTTTCTCTCCCTCCCTTTTTCTTTCCTTCCTTCCTTTCTTCCTTCCTTCCTTCCCCCCTCCCTCCCTCTCTTCCTTTCTTCCTTCATTCCTTTCTTCCTGAATTTATTTAATTTGCAGACCTAAACCCCCCAAATTATGACCATCTCTTTCTACATTATAGTAAAACGATAAGCACAAATTTAGTAGATTGTTTTATATAAAATATGTTATTGTAGGCTTGATATTAAGTTATTTGGATATTTAATTCAGGTAACCCAGCATTTCTTAAAAGCCACTGAGTATTGTTTGTAATACTTAAGGGAAAAGTGTAACCAATAGGATGTTTTCAATTGAATATTAAACTTAGCCATAAATTGCAAGGGCTTTGTAGACATTTATGCACATAAACATTGTAAGATCCTCGAGATATGTGTTTTTTTCACATGTCAGAAAACTCTGGAGCCCTTTAAAAAAAGTCTCTAATGTATTGTTGGTTAAATGGCATTGGCTACTTGATCCTTATAAAAGCATATTTAGTCTCTGTTTATGGTTGTGGTTTTACCAGAAAACCTAACAAAATGTTATGTTGGTGTTAACAAATATTTGATAATCAGTATTATCACATAACAGAATGAATGATTGAATGCCTGAAATCCAATATTGCCACCTATTCTCTACTGAAATGTCTATATTGACAACGCCCTTCTACTTACACAATGGTTGCATTTAGTTAAATATTGTCTTGAAATTATCATTTGGAAAACTCACAGCTCTCGGAGGCTGGCACCTTTATGCATAATCCATTTTCACAATTCATGATTCTAAGTTGCTCCAAGTCTAGGGTAGAAAATCTGTTATAAAAAGTTGGAGAGGAGGGGGCATCACTTTTAGGAGATTTTCTTTTTCAAAAACACAGGCTTTTTGCCAACAAGATATTTTTGTTGTTTTTGTTTTAGACTTCAGATTTTACTGAATTATTTTGAATTCGTAACCAAAATCCTTTATTCATTTTAAATGTATACTGGAAAGAGAGAGGGTCGAGACAGACAGATTTGTTAGATTGAACTCTATATTTTTATTTTACGAGTGTTTGTCCTTATACTTCTGTGTAATGATCAACAACAATACTAAAACCATTCTAGCCAACAGCAAGCAGTTCTCAAAGTTCTCAACTTAGAGTGTCTTATTTTGCTTTTAATTTGCATTTAGGCTGCATGTTATTCTAGCTGAGAAGTAGTACTCTCACTTCAGTAAGTGAAACCACACAATTGTTTATATGCAGAAATTGTTATATGTTAGTATTATTGTGTCTGTTAAGAATCTTGAAATAAGTAAGTTTAACAAATTGATTCAATATTGAGTCTGTTTGAATTTAAGGAAACCTAAGTTGTACAGAATAATACTTGAAGCTATAATTAGAGGCTAATTTCAGGTCACTGAATCGTTTTACTTATATCAGGGCATCACAGACAGGATGAAATGATGATACATTGTAATGTTTTGGGTGTGATTCCTTTGCTTTTCACACTGGTTAAAAGGATTTTTTTTCCGTGATCACCAAGGACAGAGGGACCAGAGCCCAGTCTTTCAGGAAATGATACATTTGTTGTCCTCCTGCTCTGTGTGCAAAACTGTGGAATGTCTAAGTTGAAAAAGAAGAAAAGACACTTTTTTCTTGCCTGTGCAGATTAAGGGGCAAATCAGGAGAGAACATATAATGCAGACAAAGGACAAAAGCAATATGATTTGTTAATTACTACAAGAATGTAAAATAAAAGTGAAAAAGTACATCAGTGAAGGTTAACTTAAATCTTACATTGTGAAACAGGCTATAATCACATAATTAAGCTGAATTACTTAGAGATCTCAAATGCTTCTTTCTTATCTCAAATCTTTTGCCCAGAATGAACTTCCCCGTGTCCTATTAGCCTGTTACTTAATGTATTGTAAAGATTTGCAGAATAGCTCAATGGCAAATTTCTTTAAGTCTCCTCTGAAATACCCGCATGCAGAATTAAATGTTTCCTGCTTTGTGCTCCATTAGTACCGAGTACATACTTTTATCCTATAACTATTTAGATATTTACTTATCTTTCCAACTTAACCTTGAGCCCCTAGAAGGCAAAGCTTTGTACCATTTATTCTGGATACCCATTACCTAATACATGCTCCCAGATTTTACTCTTCTACCGAAATCCAAGTGCATATATGGGAATTATCTTCTCCCCACCCTTTCTTTGGGGGAGCTAACTAGATTGTATTATTTTAATTGCAGTCTGAGACTCCTCAGGTTATACCTGCAACTTCAATTTCAGCGCTTGCTCTGAGATTTGACTTACAGTCAACTATCTACCTGACATTTATACTTGAGCACCATATGGGTGTCTCTATCTCCATAGTTTGTAAACTGTACTCATTTTCCCCATAAACGGTAATTCCTATTTACATTGCTGCTTAATCCAGCATATTTGAAGCATCCTTGATTCTTCTCTTTCTTATTCTTCACATAACATTTATCACCAATTCTGTATAATTACACTTCCAAAATCCATCTTCTCCTTGATCCTCATCATCACTGCCACCAACTAACATCCTTTAATACTTTTCTTTTTTTTTTTTTCATTCACCAACCTTCTTTTGCCATGGCCTCTTTCACAGTCTTAACGCTTTGAAACTCACCCAACTCAGTACTTATGCATAATGCTGTTCTACCAGGAGAACTCAAATTTGAATTCCTGGGCATGGCTAGTTGCTTCCCTTCCTCCAGCTTTCAGTTTCACTCTGCTTCCCTATGGAAAATACTGAGCCACCCAATCTGTACTGGGATTCACTCTTAGCCAGGTTTTTTCTTTATTTGTTTCCTTATTCACACTTAAAATCTCATTATTTTGCATTTATTTCCCCATTATAATTTAAGAGCAACAAAGACAGTATTCATTTCAACACTATTTAACAAGCACCTAATACAAAGGTGACTCAGTGGGAGCCCCATAAATGTTTGTTAAAAAGGTGACTGCATATATCTGAAAATAAGGGAAATACTATCATCAATAAAGATAGGTAGGATAAACTAGAATAAACATGCTACAAAACATGCCCCATGAACACAACTTCATTTTGCTTTAATTACTATATCTTCTTGTTTAGGGGCATTTTGGCATGTTGTACATGCTCAGTAAAACTGTGCTGGATAAATGAATGAGTTTGAAAGGCAAATGTTTAACTTTGAATGACAGCATAAATGTTGAGACTTGCTTCCAAGCTAAATACCAATTAAATCCTTTCTCTGTTCCATATATATTATGGATAAAGATACTTTATTTTCTGCAAAAATTCTGCTAAGTATTTTCACTACCTTATAAGTCAAAGAATAAAAGAGATAAAAACAGGTTTTTTTGTGGGTCACTGTATAAGATAATGTAATCAAGGTAATGAAGAAGCCTGAAATAACTTTAAAATCAAGGAACACAGTAATAAATTTACTAACCATCAGAATGATTTTCATGGATGAGAAAAAAAAGGAAAACACTCATATTTTAGATTTCGATCTGCAAGTAATGAGAAGAAAAAGCAAAAAATTCAAAAAATCTAAACTATACGTTTGGTGATATTAAACTTCTATAAAGATTGATTTTCTGTCATTTTGTAAGACAGTTACTCAAATTAAAACTTTACAACAGTTTTGACATTTATTTTTTATAAAAGTCAATACATTAGGTTAGATTGCTTTACCCCACTTGTTTCTTTCCACTGGTTCCATGAGATGATAAAAAAAGACTTCTAAGATAACAAGTGAGCTTTGGAGAATTCACAATAGAAAAAACAAAAAGAATAAACAGTATGAGAAGCAAAATAATATTTGGTTTTGGTTTAACTTCCAAATGATAAGTAGTTGTCAATTTGATATAATTTTAGAAAGAAGGAAATAAATACCTTTTATATAATCAAATGTCCCTCCAATTCTATAAGTTTAATAAACATAAATCACCTTTGAAATAATAAATATGTAATCATGATTTACACTACAACTTTTCAAAAAAGGAGATAGGCCTGGCCTGGTGGCTCACACCTGTAATCTCAGCACTTTGAGAGACTGAGGTGGAAGGATTGCTTGAGGCCACGAGTTCGAGACCAGCCTGGGCAACACAGTGAGACCCTATCTCTACAAAAAATTTTTTAATGAAAATTTTAAAAAATGAACATAAAAAAGGAAATTAAGTTTAATCATGTTTAAGGTATGTTCACTGAGGATTTCATAAAATAAGAAATTTCCTCCAACTCCTCTCAAAAAGGGAAGACATTATGTTATTTTTCATATGTTCAGTGACATTTGTTGCATGGAATACTGTGAGAGACACTTAGAAAAATTCCCTTCCTAAGCCCCAAGGCCCTGAAATGATCCCATGAAATACACTATTTTTAATTTGTGTAACAGATGAGATTCATAAACAGTGATTTTGTCTATTGTTAACAAGGCGCACAACATTTCTCTGTAAAGCTAAAATCATATAATAAAGGAGATTTTATTAAGGTATTTGGTAAATTCATTATAGTAAATTATTTTATGGAATTTTCCTTTGGGGACCAGGCCTTATTGTTTTACCAGCTTTTGCCTAAATCATTTGAAAATTGTAGTTTGTCAATTATAAATAGAATAACATGATTTTGTTATAATGAAGTAATTTAAATTTAAAAGCAACAGTTTTGTTTCCATGTTAAGACTGTCACTGAGCTTTCTTATTGTTAACTTATTTATGTATTCTTTTAACTGACAAATAAAAATAATAACGTATATTTTTAATGCACATGTTTTGAAATATGTATACATTGTGAAATAGCCAAGTTATACTAATTAAAATATGCATTATCTCACATACTTATAATTTTTTGTGTTGAGAACACATAAAATCCACACTCAGTGATGTTGAAAAATAAATTACTCTGCTATTAACTATAGTTACACTATTTTACAATAGATCTGTTAAACCTTTCTTTCTTTCCCTTCCTTTCCTTCCTTTCCTTCCTTTCCTTTCCTTCCCTCCCTTTCTTTCTCTTTCTTTCTTCTTTTCTCTTCTCTTCTCTTCTCTTCTCTTCTCTTCTCTTCTCTTCTCTTCTCTTCTCTTCTCTTCTCTTCTCTTCTCTTCTTTTCTTTTCTTCTTTTATATGGAGTCTCACTCTGTCACCCAGGCTGGAGTGCCATGGCACAATTTCTACTCACTGCAACCTCCACCTCCCAGGTTCAAGTGATTCTCCTGCCTCAGCCTCCTGAGTAGCTGAGATTACAGCTGCGCACCACCACGCCTGGCTAATTTTTGTATTTTTTTTAGTAGAGACAGGGTTTCACCATTTTGGTTGGCCAGGATGGTCTTGAAATCCTGACCTCAAGTGATCTGCCTTCTTTGGCCTCCCAAAGTGCTGGGATCACAGGCATGAGCCACTGCGCCCAGCCCCCAAACTTATTTCTCCTAACATTGTGTATTCTTTGACCAATATCCCGTCAACTCTTCAAATGGCCACATCCACACCAACTTCCTGGTAACCATGATTCTTCTCTGTATTTGCATAAGGTCAATTTTTTAGATTCTAAATATAAGTGTCTTTCTGTGCCTGGTTTATTTCACTTATTATAATATTCTCCAGATTCATCCATGTTGTTGTCAATGACAGAATTTCCTCTTTTTTAAGGCTGAATAGTATACCACTGTGTATATATACCACATTTTCCTTATCCACTGATGGACACATAGGTTGATTATGTATCCTGGCTAATGTGAATACTGGTGGAATACATGTGGAAATGCATGTATCTCTTCATCATATAGTTTTTAATTTTCCTAGGGTATATAACCAGTGGTGGGATTGCCAGATTATATGGTAGCTCTGTTTTTAATTTTTCAAGGAAGCACTGTAGAGTTCTCCATAATGGTTATATTTACTAGTTTACATTTCCACCAGCAGCATTCAAAGATTCTTTTTCCCCACATTCTCACTAATGTTTATCTTTTGTCTTTCTGACAATAGCCATTCTAACAGGTATGAGGTGATATTTCATTGTGGTTTTAATTCACATTTCCCTGATGATTACTGATGTTGAGAGTCATTTCATATACCTTTTGACCAATTACTAGCATGTCTTCTTTTGAGAAATGTCTATCAGATCCTTTGTCTATTTTTAAATTGGGGTATTGTTTTCTTCCCTTTGTGTTATCTAAGCTCCTTATATATTTTGGACGTTAATCCCTCATTAGCAATATGGTTTACAAATATTTTCTCCCTTTCTGTGGGTTGTGCCTTCACTCTGTTGATTGTTTCTTTTTCTGTGCAAAAGTCTCTTAGTTTGATGTAATCTCATTTGTCTATTTCTCCTTTTGTTACCTGTGCTTTTGGGGTCATATCCAAAACATCATTGCCCAGACTAACGTAATGGAGCTTTTCTTCTAAGTTTCCTTCTAGTACTTTTACCATTTCAGGTTTTATGTTTCGCTGTTTTTTTAAAGTAGAGTTTCACTCTTGTTGTCCAGGCTGGAGTGCAATGTCTTGATCTCAGCTCACCACAACCTCCACTTCTCGGTTCAAGCAATTCTCCTGCCTCAGCCTCCTGAGTAGCTGGGATTACAGGCATGCACCACCACGCCTGGATAATTTTGTATTTTTAGTAGAGATGGGGTTTCTCCATATTGGTCAGATTGGTCTCAAACTCCCAACCTCAGGTGATATGCCCACCTTGGCCTACCAAAGTGCTGGGATTGCAGGTGTCAGGTGTTTCATTTTGAGTTAATTTTTGAGTATGGTGTCAAAAATCAATGGACCGTAAATGTGTAGGTTTCTTCCTAGGCCCTCTATTTTGTTCCATCTGTCTATTTTTATGCCAGTATCATGCTGCTTTAATAACTATAGCATTGTATCATATTTGACATCAGGTAGTATAGTGCCTTCAGTTTTTATCTTCTTGCTCAAGATTTATTTGGCTATTTGGAGTTGTTTGTGAATGCATACAAATGTAAGGATTTTTTCTATTTCTTTGAAAAATGTAATTGACAATTTGATAGTGATTTCATTAAATCTGTAGATCACTTTGGGTAGTATGGATATTATAACAATTTTAATTCTTCCAATTCATGAACACCAAATATCTCTCCATTTGTGTCTTCAAATTATTTCATCAGTGGTTTATAGTTTTCAGTGTACAGGTCTTTTACCTGCTTCATTAAATTTATTCCTAAATAATTCTTTTGGAGCTACTGTTAATGGAATTGTTGATTTTTTTTCAAATAGTTTGTTATTAGTGTATAGAAGCACTACTGATTTTTGTTTGTCTGTTGTGTATCCTGCAATTCATTTATTAGTTCTAAGAATATTTTTGCCAAAGTTTTTAGGGTTATATATATATTATATTATATTTTATATATAATTTACATAGATAGAAAACCATGCCATCTGCAAGAAGGGACAATTTAATATCTTTCTTTCTGATTTGGATACCTTCTTCTCTTTCATTTGCTTAATAACTTGAGCTAAAATATCCAATAATATGGTAAATAGATGTGGGAAGAGTAGGCATTCTTTTCCTATTTCTGATCTCAGAGGAAAAGTTTTCAATGTTTCACCATTGAGTAGAATGTAAGCTGTGGGTTTTTCATATATGACTTTTACTGTGTTGTGATACATTCCTTCTACATAAAATTTCTTGAGAATTTTTATCATGAAAGGATTTGAATTTTGCCAAATGTGTTTTGGCCTCTGTTGAGATGATCTATTGGTCTTTATTCTCTTATCATTGCATATCACCTTTATAGATTTGCGTATGTTGAACCATTCTTGAATTCCAGAGATAAATCCCAATTGATTATGGTGAATAATCATTTTACTGTAATGTTAAATTTGGTGTTCTAGTATTTTTGCATGCACGTTTGTCAGGAATACTGGTTTAAAATTTATTTTCTTTTAGTGTCCTTGTCTCACTTTGATATCAGAGTAATGACGGTGAGGTGCAATGAGTTTAGAAGTATTCCCTCTTCTTCAATTTTCTGGGAGAGTTTGAGAAGGACTGATATTCTTCTTCTTTATATATTTGGTAGAATTCACCAGTAAAGCTGTCAGGTCCTGAGCTTCTCTTTTAATGAGAAATTTATTTTTATTGAATAAATCTTCTTACATTTTTTGCCTGTCAGATTTTCTGTTTCTTCATGACTCAATCTTGACAAATTGCATGTGTCTGGAAATTAATCCATTTCTTCTAAATTATCTATTTTTTGGTATTATATAATTGTTCATAATAATATCTTTTGAGACTTTATATTTCTGTGATATTAGTTGTAATGTCTCCTCTTTCACTTTTGATTTTTTTTATTTGTATCATCTCTCTTTTTCTCTTCACTAATATAGCTAAAATTTGTCAACTTTGCTTTTCTTTTTAGAAAACCAACTCTTACTCTCATTGATATTTTCTGTCATTTTTCTGGTCTTTATTTCATTTCTGCTCTGATCTTTATTATTTCCTGCTAACTCTGGGCTTTCTTCTTTTTTTCCTAGTTCCTTGATGAGTAAGTAATGCTGGATTGTTTTTGAGATTTTTCTCTTTTTTTGATATAGGAGTGTACTGCTATGAACATTTCTTGTAAAACTGCTTTTGCTGCACTCCGTAAGTTTTGATATGTTGTGTCTCCATTTTTTGTTAATCTCATGATATTTTTAATTTTTTAAAAAATTTATTCTTTGATTCATAGACTGTTGGAGACCCTGCTGTTTAATTTCTACATGTTTGTGTGTTTCTAAAATTCCTCCTATTATTGGTTTCTAGTTTCACACCTTTATATTTAGAAATGATACTTGATAGGATTTCAGTCTTTTTAAATTTGTTAAGACTTGCTTTGTGGCCTAATATATGGGCTATCACAGAGAATGTTTATCTGTCTGTCTATTCAGGTATATCAATGATTACCTTGAATGTAAAGGAAATATACTAGCCAATTAAAAGACATAGACTGGCTAAATGAATTTTTTAAAAATAAGGCCAATTATATGTTGCCTACAAGAGGCTCACTTCAGCTTTAAGGGTACACACCCGCATTGAAGGAAGAATTATATACAGCAAATATTAATAGATATTCAAAATTGTTATATCCTTTTGATAAATATTTGATAAATATTAACAATTATTATATCCTTTTTACATGTTGACCCTTTTTATTATATTATTAATATATAATAAATATATATTCCTTGTTTTTAAAGTATTAGGCTTAAAGTCCATTTTATCTCATGTAAATATAGCTACTTCTTCTCTCTTTTGATTTCCATTTACATGGTATACTTTTTTTCATCCCATCACTTTTAAAGCTGAAGTGAACCTCTTGTGGGCAACATATACTTGGCCTTATTTTTAGAATATACTGAAATTAAGTATATATTTACTTTACCAGTGAGTTTTATACTTTTATATAATTTCAAATTACTAATTAGTATCCTTCGCTTTCACTTTGAAAAGCTCTCTTTTGAAGAAAGAAGAAAGGTCTAATGTGTGAACTATGTCAGCTTTTGTTTGTCTGGAAAAACCTTTAACCAATTTTCATTTCTGAAGGACAGCTTAGCTCGTAAAGTATTCTTGGTTGATAGTCTTTTTCTTCAGCATTTTTGAATACAGTAGTATTTCCTCATCCACCATCTTCCTCTCCATAGTTTCATTTACCTGTTGTGCACAGTGTTCCAGACATATTAAATAAAATATTCTAGAACTAAACAATTCATAAGTTTGAAGTTGCATGACATTCTGAGTAACATGATGAAGTCTCGTGTCATCCTCTCCATCCTATGCAAGATGTGAATCTTCCCTTTGTCCCATATAGCCATGAAGGACACTCTACACAAATATTACTGCATAGGAAAAGTGTCACGTATAAGATTTGGTATTATTTGCAGATTCAGGCATCCACTGGGAGTCTTGAAATATATTCCTGATGGATAATGTGGAAACTACTGTACATCATCCCATTCTCTGTTGGAATCTAAGGTTACTGCTAAAAATGTCTGCTGGTAGCCTTACTAAACTCCCTTATACGTAATATGTTTTCTTTATCTTGATGTTTTAGGATACTCTCTGTTTTTTATATTTTCCTGTTTTATTATAACATGCCTTGGTATTGTCTTATATGGATTAAATATGATTGAACACCTTTAACTTTTCCCAGATTTGGAAAGTTTTTAGCCTTTTTTTTTAAATAAGTATTCTGCTTTTTTGTCTCTCTTTCTCCTTTAAATTCTGTCCTTTGAATATTTGCACTTGTGATGATGTTCCAAAATCTTTCTTATTTTCTTTTATTTTTCCCTCTGAGTGTACATTTTCAGATAAACTGTCTTTGCTTCATATATATTTTTTTCTGCTTCTTACTCTTTCTGCTGTCGATAGTCTCTATTGCATTTTAAATTTCCTTCTTTATAGTTTTTCAGCTCCAGAATTTCTGCTTTTTTAATATATGTTTGGCTTTCTGTTTAATTTCTCATTTTACCCATTGTTTATTGTTTACCTAATATCACTATATAGTTTCTGTGTATTTTTCTTGAAATTTGCTGAGGTTTTTAAAAACAATTATGAATTCTTCATCAGGCAGTTTACAAATCTCTATCTTTTTTGAGTCTGTTACCGGTATTTTATTTTGTTTATTTAGTGGAAGCACGTCTTTCAGATTATTATTGATTCTTGTGGCCACTTGCTGGTGACTGCACATTCGACAACATAGTAACTTATTTCAGTCTTTGAATACTGGTTTTGTTTGGGCAAGCCAGTCTGTTCATCTAGAGATTTGAGGTAAGTCACCTTTCCTACAACATCTACAACATTTGGGGCTGTAGAATATTGGAACCATCAAGGATCTAAGAGATAGGCATCATCTGACAACCAAAAATGTTTACAGATCCTACCAAATGTCTCAGTGGAGAAATAGCCACAGGTTGAGAATCGCTTTTTAAAAGATTCCCAAGTTACCCAACTAGCCACTTAAAAGTGTGTGTTCTTGAGCTCTCTTCTTGGAAAGACTGTGGAAAAGGGGCAACCTTTTTCGCTAGTATCAGGGATGCTACCCATCCTGAAGGCCCATAGTAAAATTGCTGGCTTGTCTTAAGTGACAAAGCTGACCTAGTTCCTTCAGGAATTCACTACCTTGCAGTGACCAATCCCTTCTTCTCTATGGACGTGATGACGTGATGGGACCCATGTTGTA
Organism: Homo sapiens; assembly: GCF_000001405.40. Classification (NCBI taxonomy): domain Eukaryota; kingdom Metazoa; phylum Chordata; class Mammalia; order Primates; family Hominidae; genus Homo; species Homo sapiens. Next base: position 30,204,815 of record NC_000004.12, read on the forward strand.
AGAACTTTAATTTTATCCACACCCCTACCCACTGGAGGTAGATACACTCCTTTTCCTAACTGCTGGATCCTGTGGAGGCCGGAAGTAGCAACCACATTTCATTTATTCAATCTTTGTTTTCTGTCAACAGTTACATTACTAGAGAAATAAATCTGCTCCTATTTCAACTTTGAAGTTAAAATCTAAAACTAATTTGCTTTCAAATAAATTGTTTGTTTATTTATAAAACATGCTTGTTTACATTTTACATCTATTCAAAAGGTGATCTTGGTGTGTCTTTCAGTGACTTAAATTTTTCTGAGAATTGTGATTGGATGTCACCACAGGTCCAAATTTCCTTTTCTGGAGAAAATAATAAGTAAAACCAGTAAAGATTTCCACCTTTGCCTGAGTCATCAGACTTGGCTAGTAGAGGCCCAGAGTCCGCAAGCAGGCTGATCCACTCTCATCCAACCTCAATGCTAAACAAGCAACCAGAGCTCTGGGACTATCGAATTTCCAGACAAGTGAAAAACATTCACATTCAGAAAGAAGGTGTGAGTAGTGTCCTTAATATCTGAATATAGCTTTTCATTTAATTTTTTTGTCAAAAATTAACTGAAATAATTTTGACCCCTCCCGGTTTATTGGTTTTGCATCAGTATTTTGTGCTGTATAATAGAATCACCCAGAAACTTAAAAGACTGAAAACACAACCCTTTATTTAGCTCAATGTTCTGGGGGATGACTGCTTGGGCTACATGGCTTCGTTCAGCTATATGGTTTCTCTGCTGGTTTCAACTGGACTCACTCACTCACTCACATATCTGCTTGTTTGCAGGTCACCTAGCTCTGCTTCTAGGGGTTGACTTGTTGTAAATTGGACTGACAGGGGCAACTGGGCTACATGTTTCTCATTATCCAACAAGCTAGCTTATGCTTCTTTACCTGCAAGAACAGAAGCTTCAAGAGGGCTTGAATCCAAAGCTGAGAACATTCAAAACATTACTTCTATCAGATTCCTTGCTCAAACCAAGTCACAAGACAAGCCCAGATTCAAGCCGTTGAGGAATAGAGATTCTACCTCTTGATGGAAGATACTGTAAAGTATTTCAGTCATGTTTGTAATTTATTACAGGTGTTCTGAATTTGATTTATTTTGTAATGAAAAAATAATTAAAATTGGTATCTTTCAAAAAGGAAGACATGCTTAATTTCATCAAACCTTACAACACTGGAGCTCTGCAATGTAAGACACAGGATTGTGCAATGTTTATAAATTATTCTCTTCAAAAACCAGGCACAGAGGATTATAATTTGCAAATAGGTAGACCTTGGAAAAGGGCATTTCTTCTTGGAAAATTGACTACCAAGTTTTTCTCTGCTTTCTATTTTTTGCCTCGTTTATTCCTCCTATCCAAACACTTGATTCTTAAATATCTTCTGATTATAGAGAAGAAATCATATTTTTTCTTTTTTATCAAAATTGAATAAATATTTTACCATCTACTCTTACGCAGTTCCTTGCAATAGTTGTCTATTGATTCATTTCCCTTTAGGAAACAAAAATCACAATTCAATTAATATGCCCAGGATCTTTTAAGAAAGTATTTTTGATTCATATTCAGATAACAGATGCTCTAAGGCTATGTAAACTACATAACTTTCTCTCTGTAGTATGGACAATTATAAGTACTTTGCTTTTGGCTTATTTCCATATCTTTTAAGAGACAAACATCTGAATTATATATCATGTGTGGTATTTGCATACTTGCAAATATATTACTCACACAAAGATTTCACTTATAAGCTTAAAAATGACCAAATCATTTGTAGAGAATTATAGGGGGAAGAGTTATATTAAGTTTGCAATTTTGTGCTCATATCTTATATAATTTCTCTTGAAGAGATATGTTTACACAGATAAGATATGTTTATAGTTAAAGAAGGCCATGGACCAAAGGAGAAAGACTTATGCCATGGAGATATGTAAGACAGAAGAAAAGGTGAGGTGGAAGGGAGTGATGGAAAGAAGTATAAAAATAACAGAAAAGGTAACATATGAATTATCTTTCCCCTTCTTTCATAGTTTTATTTGCTTCTACTCTTTCCAGCATGAGCTGCACAATAAAAGAAATTCATGTTATTGAGGATTCCTGAATCCTCAAGCATCCTTTGAAAGTACTCATGGTTTAAATTAAGAAGACACACATGAGTGGATTGACTTGAGTTCAGATCCAGCCCTCTCCCACATTTACCAACCGAGATGAGTTGAGTAAACCACATTGATCCCCATTTTCTTCAATAGCAAATTGAACATGTTACTAGCTACCTATCAGTGTCGATGTAAAATCTGATTATATCGAACAATTATAATGTTTACTGAAGAGTACAATAGTTCAATGAATGATTAATGTTTTATTTACTTACAATAATATATTTAATATATTTTTTGTGAATTGGAGAACCATTCTCTATTCTGTCTCCAGTATACATGAAGGATTTTTATATTTGTTGTAAATAAAATATTTGTCCATTAAACATTAGCAAGTATTTTCATTGAGCAAATGTAGCTGCACTATTTAAAACCTTGGGGATAAGAGTAAATTTAGAGTGCATATTTCTTATATTTATATGTTTATGAGAAAATCAAGAAATTAAAAATTTATATGTAAAAGTTGATTCAACTAAAGAACATTTTTAAAAAAGGCTCATCAGTATTACTGATGGTAATGTAAACAATGTAAACTATACTTTTATGACTTAGCAATTATTTAGTAACTTCACTCATAATATGGTGAAGGAAGTATTGCAACATACAGAACTACTAAGCATATTTCATATATATTGACACATCTCTAATTTCAATAAGATAGTATATAAACTTAGAAAACATTAAATTATAGCTTCAGTTTGGTACAGTTTTAATACCATGTTTTAAGAGTCAACTACTAACTTTAATTTTTCAGCTTTTCTGTTTTGCCAAACATGTTAAATACTTAGAGAAAGTAAATAAATATAATTGTATACTCTCTCAATTACTGAGACAGTGGTTAAGATAGGCCAAGTATCATGCTAAAGAGATAAAAGGATTAATCACTGACTTCAGGAAGTACCTGCTGTAGTGCAAGAATCATTATTGAATTTTAATAATTATAAATCTAAAAATCATTTAACAATTATATATCATTAAAATTGGTATCTCTGTGACAAGAATCCCATACTTCAATGACTTTTTTCCTCTTGCTTGTTTGGACAACAACTACCTCCTTTTTTTAATCTCACTAAAGCTTTCAAAATTCAGTGCTCACATTGATTCCTTTGGACATGTTTTCTGACCTCATCGAAGACCTGGTGACCTATATATGTCCCTGAACACTATATTAACCTTTTCCACAAGATGTAGGATATTGGAGTAGTGTGTGCCTCTGCTAACACAATGCCAACAGAGAAAAGACATAGGAGAGATGTTTTTTCTGTGAAAACTATACCTACACAATACAAATGTTTGGGTGTTTGTGTGTGTGCAGAAATTGTTTTCATTTACCACATACTATCAATGTCTTGATTAAAACAATCTATTGACTACAGTAGAAAGAGATCCATACCACGTTTCATGGCTCATTGAGCCGATATTATTTTTCCCTAGCTCCGTATAAAACCCTTTGTTGTTTTCTTCAGTCCTAACAATGTTTTTTTTTCCATCTCTTTTCCCCCGGTTGTTTGAAAATTTCAAACCACGGCCCTCTTTGGAAATTTGTACAAATGTTTTCTCAAAGTGCACAATGCTCGCATATGTTCATGCCTGATTGTTCATTATTCACATCACAGCTTAAAATATGTCATCTTAAGAGAAGACATTCAGAGCATTTGTTCTAAAATAGCCGTCAAACCTTTTTTAGTCTCTCTCTATGCCACTGCCCCACGTTTCCATTTTTGGTAACATCTGTTCTAGGTTTTAAAATTACCTTACTCAATTTAAAAAAAAAAAAATAGAGTCTATTTGCACCAGTTAGAATGTAAGTTTTGAGAAGGCCAAGTCCCCAGTGTTTTGTTATGAAGTAAATGTTCAAGGAATATGTGCTTGTGGGTGCATGTATGTGTATGTTTATTTTGAATGACTCACCTTTTGACTCAAAAAATAAATATGTGGCCGGGCACAGTGGCTCATGCTTGTAATCCCAGCACTGTGGGAGGCCAAGGTGGGCAGATCATTTGAGGTCAGGAGTTTGAGTTCAGCCTGACCAACATGGTGAAACCCCATCTCTACTAAAAACACACAAAATTAGCTGGGCATGGTGGCACATGCCTGTAATCTTAGCTACTTGGGAGACTGAGGCAGGAGAATAGCTTGAACTTGGGAGGCAGAGGTTGCAGTGAGTGAAACCGTGCCACTGCACTCCAGCCTAGGTGACAGAGCACAACTCTGTCTCTAAATAAATAAATAGATAAATAATAAAATTGTGAGTGTTAGTTTGGCTTTTGAATAGTCAGACTCCCTGACTCCCTTCATTCACACTTCCTTCTTAAACAAAGAATGGGTGTTTTATCTCCCAGAACACCTCTAAGTCAATGCTACATCCCCTACTTGTGTTGAAAGAAAGTTTATTATCACAGTGCTAAAGGGCTCACTCAGATCTCCTTTTACCCTGAAAATGTTAAGATAGCTGCTGTGCTACTCATAGAAAAAGTGATAGAGAAAACTGCCCACTGCTTGGTTTATTGCCTTCCAAGTCAGTTATATTTTTCATTTTAAATCTGAAAGCTAATCAATACACTGGGATGTATTCCAGGTATATTTTTAAGACAGCAAGCTGCAAATGTGATATGACCTGAGGTTGGAAAAACATAGTATGTGTGTGGGTTGTGGGGATCAATGTATTTCAATGACATGATGGAGTAAAGGCAGAGAGATGAATTTTAAAGAGTGAGAATGAAGATTTTTCAGTGGGAGCATTCTAAGCTTTAGGTCATTTCTGTCTTTCCTCTCCCCAAACTATTAAAAGATCTTATCAAATGTTATTCATAATCACTATTTCTACAGTGTTTCTTTTGTTGTTGTTTGTTTGTTTGCTTGAGACGGAGTCTTTCTCTGTCACCCAGGCTGGAGTATAGTGGTGCGATCTCGGCTCACTGCAACCTCCACCTCTCTGGTTCAAGCACTTCCTCGGCCTCAGACTCCCAAGTAGCTGGGATTACAGGTGCATGCCACCATGCCCGGCTAATTTTTTTTGTATTTTCAGTAGAGACAGGGTTTCACCATGTTGATCAGACTGGTCTCGAACTCCTGACCTCAGACAATCTGCCCACCCCGGCTTCCCAAAGTGCTGGGATTACAGGCGTGAGCCACTGCACTCAGCCTACAGGATTTTTATTTTACTTATTTACCACAGTTGATTCTATGAGGGCTTGAGCTAATTCGCTGCAAGAGAATGATTTTGAACAAAGACACAGTAAATTACTACAAGGAAGGCGTCAATGTAGTTTCTGAAAACAAGTATATATTTTTTTCAGGAAAAAACTTATACAGTAGGATAATTGGATTAATTTTCTCCAGGACACTTAAGTGTTATTTTAGCTACCTTCTCAGACCTTTTCCAAATAGTGAAATTTATTTTGAAAAACCTGCATTTCCTTTCTTGACAATCCCTAGATTTTTTGATAATTATTTTCTATCTGCTTCATTATATTCTGCCTTTCGTTCATTCCTTCTCCAACAAATGTTTATTATGAAACCACTAAAATAACAGGTACACACTATAGTGGTAAATTAAGCAAATCTCTAGCCTCACAGTGCTAATTTTCTATCAGGCATCATTTGCTAGCTTTTAAGAACACTCATTATATTTCAGAATCTTTTTGTAATGCTTTACCTGTGAAATGAACATTATTATTAATATTATTTCCCATTTTAAGGTCAAGGAAACTAATCTTCAGAGCATATAGGTCACCGTTTCAAGATGACCAATCTAGTAAGTGTTAAACAGCAGATGTAAAAGTGGACAGTTTGTCCATGCTCACGTGTTTAGCTGCTCTACTATTTTGTTCTTTCAATGAACTCTTCCAATATTTATGTCTATGGACTTTTCCAGTTCTGGACACTTCCAATACTTATTTCTGTGATATTCATTTGCTTTCTTGAGTTTTTGAATAAATTTAATATTTTTAATATTTTAATTACAAAAATAAATAACTTACCGGAAATTGGGAAATGGAGAAAATGCTCATATGAACACCGTGTTAAATTGGTATTCTCTAAATTGTCTCATACACTGAAGCAGAAAACAGTTATAATCACAGTACATGAAGAAGTCCATATTCTGTCTTTTTCGGTATATGTTTTATTATAGTCTTTTCATAATGTTAAATAGAGTTCATAATCATTATTTGTAGACTGCATTAAAACCCTTTGAGGTGATACATCATTATATATTTAACACCTCCATTGATGGATATTTTACTTTTTTGAAGGGAAAAAAATCCCATTATTTTATTACATAAAAAAGTACTTTGGAATTTCAATTCAAATTAACTGAATTAAACATATAAAAGTGTTTGACATCTTTATGATTGCTAGTATTCCATGTACTACAATCTGTCTTTAAAAATGTACTTCAGTAAGTGTCTTTTGTGTCCTACCATTTACTAGTCACTCTGATGGGCTTAAAGGATGTTGCCTTGGTGAGAACCATCTCTTAAATTCAAGAAGCTTCTAATCCAGTAGGAGGTACAGCAATCCAAACCAGTGTAAGAGATGAGAACACATAAGATGTAATATGATGGAGTACCCAATCTAGTAATATAGTGTTGACAAAGATGGGTAAGACAGAAAGGACTTGTGAACATTTACACAGTGAACATTTACACAGAGGAAGGTAGAGAAGAAGCATTAAGGGATGAGTAGTCCAGAGAAAGAGAACTTTCTCTTTCTCATATATATACATGTATATGAAAATTAAGAAGAAAATTATAGAAATTTGTGAAGAAAATTTTTAAGAAGAAAAATATGAACTTTTTAGAAAGTAGTTTAAAATGATTTTAAAATATATAAGATAAAAATATTCTGAACAATAATTTAAGGAAACTAGTCTTGAATATAATGCTAAGTTTGCCTTAATTATACTTGAAATGATTGCTCTTGAAAGGTAAATTTTAAAAATTGTGTGGACTGTTATAATAGAATTACAAAATTGTAAACTTTCTACATGATAATATCAACTCATTCATTTCCTCCAGAGCTTCCTCTTTTGTAATTCCTATATATAAACACCCAAGAAAATTATAATTTTTCATTTATATCTTCATTCAGTTATCAAACATTAGATAAGAAAAACAATATTATTAACACCATTCAATAACAGCATTTTTGTTGGTTACCAAAATGTGGATTTTGACAACAAAATTTTGAAAATTTAGGAGGGACTAGAAACTTCTGAATTAACTGCACATTATCGAAAAGTATATCAAATTGAAACTTTCATCAAAATTACCAGTCATAATTTAAACAAGTCATTTGTAACAAAACAGGGAATCATAACATTTCTAGCTTTTAGATTTGTTTCCAGTCAGAGTCAAATCTAAATAATTAATTTGATTACAAGTTCATTCTCAATAATCTGCTCATGATCTTTTTTAGGAAAGATAAAAAGAAAACTATATTCATTAAATGTGAGAGTAGAGAGTATATGGAAAGAAAAGCAATGACTGTTGAAAAGAAATATGCACCTCCAACAGAGATCTCTACAGCAAGTAAACTAAAACTGTGGCATGAGTAGGAGCTTATAATAAGATTATGACTTCAGTTCCTTCTTTGGCCAATACCTGAACAAACTTGATTGGATTGATAAAGTGACAAAGACAAAACTCATTTTAAATATATGATTTCATAGCACTGTACTAATGTTTGAAAGGCTGTCTGGTTTTTGATATATAAAATTCATCAGAATATTTACATAGTCAGATTTCATGAAAACTTCCTTTGTATACCTGAAATATAGGTTTATATGACAGTTAGTTTTTTACATATTCTTAGCAAATAAAAGCAATTTATTAAATACGGTTTTAACATTTTGATGTATAAAACAGCTGGAGGTGGTAACCTGTAATAAATTAATTCATTATGAATTATGAAGTTGTTAATACAGCTCGACTTAAGAATCTGTGGTTCACAGAAATTACACGGAATTATTTATCGATGCCATTTCCCCTTTCTGCCTTCCCTAACTACATTTGATAAATGGGGCCAGCATATCTTTGTCATTACACAGGGAATAGAGTCTGTGCCAAAACATATGGCTCAGGGTTTACAGGTAAATTACATGAATATGTATGAATACACTGTCCAATATACAGAATTTCTAAAATTTTTGAATGATTGAGATTTAGTGTTCAACTTGGTAGAGTGAGGAAATTTAGTATTTAAATTAAAAATAAAATAACTACAGTTTCTCAAGTAATTATTAATTAGTTGACTCTGTACTAACAGCTTTAACTCTCATATTCAATTTCATCATTCAAACCATTTTTCAAGTGAGGACACTGAGTAACCCATCCAGGCTCACATTGCTAGTGAGTTATGAAGCCAGATTTTAAAACCAAATATGGCTGAGTCAAGATCCCAGTCTCACTTTTCTCAACTGCAAAATTGGAAAAATAAACCCCATGTCCTCCCTAACTTACAACACTGTTTTGAGGTTTAAATGAAAGAGTAAAAAAATTTTGTAAACTGTAAACATCTAAATCATTGTAAATCTATTTGTTAATGTGGATAATTACTTGTACTATCCCCTACAAAGGTGGTCCATAAAGAAGCACAAACAGAGCTAAGAAAAAAAAAAAAGAAAAGCTATGCAGATATGTTTTGCTGTGGTAAGCCACCAACACAGTACCCAAAGCTGTCACGGGAAAGCCCTTTACTCTGTTCCCATCTGTTCAAAATCTTATCTTAAAAGATTTGGCCTTAGGCACTTCCCAGGCAGAAAAGCTCCAAAATGACAGGGATAGAAAGCTTTTTAGACATTGTATGCTAATAAGAAGAATCAAGATTTCTGCACAAGTCTGATAAACCAATTGATGGTGTTATCTTAGCTCATGTCCTGGTTTAGAACAAGAAAGAATGTTGGTAGTGTGCTGCAGGAGAGCCAGGGCTTGTATTTGTTGAAATTAGCAGAGCTAATGTGCAGATCATCTCTGTTTTACTCATATCTTCACATCTTAATCCAATTGGCCCAAGTCATTTCAAACAAGTATACCTTCAAATCTTAGCATTCTTCCCCCGCCTTCTCTAATGCAAGACCATCCAAACTAGCAATTAGGCCATGCTTCCATTTCAGTGACAGGTCAACTAAGATTCTTTTAGGTCCAACTTCAAGTCTGAAAGTCTTTTTTAATGTCATCTGTAATTGGGACTTGAGGCAGCCCAATACAAAGCAACTTTTTTTCCATCAAATTTGCAATCAATTGAGATACATTCAGAATTCAGTGAAAATGCAAATGGCATTTTATTTATGAAAAATCATAGGATCAAAGGTTGTTTTGTAAATATGTGATAACAGTGGGCTTCATGGTACAGCAGTGAGACAATATGTGCCTGGTCACAGGCAACCATACTCAGTTACTTTTTTACTACTCTATGGCCAAGAACTGTGTGCTCTCTACAGGCAGCTACAACGGAGAGAAAGGAAGGAAATGTGTTCAGCTACGCATGTCCAGGTCTTGATCTCAAGTTACCAATAAGATAATTTACACTCCTTAAGTTTGAAATAATTGAGAGGGCAGAGATGAACAACAGTGAGTGCTAATTGATGTCTCGTCATAAGGAAAACATGAAATAAGAAGAATAGAAACCCACACAAATACTAAACTAAGATTCAGTGCCCCTAAAGCTTCTGTTTTAACATAATCATGAAATCAACCTCTAAATTAAGATTCTGGTAATTTCCTCAGATTGTGCCCAATCTCCTTCCCAAATTGAGAAGCAAGTAAAAGAATATTTTGAAAGTGAGAGAGAGAAACACACACACACACACACACACACACACACACACAGCCAGATGCTAAGAGCAAAGGAGTAGGGAAGACAGGGTTTTCAGTCCCAAGCTAATGGCTGGGCTGAAAACAGAAATGAATCATGGTGACTGCATGACCTGCTAGAGAGTATATGGGTGGCAACACCTGGAATATTTCATCAGTGAGGCCTCAGTCTTATGAATGTTGCCCAGGAGTTTCATCTACAAACATTGAATGTATATTATTTTATGTTTTATTCCCTACCTTTTATATATGGTATTCTTAGGATGTATGTGTTGTGCTTATTTATGTGGCTTGGGAGAGAGGTTGTGATACCCAGGAGGCCAAGGAAGAGAAATATAGAGTCACTTGTGAAGTTCATCTTGCTATTTTTTTAACTCTACATTAAAAAAAAGTGTTATCAAATTTTTTTGTGGTCAAAACAAAATAGCCATTGCTTTCATCACCTTTCATTATTTATTTATACTAAATATTATATATGATTCAGGGTATCATCAAATAACATCTATTTCTGACACACATGGTTCGAAATTTGGGTTCTAGGGTTTGATTGATTTGGTATTTTGTTATTCAAATTATAAAAGTGTGGTAGGCACATTAAATAAAGATGCATATCACTAGACCCAGAAAACAAAATGACCAATTTCATTTGCCAAAATAAAATTTGCCAAAATAGAATTTGCATTTTTTATTATATGCAAACCAGAAGTAGCATCAATTTTTAAGCATTTCAACAAAATCTTCTTGTAGAAACACAAGCTAATGCCTTCCATAAAACCATAGTATTAACTTGATTAATAATTTGTTAATTTTCCTTACATAACACTTATTTTCAAAAAGTTAATAACTATCGGGGGAACCCGCCCCCGATAATTCAACGTTATTTTATGTAGGTTCTTTTCTATTTCCCTAAGTGTTGGCCGGTCTGAGAAATAAAGGGAAAGATTACAAAAGAGAGAAATTTTAAGGCTGGGTGTCTGGGGGAGACATCACATGTTGGCAGGTTCCGTGATGCCCCCCAAGCCACAAAACCAGCAAGTTTTTATTAGTGATTTTCAAAAGGGGAGGGAGTGTACGAATATGGTGTGGGTCACGGAGATCACATGCTTCACAAGGTAATAAAATATTACAAGATAAATGGAGACAGGGCAAGATGACAGGACCTGGGTGAAATTAAAATTGCTAATGAAGTTTTGGGCACACATTGTCATTGATAACATCTTATCAGGAGACAGAGTTTGAGAGCAGACAACCGGTCTGACCAAAATTTATTAGGCAGGAATTTCCTCATCCTAATAGGCCTGGGAGCGCTACAGGAGACCAGCGCTTATTTCATCCCTTATCTGCAACTGTAAAAGACAGATGTCCCCAGAGCGGCCATTTTAGAGACCTCCCCCTGGGAATGCATTCTCTTTCTCAGGGATGTTCCTTGCTGAGAAAAAGAATTCAGCAATATTTCTCCTATTTGCTTTTGAAAGAAGAGAAATATGGCTCTGTTCTGCCTGGCTCTCAGGCAGCCAGACCTAATAGTTATCTCCCTTGTTCCTTGAACATCACTGTTATCCTGTTCTTTCTTCAAGGTGCCCAGATTTCATATTGTTCAAACAATTTGTGCAGTTAACGCAATCATCACAGGGTCCTAAGGTGACATTCATCCTCAGTTTATGAAGATGATGGGATTAAGAGATTACAGTAAAGACAGGCATAGGAAATCACAAGAGTATTGACTGGGGAAGTGATAAATGTCCATGAAATCTTCACAATTTATGTTCAGAGATTGCAGTAAAGACAGGCATAAGAAATTATAAAAGTATTAATTTGGGGAACTAATACATGTCCATGAAATCTTCACAATTTATGTTCTTCTGCCATGGCTTCAAAAGGTCCCTCCGTTCAGGGTCCCTGGCTTCCCACAACAAATAACCATATTCTATTGTGCTGGAGACAAAAGTTTTTAGAAAATAATTTTTGATAGAACCAACCTAGTGATTTCAGGATTTCCTTATAGGTGAAAATTAGATGGAAAGCATCTTGAAAAATGCAGATATTCTAGTTTCACATCCAGATATTATGATTCAGTTGCTCTGCAGTGGTGGCCAGAAATCTTCACATTTTTGGCCAGCACTACTTGTTTAAAGCTGGTTTTGTTTGAGGAACTCTGCTATAAAAATTGCTGATGAAACTTCTCTACCTGAGATGAGATTTTATCAAACCTTTGCTCAGTTTGCTCCTTCTTGGAAACCAAGTCACGTTGGCAATGCTTACTCTACCAAGAGGACTTTTCTGATCAGTCATTGTCTCTCTCTATCACATCTCCCTGTTTAATTTCTTCATAGCTCTTGTCAATAACAGTATATTTGTTTCTCCTGTCATATTTAGTTTTGTATCCAATCCAAATGCCCCTAACAATACCTGGTATGTAATGTGAGATCAATAAATATTTATTTGCTAAATAACGAAGTAAGGCACCAGAGGCTAATTAGAAACTCAAATCATTGGATGAGAAACAGATTTATTCTTCTTACTAAAAAAAAAAATATATATTCATTATGCAAACACCACACTAACATAAGTGAAAATCCAAAATGGAGACAGAAAGTTCTTCATTGACAAATCATCACCACTCAAAGACTTTCTTTTTTAATATTTTTGAACCTCTTCCAGTTTTAGTTATGATAATTAAATAGCATATATAATTTCATGCTTTTCTTTGCACACTTACCATTATTTAATTTGCAGCAGATGCTGTCAGTAATTCACCCAGAGCCTTCAGAATTTTTGGTATGGTCTAACCACCTTCTAACTAGCAGCATTTGCATCTACATGCCTGAGACGTAAATCCCAGGCATATAAACACCTTAGCTCCCTCGTTCCTCATGTAGGAACATTTTGCAATGTGTCTTACACCATTTCTGGATTTAATCCACTGTGACTGTTGATTTAGTAAAGAAGCTTAACTGGCTCTCTTTTTTTCTCAATATCACTTTCCCACCACTACTTGTGTTTCTCTCAAAATCAAGTTTTTGCACTGGAGCCTTTTCTCAGTGTGGATTTCTGGAGAAATTCAAACAAAGACATGGTGTTTTTCATATTTTCACATTGTCTCATATTTTTGTTTACGTATTTGGCACATATTAGGTCTTCAAAAATATTTAATGAATGAGTGAATACAGTGTGTCATTCTTGTCTTTCCTTCAAAATCTGTTATCAGTCTTTTTCTATCATCTCTTCCTTGTAAACTACAAGATATCTTTCAATTTCCAATTACAAATGCTAACTCCTTTTCAAGCCTTTCCACAACTATACCAGAACCTCTTATTCTTCTTGAAGATTTTCATGAAAATTTACAAATAATATTTAACAACTCTTAGCATTATGACTTGAGTGTCTACACTTTCATTACCATTTTTTTATCTGCACATTTTCCCATACTGGGACATACACTTAATAACTATTTGATAGCCTATAACATGCACTTAAAAAATTTGAAAAATTAGAATGAATGAATGAGGTCTATGAGACTTTCTCTGTGTTCCAGTTTCTTCCTGATTGCTACATTCATTTTAAGGTCTTGTCAGTGTTCCTCAGTTCAATTATTTACCCAAACCAGTTGCCTGTTTGCCTTATTCTTAACTCAACATTTTTACAGCAAGCATCTCTGGATAGATAGTTTAGAGGAAACATCTGACATATGAAGCATTTATACATTCTTTTTTCACTTCCATGTACCATACTTCGTTTGATATTTTGCCCCTGTGGAGTATCCTTGGTGCCCACTTCTTACCTCCTATTGTGACCATCCTCCCTATTAGGGCCTCACATTTCAATTTATGCATGTGATTTGCTATACTCCTTATTTATCAGATCAATATATAATCCTCCATAGCTGCAGTTGGTGAATGGCTATGTTGCTGAATACTAACTAATAACAACTTAAAACTCACCTTATAGGCAACAGATCACTGGGTCTCATATTTTCATCCATTCAGCCACTCTATGTCTTTCAATTAGAGAGGTTAGCCCTTTACATTCAATGTTATTACTGATAAGTAAGGGCTTACTTCTGCCACTTTGTTATTTGTTTCCTGTTTGTTTTGTGGTCTTGTCTTTTTTTTTTTTTCTTCCTGTCTTCCTTTAGTGAAAGTAATTTTCTCTGGTGATATGATTTAATTTCTTGCTTTTATTTTTTGTGCTATTGATTGTATGTTTTTTGGTTTGAGGTTACCACGAAGCTTACAAATACTATCTTATAACCCATTATTTTAACCTGATAGCAACTGAACACTGTTTGCATAAACAACAAAAAATAAAACTAATAAAAACTCTATGCTATAACTTTCTCCCTCACTTTTCAACTTTCTGTTGTTTATATCTTGCGTGCTAAGTTGCTGTAGTTATTATTTTGGGTTGTTTTATCATTTAGTCTTTCTACTCAACCTAAGAGTAGTTTACATACTATAGTCACAGTGTTATAACATTCTGTGTTTTTCTGTGTACTTACTATTACCAGTGAGTTTTGTACCTTCAGATGATTTCTTATTGCTCATTAATGTCATTTTCTTTCTGATTGAAGTACTCCCTTTAGCATTTCTTATAGGAGAGGTCTGGTGTTGAAAAAATCCCTCAGCATATTTGTTTGCCTGGGAAAATCTTTATTTTTCCTTCCTGTTTGAAGGATATTTTCACCAGATATACTATTCTAGGGTAATTTTTTTTCTTTAGCACTTTAAATATATCATGCTATTCTCTATTGAACTATAAGGTTTCCACTAAAAAGTCTGTTGCCAGGTGTGTTAGAGCTCCATTGTATGTTATTTGTTTCTTTTCTCTTGCTGCTTTAGGATCCTTTATTTATCCTTGAACTTTCAGAATTTGATTATTAAATGTCTCAAGGTAGTCTTTTTTGGGTTAAATCTGCTAGATGTTCTAGAACTTTCTTGCACTTGAATATTGGTGTCTTTCTCTAGCTTTGGGAAGTTCCTTGTTACTATCCCTTTGAATAAACTTTCTACCCCTATTTCTTTCTCTACTTTCTCTTTAACAGCAATAACTCTTAGATGTGCCCTGTTGAGGCTATTTTGAATTTGCTGTCTGAAAAGTCACATGTCTCTGTTTCTCTAGTATTGGTCCCTACAGCCTTATTTAGTTCACTTAGTGAGGTCATGTTTCCTGGATGGTATTGATACTAGTGGATGTTCTTCAGTGTCTCAGCATTGAAGAGTTAAGTACTTATTGTAATCTTTACTGTCTGGGCTTGTTCGTATCTTTCCTTCTTGGGAAGGCTTTTCAGATATTTGAAAGGACTTAGGTGTTGTGATATAAGCTGTATCTGCCTTAGGGAATTCCCCAAGCTCAGTTATGCTATGGTTCTTACAGACTTGTGGGGGATCACCTTGATTGTCTTGGATAAAATTCTGGCAAATTCTCTGGATTACTAGGCAGAGTTTCTTTTTCTCTTCCCTTACTTCCTCCCAAACAAACAGAGTCTCTCTCTCTCTCTCAAAACTCACTGTATACAAGCTAATATGTGAGTTATAATAAAATTCTTTAGTGAAGTAACAGATGATTATTGGCATCATTGTCATTGTTTGGTAACTTCATCTAATCATAGAAAAAGCAATATTGAAAAGTTCTTTAAATCACATAATAAAAGTAGATGCTGGATGTATTTCGAGATCTTTCTCTCTCCTTTTTAAATATATCTCTGATTACCAACTCGTATAACCATATTTTCCAAAATTTTCAAGCCCCTTCTGAATTCTTTTCTGAAGTGCCATGAAATGACACTTTGTGTACCTTGCAACTATAATATGTCTCAATAATGTAGGTAATAGTTTACCTTTGGGCATACCTCAAAGTGTGTGTGTGTGTGTGTGTGTGTGTGTAGACATATATATATATATATATCAGTACGTGTACATACTATAAGGTGACTTTTTATTGCTTTACACTTTCTGAAAAATGAATATTCCCCATGGAATGACTTTGCTGTGCCTTGGAAAGCAGCTTGCCTTCAGGCACATTCTCAGTGCACTTACAGGCATGCTACATTAAAAGGAAGAACTTTATATACCAGGCCTTTGTATACTTTCTTGGATGAAGGGTTTGATTTATATCAGAAAATCATTTGATTTATATCAGATGATACTCCACAGCAAGCAGAGAAGAGCTATTGCATGGTTCCAAATAGACTTTGGACAACAACATGGAAACTTAGGGCAAGTCGGCCTGCAGTGTCATTATTCTCTAGTCTCTTCATCCTGTGGTGCTTCCATTTTTTATATATCAGGGATTCATTGTCCATTTACAGCCATCTAATTTCCCAGGAGACTGCCTTACTGAGTTTGATTTGACTGTTCTTCCCTTTCTACATCAAACTTCACCCTTCGTTTTTTTTTTGCCTTTCAACACCTGCTTACCAATTGTGATGTCTTCCATGGAATGATGACATAGTTGAAGTCTGACAAAAAATGCTTATGAAGAGTTTTCAATAACTCAGGTAAGAAGGGGCAACTAATGAGAGGATTTCAGGTAGTCATTGGCAAGGTCAGTGAGGGACAGAGACCTCAAATCTTTTCTATATTTTGGCCTATTCAAATTTAACTATACACAGCCTCCCTGTGATGTCTCTTTTTCTCTCTTTAGTGTTACAATTTAATAGAAGAAAATAAAAATTTACATGTGCACTCATCATTATATACTTTGTATTTATCCACATATATCTGTCTATATATTGCTGGTAGAATTGAATGCATAAAGATATATACACTGTATTTTATGGCTCATGTAAAGTACTGTAAGATTTATTTTGACTCCACTCAATTATTACATTACATAGTGACTTCAGGACTCAATCTTATTTAAGATGTGACCCCTTAGGCAAGAGATTTCTGCAGCAGTCATAGAATAATATGTATTATAAATGTTTTATTTTACAAAATGTAGGTCCCCTTTGAAGAATATTACTATATCTAAGATTTAACAAGTAAATTAGACAGAAGGTGAAAATATAAAAGATCTTGGAACTGAACACTGTGGTTCATGGTTACTGAAGAGGTGGGAAGATAAAAGCCAAGTATAAAGTAGACTAAGAAGGATCAGTAGAGAGGTGTATTTGGGGACCAAGAGAAGACTGAGATCCACGGAAAGGAAGTATCAACGCAATATAAAAGCCAGGCTGCCTTGGTTCTAATACTATGTTTGTCACTTATAAGTAGCATGATCTTGGACTGGTAACTTAACTATTCAATGCCTGTTTCTTTGATTATAAAACTGGGTAAAAAATAGTATCAATCTCATAGAATTATTATGAAGGCTTAACATGCTAAAATTCATGAAAATATTAGGATCACCTCTGGCACTTTATGTTGTATTTTTATATTATCATTATTGTCATCAACATAACTATCAAAGTTAGGGCTTATCAGTGATCATTTTCTTCACTTCTATCTTCTGCTACTACATTATTTTATTTATGTTGTGCTCAGTTCAGGGTCTCAAGCATAAAGACTAAAATGTTGCTATTATTTTAAAGGGTTGACAACAACAGGTTCTCTAGATTGGCATTAACTCAGCTGACACAGAGAAAAATGCAAGGATTCCCTAATCTGGAGTTTCTCTAAAATGAGAGAGCCATCAACACATGCTTACAATTGAAGCTAGAAGAGTGAGCCGTTTCAGACATTAGGAAATTTAACTTCTAGGACTTTACCTAAGAACTTATAGCTAATAAACTGGCATCAAAATACAAATATTGCTGTGTAGGCTCCAAATTGTAAAGCTAGTTTTAGTAAATCCCAATGAATTCCATCACAACAATTTGGATATATATATATATATATATATATATATATATATATATATATTTGTTTGTTTTTTTGTTTGTTTGTTTTTTCCTAGAATGTGACCAGGGGGATCAAGCATTTATCAAGAGTTAGTAGTGGCTAGGCACAGTGGCTCACGCCTGTAATCCCAACACTTTGGGAGCCCAAAGAAGGTGGATCACCTGAGGTCAGGAGTTTGAGACCAGCCAGGGCAACATGGTGAAACCCTGTCTCTACTAAAAATATAAAAAATTAGTTAGGCATAGTGGTGGGCACCTGTAATTCCAACTACTCAGGAGGCTGAGGCAGGAGAATTGCTTGAACCTGGGAGGCGGGCGTTGCAGTGAGCCAAGATTATGCCATTGAACTCCAGCCGGAGTGACAGAGTGAGACTCTGTCCAAAATAATAATAATAATAATAAGAGTAGCAGTGAAAATCGGAATCATGTGATTTGTAGAATTCAACAATGAAATATTATGTGCTACATCCATAATTGCTGATTCAATATTTACTCTGTCATAATTGTGAATGAGGGGGATGAAGGATAAGAGTTAAATTCAATTTGTATAGAAATGCAATACATTCAGTCACAACATTCCAAATGAGTAGCTCCAAACACATTGCCATATAGTAAATTCCTGATATGCTCAGATGGGATAATGAGTTCTGTTTTTTGGTATCTTGGCAATTACAATGGCCATCAAGAAGCTTGGAGGAGAAAAATGCCTATTTTCTTCCCCCCAAAGACATGTATCAGTTAGATTGATTTAAGATTGCATGTATCTAGAATTGAATGTAGTCTTTTTCATAATACTAGCATTATATAGCAGTTTTAAAAAGAACATAGCTATCAGAAGGAACATAGTCCTTATGAGACAGAAAAAAATAGTAATAAAAAGAATATCTTGCATTTACTTGGCATTCATTTTGTTTCATTAGAAAATATTAACCATATACTGCTTTTCAGAAAATGGAAGCACAAAGTCATGATCGTTAGAGAGAGGAATGTTTATTATCCATTATAACTGTCATTTTAATTAAGATGCATACAGATTAAATATTGTAACCAAGGACAAATAGGCAATTAAAAACAGAACCATTATCTAACTCTTGAAGCCCAGAAATTACATTTATAGATATCTTTAAAATTGAGTAACTTCATATGTTGTGTATTGATTTTATTTTAACATAAGATAGTTTTGTTTGTTTTAGTTTAAATTGGCTGTTCATTTGAAGAACGCTTGCAATCCATGGTTTAGGCTCTATATTTCAAACTTATTTCTGACTGACAAGTACAAGTAAAGGAGGAAATGGTCACTTAACTGGAAATTGCACAATAACATAGCATTCCCATCTAAAGATGATTTGGAGAGCTGAACATAAGTTGTTCTGTTTTAAATCTGTTGTACTGACAGCACTTTTAGAATTCTTATTTAATCTATGATGACAAAGAAATCTGCAGTCACCATCCTGGTATAATATTCACTTTGATTTCATATATTTTAAAACTGTATTTTCTACAATAACATATTTGGTTATTATCAGTCACTGATATTACTTATTAGATAATAAAACATGAATGAGGTTTTATTTGAATGCATAAAATATCCATACATGAAGCAAAAATACTGATACTTATGTTTTAATCTGTGTCTGCTATTCTGTAAGCTACTCCAATATTGTTGATACTCTGGGTTACCATGACAGCATGCAATTTGTATATTATCTCTTATAAAAACATTTATTTTTTAAATACATTTTCCTCTCTTATACATTCAGTGATAATTACTACAGTTTGATTAATAAAGTTTCTGTGCATCCTAAAATAAATGTTATAATTAATTATTATAAATAATGTATTATTTTAAATTATTAAAATGCTATAATTAAGGACACAAAGAAAAACTTTATGAGAAATGTTTTACCCTTATAGTATACTTTGTTAGTTCTAATAATAATCCTGATAGTTGACAATAGTCTCTGATATTTAATAATTTAGTACATATGCACACATACTCAAACAGTAACAAAAATAGATACTTGGTACGATTTAGTTTTTCTTCTTAAAAAGGAAAGGTCATATTTAGAAATACACCACTATTCATATATTATATTAGCTTAATCCTCAATTAATATAAAATATTAGAGAAGTAGACAAGCATTATTACCAAATTAAATATGAATAATGTATGATGGTTAATACTAAGTGTCAACTTGATTGGATTGAAGGATGCAAAGTATTGATCCTGGGTGTGTCTGTGAGGGTGTTGCCAAAGGAGATTAACATTTGAGACAGTGGGCTGGGAAAGGCAGACCCACCCTTAATCTGGGTAGGCACCACCTAATCAGCTGCGAGCACAGCCAGAATGTAAAGCAGGCAGAAAAAAATGTGAAAAAGCTAGACTGGCTTAGCTTCCCAGCCTACATCTTTCTCCCATGCTGGATACTTCTTGCCCTTGAACATCGGACAAAGTTTTTCAGCTTTGGGACTTGGACTGGCTTCCTTGCTCCTCAGCTTGCAGATGGCCTATTGTGGGACCTCATGATCATGCGAGTTAATACTCCTTAACAAACTCCCCTTTACATATATATAGCCTATTAGTTCTGTTCATCTAGAAAACACTAATACAGGATGTTACTTTAAAATTCAAATATGTTCATCTTTCAAAACTTTGGCATTATTATAATAGAGTAACTTCAGGAGGATTTTCACTTGATTTTTTTTAGTCCAGAAATCAACAATTGTAAAATATGAGTTCACTTTTAAGAATACAGTATACATGAGATTAAATTAATGCACTTCATAACTATCTCAGAAATAATTTAGAAGGGATTCCTGGCCTTAAAGCATTTCATCCCTGTATGCATCTTCATTTAAGTTCTTGGTATAAATATCAACTCCTCAGAGAGGGCTTCTCAGACTACCTTTTTGAATATTTATTTTTGTCAATCACTTGTCGACATGCCCGGCTTTATTATTCTTTATTAGATTTATAACTTGTAACAAGTATATTATGCATTTGTCTGTTGTCTATGTTCTCTATCATTATGTAAGCTCCATGAAGGCATAAACTTTTCCATTCTCCATCTTGTTCTCTATGGTATCTCCAGGGATTATAACCACTCTTGGTATTGAATAATTCAATAGTTATTTTCTATGTATTATTTCAAGCATAATAAGAACCTTGGTCTCCACAACCCCTTATTTTAACTGAGATACTCCTTTCTATTCATTCTAGATATTTAGATATGACTCTTTTAACCAGTTGATAACCTGAAAATCTTTGAATCTACCTAGGACCTGTAAGTTCTCAGCTTCAAGTTGTCCTGCCTTTCTGGACTGAACCAATGTACAGCTCACGTGTACTGCCTGATGTCTTATGTCTCCCTGAAACATAGAAAACCAAGTTGTAACACAACCACTTTGGGTACATGTTCTCAGGCCCTCTTGAGACTGTGCCACAGACCATTGTCTCTTATACAGGCTCAGAATAAACTTCCTTAAATATTTTACAGAGTTTGTTTTCTTTTTAGTTAACAACATAAACATACAAAAGAAATGAGAAGAAAAGCGCATTGCTTTTCCGTATTGTATTTATCTTTAATTTTATCTGATACCATTTTTTTCTTTCTTGGTTAACTTGCACTGCTCATTTCCATATCATTCATTTTGCTTATCAATTAGCAACAATTTATATCACCATATTTGGTTTTATAAGAAATGAAATTATGGCCGGGCGCGGTGGCTCACGCTTGTAATCCCAGTACTTTGGGAGGCCGAGGCGGGCGGATCACGAGGTCAGGAGATGGAGACCATCCTGGCTAACACGGTGAAACCCCGTCTCTACTAAAAATACAAAAAAAATTAGCCGGGCGTGATGGTGGGCGCCTGTAGTCCCAGCTACTCGGGAGGCTGAGGCAGGAGAATGGCGTGAACCCGGGAGGCGGAGCTTGCAGTGAGCCGAGATTGCGCCACTGCACTCCCGCCTGGGCCACAGAGCGAGACTCCGTCTCAAAAAAAAAAAAAAAAGAAAGAAATAAAATTATTACTGATGCTAATTCAAATAGCAGAATATTCAACTGTCACTGAATACGCATATACAACACATACTTTTGTTCACTATATTTACCTTTGAAAAGATGCTATATTTACCACAGTATTAACATTACTTAGATTCCATCTATGCCAATTGAGGACAGTGAGAAATTGTGCAAATGATAGCCAGAGTGTATCATGGAAATATAACAATTTACAAAGCCAGAAATTGTAAAAGCCAAGAGAAAATTTCTCCTTTGCTATCTGAGGTTGTACTAAATATGATAAATGGAATACAAATTAATTAATGTGCATGAAGGAGAGCAGAGTGATTAACCCAAATATCCCAATGGGGCCCTGATACTAACATAGCCATTTTTTTCTGAAGGGGGAGGAGAGATGGGAAATATAAATAATTACGTTGAGGGGCAATAAGTAATTATTATGTTAAAACTGCAATGACTCTTACACCAGCCTAATACTAGGGAGAATGAATGGATCAGGAAACAGAGATTAATTTGTAAGTGGTTCTCTTTGGAAATAGAATGAGCCTGAGAGACAGACATTATCTTATGAAAGAGTCTGTTCAGGTATGGCTACATTTTTTGTCTTCCTTTCTGCAACAGTTAATGAGATACCAGTAAGCAGAAGGAAAAACAATTCTTTTTGGTGGATACTTCAAGTATTTATGTAGATAGGGGGAAAGTCTCTTTCTGCATCTGTTGATCTTTATACCAGGGAGCAATATTTTGGGGTGAAATGTTTTAGTTTCCTTTGCAGGGTTAATAGAAACTACCTACTTCAACTCCTTTATTTCATTCACAAGAAAATTGAAGATGAGAGAAGTAAAGTGATGTCTTGACCAGAGTCAAGAAATAGATTTGAGATTCTTAATTACTTATGTGATCCTCTCCAGATTGCATTATATGGCATGCTTTCAAACAACATCTTGGCTGTAACTTTATTAACCTCTTTGATAAGCCAAGGCAAATTATCATTAACCAAATAAAATACTAAATTAAGAAATAGATGTGTCAATGTGGTACAAAAACAGTGGCATTAAAAGACCAACTTGCTTTAATTTAAAAGAGTACAGATGGATTTCTTTTTTAATCCACTCCTTCCCCAATTCTCCTATATTCATATTGTCTCCCAGTTTTGTCTTATATAATTCTAATTGTTCATTTTGCTAAGGGAAAAACTTCAGCCAAATTAAATTTAAAGGAGTTTAATTGAGCAATGAGCAATTCACAAATGGGGCAGCACCTAGAATCAAAGCAGATTCAGAGAGATTACAGGGATGCCTCATGGTCAGAACAAATTTATAGACAAAAAAAGCAAAGTGACATACAGAAATTGGAAGTGAGGTACAGAAACAGCCGGAATGGTTACAGCTCAGCATTTGCCTTATCTGAACACAGTCTGAACACTCAGCAGTGAGTGACTGGTTGAAGTATGACTGCTGGGATTGACCAAGACTCAGTGATTGCTACAGGTACATTCTCCTAAATTAGGTTCTCAATCTTGCCTGACTATTAAGTTAGGTTGCAGTTCATCCACAAGGACTCAAATACAGAAGTACAGAGTCCTTCTCAGGCCATATTTAGTTTGCTTTAACAATTCCCACCTTTTGGTTATTTTCTCAATTTTGAAAGATTGACCAAAACCTTAGGTATTGAGATCACTATCATCATCATAAATGTACTTATTTGGTCTTGAAACCCATTGGGGATGAGTAGAATAGTGAATTTTGCAAAGATAGGAACAAGGACTGCATAGAGGATACCTCCTTATGCTGGAACATTCTGTTTACAGGAGAAAATCAAAACCTGGTCTGTTCTGGTCTAAGTTCTTAGTGTTTCTTTAAAGTCTTAGTTTGATTATATCACATTTAGCATAAATGACTCCATTTTTGTTTGGCTTGGTCTGTTAAGGCCTAGTGCATGAGCTCAGTCCAAAACAATGGCCTCCCATGATTTTGTTTTAAAAAACTCCCCCTTTTTGGCCAGATTCTTACTTAGGTGAGAATGTGACCAAAACTTAGGATCTTGGTGCCACTCTCAGTTACTATCATTTTTGGTTTCCAATCTCAGCCTGTCATTCACAGGATATGGTTTCCTTAGGCTCACACATTTCTTTTAGCTCTTGTCATTCCAGTTGAGGAGAGACCATTTGACATTCTAGATATGGCTGCATGCAAACATTTAAAACATTTAAAATGTAGTGCACCAGGGAGACTATTATCATGACTATCGGGAGGATAATAACAACAGTTTGGAGTATGCTCCTTACCCAGGGTCTGTATAAACTAAACAACCTCAAATCACATAGATCAAAGAATAAGCTAAAGAGTCCACTCACTTTACCAAGCAGTCTCTTCTTTAATCACCTACAAGTGGATCTCTATAATATCTGATGTTTACTCCATAGGCCATAAGTGCCAGCACAGATACTTTTCTGTTTATCCAATTATATTACTTAGCATAACTTTCACAAGAGAATTTAAAGTCTGGTGTGTAATCATAGCCTTTACAGTAGAATCTGCCATAGATCCTATTGTGAGGGGTGCATTTCTATTCATTGCCTCTTTTATTCCAAACCATGGAAAAAGGACCTAACAAATGATGCCCTTCTCTTACAGAAGAGTGAAGTCCTCCTGGCAATGTTCTCCTTAACTCATGATGTGAGTTAAGAGCAATGAATCAGCCAGGAGCGGTGGCTCGTGCCTGTAATTCCAGCACTTTGGGAGGCTGAGGCAGGCAGATCATGAAGTCAGGAGATCAAGACCATCCTGGCTAATATGGTGAAACGCTGTCTCTACTAAAAATACAAAAAAATTAGCTGGGTGTGGTGGCACGTACCTGTAGTTCCAGCTACTTGGGACACTGAGGCAGGAAAATCACTTGAACCTGGGAGGCAGACGTTGCAGTGAGCCAAAATTGCACCACTGTACTCCAGCCTGGTGAAAGAGCAAGACTCCATCTCAAAAAAAAAAAAAAAAAAAAGATTAATGAATCAATGTTCTGTTTTGGACTTATTATGAGGCAATCTATGTATCATTAAAGTTTCTCACCTACATTGGGCCTTCATCTTTTACCTATCAAAGTATAAAGTTATCCATGTATAAGACTGGCTATACAATTCTTCACAAATAAAAGTATACCCCATAAGTGCACACAACAGACCCCTTTCTATTTCTGTTGCTCATAGAGGCATAAACAAGAAAAAATATTGAAAGACGAGAGTTTCATGATGGTAGAAGTCTCAACCTATTGTCTTGGGAAAATCTGTTCTCATGAAGGATGCTCTCTTTTTCTGGGGATAGACTTCCCTGGCTGGCATTACCTTAAAGGTTCCAATGGAAGTACAGTTCCAAGAGCATGCAGGGACCCTTCTTAGTTGTGAGATTAAGAACCCAAAATTCAAGTTTCCAAAGCTTTGCTGCAATATGGATAGCAAAGACAGCCTTTCTATGATGTTCTCAGAATATACAATCTTCAGGTTCTAGATTGTGGAGGGGTTTATTATGCTCAGTGCACCATAAAAAGCTTTCTTTACCTGGTGAAAATATACTGTCGCTTAAAAACTTAGTATTATAACATCAGCCCTCTTGCATTGGAGAGCTTTTACACAACCAGAAAATATGCATTATAAATAACAAATAAAATCCCTTTATAAAATGTTTACGTGGCCCATCAGGTGACCAAATATACCTGGAGCTTTGATTGTTTTCCCAGGAATATGGGACCAAACATTGGTTATAAACTATTTGCAATTTGTAAGCCACCACACCAATATATTTGATTTGGATTATTTTATCTTTTCTATGATGAGTCATGGAATGCAGAATTTTTAACAATAAAAGCTTTGAGGACTTAGGAAGGACAAGGTGGCCATGGAGTCATCTCCATGACTCCATGCTTAATTAACAGGTTTATAGCCCCTTGAATACTAGTTATTTCTCCAAATTAGGTGCATAGTACTGACAACTGATGGGTTATCAGAGGTAATTTGACTTAGACCATGGAGTTTATTCAATTTGTATATCTAAACAATTTCACTATCAGCTGACTTATGGCAGAACAATACAGAAAGACACACAAAGCACATCAGATTCACTACATCTTAAGACCAGCCTCAGAATTCTTTTTCATGTTAATCAAAACTTTACAGAGGAGATAAACAGTGACTTTTACCATTCGTTTAACCAGTTTGCACAGAGAGAGAGAGAGAGACCAGAGCCTGACTTGCAAGAAATTCTTATCCTTTTGTCACCATATCAGGATTCTGGGTTTCCTTTCCCTGAGTGGCCCTAGTGACCCGCCTTGCCCTGGGGGCCAAGCTGTATCATAAAGGAAAATCATCATTTTGTTTGTTTGTTTGTTTCATGGAACCACAGGCAAAAGCCTCTCCATTTTGCAAGTTGTTGCCCAAGGGATTGCAAGGGGTAATCCAAATAACATTTTTCATTCTGGCCAGAGCAAAATACATGTGACAAAACATAGACATTAGCCACTTTGCTTAGCACCCAATATAGAACTGGCAAGGCTCGAACTTGCCCCCAGTTGAGCTCTGTCATCTGTAATCCATTTTTAACCAAGAGGGACTTTATTGAGGGGACAGGCTCTAACTCAGTCCCATCCTTTACTCAGGTAAAATGTATCCCATTACTTATCCAAAGTCAGCCAACTTGTGCTGCAGTCTATTTCCTTTGGATCAGGAAAGTAACTAAGCTGAAAGATTACCAGATTTAATTTTTTGGGAGCTCTCATTTTTAAATGCACTTTAATGCATTGTTGTTTATTCAGAATGTTCCCTTGTAAGTTACCTTTGGTGAGATTTCGCCATTTCTGTAACACTTTAATCCTTCAGGTGCCTAATGTACAAGCCGGAAGAAACTCAGTTTTTCATAAATTAAGTTTTTCATAAATTTTTACCTAAAATATTGGCTTTGCTTTCAGGTTCCCTTGATTAACTTAGCCAATGATTTTTATTCCTAGTTGCGTGTGCAAGAAAAATAAAACAAAGGTGTAGAATAATAATCCCTGCAAATTTCTGAAAGCCAAAATGTTCAGGATATTACCATTTGCTACCAGTTTCTTTCTGACCAAGTCAGATGTAATAGACCTCTAACTTCATTCAAGTAAGTTAATTACTGGATCAAATCCATTCGTGGACCCAGTCCATTTTCTATCATGAATTCCAAATCTCGTTTGGATCAGAAATTTGCTCAAAGAAACTCAGAGAGCTCAAAACACAACTCTGTGGAGGCCCGAAGTCTAAGAGAGAACTTATGTACAATCCCCAGCTGCTCTGAGAGATTAATTGCCAAAAGTGGGTCCTACAGATACCTTACTTGTTCACTCAGTGCTCCTGGGGGTCATTAGAAACTCTGCTTTGGATCCCACTTGTGACACCATCTGTTAAAAGAAAAACTTCAGCTGAATTAAATTTAAAGGAGTTTAATTGAGCAATGAATGATTCACAAATTGGGCAGCCCCCAAAATCACAGCAGATTCAGAAACTCGGGGGTGCCTTGTGGTCAGAACAAATATATAGACAAAAAAATAAACTGATGTACAGAGATTGGAAGTGAGGTACAGGAACAGCTGGATTGGTTACAGCTCAGCCTTTGCCTTATTTGAACATAGTTTGAACACTCAGCCGTGTAGCATTGGTTGAAGTACAGCTGCTGGGATTAGTTAAGACTCAGTGATTGTTACAGGTGCATACTCCTAAGTTAGGTTTTCAATCTTTTCTACCTATTAAGTTAGGTTGCAGTTCATCCACAAGGACTCAAATATAGAAGTATGGGGTCCTTCTCAGGCCATATTTAGTTTGCTTTAACAGTTTACATTTTCTTGTGTCTGTACACACATATTTCTTTTTTTTTAAATCTTGGTTTCTCTGTTCATGTATTAATTTAGCAATTATATCAGCCAGACATTTTAGACTCCAAGGAAGCAGCAGTAAATAAAATTGAAAAAAAATCCCCTCTCACGTATCTTTCACTAATGTGAGGAAAATAATAATAACAAATAACTATGTGTTAAAGTATGTCCCAGTTGACAGAAAAGATGGACTCCCTGTGGCTCAAAAGTTAAGAGCAGAACCAAGCAGCCTTGGCAGGGTGAGGGTGTGGTCCTTGGCACATATAGAAAAATCTGTTTTTCTGCACCCAAGTCAAAGAGCAGTTCCTGAAAACAATATTAAAGACAACCAAAGGGGTGGCCTGCCCCTCCACACCTGTGGGTATTTCTAGTCAGAAAAGAAATAAGACACAGAGACAAAGTATAGGAAACAACAGTGGGCCCAGGAGACTAGCACTCAGCACACCAAGGACCTGCACCGGCACCGGGCTCTGAGTTCCCTCAGTTTTTATTAATTATTATTTTCATTATTTCAGCAAAAAGGAATGTAGTAGGAGAACAGGGTGATAATAAGGAGAAAGTCAGCAAAAAACATGTGAGCAAAAGAATCTATATCATAATTAAGTTCAAAGGAAGGTACTATGCCTGGATGTGCACGTAGGCCAGATTTATGTTTCTCTCCACACAAACAGCTCAGCGGAGTAAAGAACAACAAGGCAGCATTACTGCAAACATGTCTCGCC
The DNA here is from genome assembly GCF_000001405.40 of Homo sapiens. Taxonomy (NCBI): domain Eukaryota; kingdom Metazoa; phylum Chordata; class Mammalia; order Primates; family Hominidae; genus Homo; species Homo sapiens. The sequence continues at coordinate 30,233,296 of NC_000004.12, forward strand.
TCCCACCATAGGGCGGTTTTTCACGTATCTCAGAATTGAACAAATGTACCATCGGGTTTTATACCGAGACATTCAGTTCCCAGGGGCACGCAGGAGACAGTGGCCTTCCTCTATCTCAACTGCAAGAGGCTTTCCTCTTTTACAAATCCACCTCAGCACAGACCCTTTACGGGTGTCGGGCTGGGGGATGGTCAGGTCTTTCTCATCCCATGAGGCCATATTTCAGACTATCACATGGGGAGAAACCTTGGACAACACCCCACTTTCAAGGGCAGAGGTCCCTGCGGCTTTCCACAGTGCATTGTGCCCCTGGTTTATTGAGACTAGAGAATGGCGATGACTTTTACCAAGTATACTGCTTGTAAACATTTTGTTAACAAGGCACGTCCTGCACAGCCCTAGATGCCTTAAACCTTGATTTTATACAACACGTGTTTTTGTGAGCTCTAGGTTAGGTCAAAGTGGCTGGCGCAAAGTGGCTGGGGCAAAGCTACCAATTAACAACATCTCAGCAAAGCAATTGTTTAAAGTACAGGTCTTTTACAAAATGGAGTCTCTTATGTCTTCCCTTTCTACATAGACACAGTGACAGTCTGATCTCTCTTTCTTTTCCCTATAGACAACTGCCACTGAAAATTCCCCAAATGATGACCACTGGAACCACCTGACGGAAGACAATTAAGAGAGACTGGTGATGTGGGGGTTAAAGGCTATTAAATTCAGATTCTGTTCCCCACTCCATTGACTCCCCTACCCTTTCTGGAGTGTTTGACTCTATAATCTCTCACCCTCCAAACCGTCCTCAGAGCACACTTTCCTGTTGCACCAAAGGCTGCATTCTCCTTAATCTGCAGTAATGTTTTAGAAAATAATGTTCTCCTTTTGTCTCCATAGATTGTATTGGCTTTTAATTAACATATATATCTAATGTTAGGCATTCCCTATGTACTGGGCACTGTTCTAAGAATCTTAGATAGGACAACATCACTCAATCTACACAACAAGCCTATTAGCAAGGTACGATTCTTACCCTCATTTTTATGGATGAGGAAATTAAGATAGAGAATGGCAAGGTAAAATTGCTCAAGACCACATCTCTAGTAAATAGCAAAACCCATAAATATAGCAAAAAATATGTCCCCTCAACTACTCTGCTATGGTAGCATTCTGTGTGAGATGTGTGAAAAGCAAGTAGAACTGATCAAGCAAAAATAGTGATGAATGCACAAGAGAGGAGGGTATTTTATTTAAGGGGGTCATGGAGAGCCTCAATGAAAAGATAAGAAAGCTAGTCATGCAAACCCATGAGGAAAAGCTTTGATGGGACTGCAGAGGCAAACATTGGCATTAGGGATGTGCTTTCCCTCCTTCCTAATTAAATAAATAAATAAATAGTATATTTTCTGTGTGAGATAAAAAAGCTTCGAGGAACTTTGAGCAAGAAAGTGATATATTCAGATTAAAAGGATTAGTTGAATTGCTCTTGAAAATACCCTAAAGGAACTAAAAGTGAAAGAAGAATCCATTATTTAGGAGAGGATGCCTAGTGTATTAACAATGGAAGTGGTGAGAAATGGTTGGACTTATATGTATATATATATATGATATATTATGTATATATTAAGATCTCCTGGTCACTCCATGTGGGTCGTGGAGAAAAAGTGGAATTGAGGCTGACTTTTACTTGTTTATCCTTGCTCCTAGGCAAATGGCAGTGCTAGATACTGCAATGGGGAAGACTAGGAGACGAATAGATTAGAGGTAGGTCAAACATTCAGTTGCAGACTCTAACTTTGAGACACCTGTCATCCCTCAACTATCTAATGCTGTAGCCTCTCACATTTTAATGTAGCTCTTAGAGACAATTTTTGCATTTTATTTAATTTACTGAATTTAAATTTTAAAACTGCAACCCAATTCACTTATTAAAAATCTTTTAGGTATATTTGGACCAACTTGGTTTGTGAATCTACATTTTTAACTGTAAATTTTATGAAATCCAAATACTGACAAGTAATTTTATGAAAATTTAGCATCCAAATTCAGATATATCTTAGGAGTAAAGTACACAATGGATTTCAAAGACTTCCTATGCAAAGCAGCATAAAATAGCTAATTAATAATTTTTACGTTTATTACAATTTGAAATAATAGTTTCAGATATATTGGTTTTAAAAATCTTATTAAAATTAAACTCATCTGGTAATGGATGTGTTAGCTTGATTGTGGTAATCATTTTACGTTACATATATATATATATATCAAAACATCATGTTGTACACCTTAGATATACCTATATAATTTTGTCAATCATACTTCAATAAAGCTGGGTAAAAAATTAAATTAAATTAAATTATGTTCACATACTTATTTTTACTTTTTAATGTGGCTACGCAAATTTTTAAAATTACATATGAGGCTTATGTTATATTTCTATCAGATGCTTCTTTATAGATAGTTGAGAGTTAATGATGAGTAGATAAGTAATACCGAGTAGATGATAAAACATACTATGTCTTGAGGTTATTGGAGAGGTTGAGATTGAAGACATACATTTGGAAGGTATGGGCAAACCTATGGTGTTGAATCTTTGTGGCTAAATAAGTCAGTTACGGAGTGGGTTTGGTTACTGAATTAGAGAGAGTGAGCTTGGCAGGGAAGATTAGAGCTTTACCTACTTTGTGGTCAAAGTAGATAATCTTTAAGTAGTATCTAAATGCTTGGATTTCTTCTCTAGTTAGCATCTTCCTCTCCTGATTTAATTATCAATAGTATCCCCTCTTGCTCTAAAAATTTCACAAGTTGGATAGTAAATTATATATTTACTCAAATTATTCTACTTTAAAGTCTGATGAAGCACAAATATTTCTGTTAGTTTATTTGGTCTGTCTTTGCTTTTATTTATTTAGTCTGTTTGTTTTACTCAGTTCTATTTTATATTTCCTAAATATCTGTCATATTGTTCTTCCTGTTTGTCTCCACCATGTTACTTTATATCAGGACTTCATGATTTCTCACTTGGATTATGCCATCAAATTCTTAACTGCTGTTCCTGACTCCCCAACTCACCACTCTAATCCAAGAGGCACTCCACACATTTATAAGACTGAACTTTCTAAAACACATTTCCTGCTAAGAACTATGAAATAAGTAAATGTGAAGGATCTGGGATGGCAGGAAAGGAAGAGAGACAATGGAAGGTAGAATTGGAAGTGATGATGACGTTTGAATTGCACCTTAATGAATAGATAGGCATTCACTCAGGGAAAGAAAACAAAAACAGGCAGAAATATTGATGAAGAAGAAAAGAATGGTGAAACCAAGAGAAGGATATGGATGTCTGTAATACATGACAAATCAGTTAATATTTTCCTGCTAAATTGACTCTTGAAATTTGGGGAAAAAAATCTTCTCAGATGATCATTACCTTTATTTTAGAATAATGATTATTTTCACCCATAAACATACTAAGTAAATATACTGTGTGAAATAATATTTTGATAATATGACTTCAAATGAGGACATATAGCAGTTTACTAAAGGTTTCTAGTGACAAAGATTCTAGCTTACAGAATATCACATGGAACACTTTTGAATTACATGCCATGTTTAGATGAACTCCAAGCAATTCACTTTCCTTTATATATGCCAATGATGATAAATAAAATGTATAATTTTCTGTAACTCTTTTATTTGATTTGCACATTTACTATGTCCAAGGATTTTAACGTACACTCTTGTCTAGCCTTTATTCTGTCCTGAGCATATTTTCTATGTTGTAAATACTTTTAAAGATACATTTTGTCAGAAAAATTACAACATACAAACCAAATGAAATAAAAAACAGAAACAAGGAAAAACGTGATTTCCTAGGAATGATCCCTCTGCTGCTCTTATTCACCAACCGTAAGTCATCTCTGTTCTCTTTGGGTGAGTATATCAGAGCAGTGTATTACGTGTTATGAGCAAAATGTATGCATTTCCAATTATTAATTTGATGTTTTAAGCAACTGCTCTTAGTACCAAAAGTCCTTGGCACAAAGACATGTTAAATATAGCAATCTTTTCTAGAAATAGGTACAAGGACATGGCATCAGTGGGGTCATATTCTTGAGGGTTTAAGTGTAATGAGGTGGGTAAAGAATTGGCAATTGGGAGATCCACACTGGAATCTTACTTCTGCTAACAAGATCCTGAGCCTATCTTTGTTTTATTTACTGCTGTGTTCTGGCATCTAGTCCAAATTCTAATTTACAATAAGCACTAAATAAACACTAATAAATGAACTCATGGATACCAAGTACAACAGTTAATATCTCAGGTCTTCAGTTCCCTAATCTACAGTTCAGTAGCATAACAAGAAATTCAAATATCTTTACTATATTCTTTATTTATAATCTAGCTGATATGATACTGTTAAATATTCTTCTTTTTTGCCTTTTCTCCCCAACATTGTTCTTTCTTTCCTTTTAATTGCCCTCTCCTCTTATTTTTTCCTTGTTTTTTCATCTTTCATCTTTTCTTTTTTTCTTATTAGCAACTTAAATAAGGTAGCACTATTTTTTTCCAGTTTAAGTGGGATAAATTCTATTTGCTTGCAAATGGAAGATAAACAGTGGTCTAGAAGAAAAGAAACAAGGAGTATTCCCCTGTTTTTCGGAGAATGAACAGAACATAGAAAGCTCATAGCTTCATATAGAAAAGGAAAGACTATTAACCCTGTAACATAGAAGTTTTCAGGTATTACTTTCTCATCTTTGTCATCTACTGTCTCTTTTATTGCCTCAAAAAGCTCTGCCAGGTTTTATTTATTTATTCATTAATTCATTCTTATTTCAATAAGTTTTGGGGATACAGGCAGTTTTTGGTTACATGAATAAGTGCTTTAGTGGTGATTTCTGAGATTCTGGTGTCCTGATCACCTGAACAGTGTACACTGTACCCAGTATGTAGTTTATCCCTCACCCGCTCCTACCCTTGCTTCCAAGTCCACAAAGCCCATTATAGCATTCTTATGCCTTTGCATCCTCACAGCTTAACACCCACTTATAAATAAGAATGTATGATATTTGGTGTTTAATTCCTGCATTTCTTCACTTAAAATAATGGCCTCCAGCTCCATCCAATTTGCTACAAAAGACTTTTTTTTTTTTTTTTTTTTTTTTGCTTTATGGCTGAGTAGTATTCCATGGTATAGATATACCAATTTTTCTTTATCTCCTCATTGGTTGATGGACATCTAGGTTGCTTCTGTATTTTTGCAATTTCAAATTGTGCTGCTATAAACATGTGCGTGCATCTGTTTTTTTTCATATAATAACTTATTTTCCTTTGGGGAGATACCTAGTAGTGGGACTGCTGGATCGAATGCTATTTCTTTTAGTTCTTTAAGGAAACTCTATACTGTTTTCCATGGTGGTTGTACTAGTTTACATTCTCACCTGCAGTGTAAAAGTATTCCCTTTTCACCACATCCTCACCAATATCTTTTTTTTTTAATTATTAAATTATGGCCATTCTTTCAGGAGTAAGGTGGTATCTCACTGTGGTTTTAGTTTGTATTTCCCTGATAATTAGTGATGTTGAGCATCTTTTCCATATATTGGCTGGCAGTTTGCACGTCTTCTTTTTAGAATTGTCTAGTCATGTCCTTAGCACAGTTTTTGATGGGTTGGGGCATTGTTTGTGTTTTTATTGCTAATTTTTTTTAGTTCCTTGTTGATTCTGGATATTACCACTTTGTCAGATGTATAGTCTGTGAATATTTTCTCCCACTCTGAGGGTTGTTTGTTTAATCTGCTGATGATTTCTTTTGCTCTGCAAATGCTTTTTAGTTAGTTTACTTAGGTTCCATTCATTTGTTTTTGTTTTTGTTGCATTTGATTATGGGTTCTTAGTCATGAATTCTATGCCTAAGTCAATGACTAGAAGAGTATTTCCAATGTTATGTTCTAGAATTTTTATGATTTCAGATCTTAGATTTAAGTCTTTGATCTATCTGAAGCTGATTTATTTATATTTATTTATTTATTTATTTTATTTTTTGAGATGGAGTCTCACTCTGTTGCCCAGGCTGGAGTGCAATGACACAATCTCGGCTCACTGCAACCTCCAGCTCCCAGGTTCAAGTGATTGTCCTGCCTCAGCCTCCCAAGTAGTTGGGACTACAGGCATGTGCCACCACACCTGGCTAATTTTTGGTATTTTTAGTAGAGACAGGTTTTCACCATGTTAGTCAAGATGGTCTTGGTCTCCTGACCTCATGATCCACCCTCCTTCATGATCCACCTGCCTTGGCCTCCCAAAGTGCTGGGATTATAGGCATGAGCCACTGCGCCCAGCCTTAGGCTGATTTTTGTATAAAGTGAGAGATGAGAATTCAATTTCATTCTTCAACATGTGGTTTGCCAGTTTTTCCAGCACCATTTATTAAATAGGATCCTTTCCCACTTTATGTTTTTGTATGCTTTGTTGAGATCAGTTGCCCAAAAAAGTTGGCTTTTCCTGGGTTCGCTATTCTGTTCCATTGGTCTAAGTGCCTATTTTTATACCAGTAACATGCTGTTTTGGCAACTATGGCTTTGTAGTATAATTTGAAGTCAAGTAATGTGATGCCTTCAGATTTTTTTTTTTTTTTTTTTTTTTTTTTGCTTAGTCTTACTTTGGTTCTGCGGGCTCTTTTTTTGGTTCCACATGTATTGTATTATTGTTATTTCTATTTCCGTGAAGGATGATGATGGTGTTTTGATGGGAATTGCATTGACTCTGTAGACAGCTTTTAGCAGTATGGTCATTTTCACAATATTGTTTCTACCCATCCATGAGCATGGGATGTTTTTCTACATGTTTGTGTTATCTATAATTTCTTCCAGCAGTATTTTGTAGTTTTTCTTGTAGAGATCTTTCACCTCCTTGGTTAAGTATATACCTAAGTGTTTTACTTATTTTATTTTTTGTAGCTGTTGTGAAAGGGATTGAGTTCTTGATTTGATTCTCAGTTTGGTGGTTATTGGTGTATAACAGTGCTACTGATTTTCATATATTGATTTTGTAACCTGAGATTTACTGAATTAATTTATAAGATCTAAGAGCTTTTTGAATGAGCCTGTACAGTGCTCTAGGTATACAATTATTCCATGGACAAAGAGCGACAGTTTAACTCCCTTTTTTCTGATTTAGATGTTCCTTTAGTTCTTTCTCTTGTCTGATTGGTCTGGCTAGGACTTCCAATACTATGTTGAATAGAAGTGGTGAAAGTGGGCGTCCTTGCTTTGTTCCAGTTCTCAGCGGAAATGTTTTCAACTTTTTTCCATTCAGTATGATGCTGGCTATGGGTATTTCATAGATGGCTTATGTTACACTGAAGTATGTCTCTTCTATGACAATTTTGTTGAGAGTTTTTTTCATACAGAAATGCTGGATTTTGTCAAATGCTTTTTCTGCATCTATTGAGATGATTATATAATTTTTCTTTTTTATCCTTTTTTTTTTTTTTGAGACGGAGTCTCGCTCTTTCGCCCAGGCCGGACTGCAGTGGTGCTGTCTCTGCTCACTGCAAGCTCTGCCTCCCGTTCACGCCATTCTCCTGCCTCAGCCTTTCCAGTAGCTGAGACTACAGGCGTCTGCCACCACGCCCGGCTAATTTTTTTGTATTTTTAGTAGAGACAGGGTTTCACCGTGTTAGCCAGGATGGTCTCAATCTCCTGACCTCATGATCCGCCCACCTTGGCCTCCCAAAGTGCTGGGATTACAGGCGTGAGCCACCGCGCCCAGACTTTTATCCTTTTTATGTGATGCATCATATTTATTGACTTGTGTACATTAAACTATCCCTGTATACTGATAAGAAACTCGTTTGATTATGATGTATTATCTTTTTAATATGCTGCCAACAGCATTTGGTTAGCTAGTATTTTGTTGAATATTTCTGCATCTATGATCATCAGGAATATTGTTCTGTACTGTAGATATATTCCTTCCTGATTTTTGTATTAGGGTGATACTGGCATCACAAAATGGTTTAGGGAGGACTCCCTCTTTTCCTATCTTTTAGAATAGTTTCAGTAATATTGGTACCAATTCTTCCTTGAATGTTTAATAGAAATCAGCGGTGAATCTATCTGGTCCTGGACATTTTTGCTGGCAATATTTTTAATACTGAACCATTTTCACTGCTTGTTATTGTTTTGATCAGAGTTTCTATTTCTTCCTCATTTAGTCTTGGAGAAATGTATATTTCCAGGAATTTAACCATGTTTTATAGATTATCTAGTTGTGTGTATAAAGGCATTCACAGTAGCCTTGAATGATCCTTTGTATTTCTGTGGTATTAGTCATAATATCTCCCATTTTGTATCTAATTGAGATTATTTGGATCTTCTCTTTTTTTATTCTTGATTAATCTTGCTAACAGTCTATCGATTTTGTTAATCTTTTCAAAGAACCAGTGTTCTGTTTTATTTTTTGTATTTTCTTGATTCAGTATTATTTAGTTCTGCTCTGATCTTTGTTATTTCTTTTCTTCTGCTGAGTTTGAGTTTAGTTTGTTCTTGTTTCTCTAGTTCCTTGAGGTGTGATATTAGGTTGTCTGTGCTCTGTCAGACTTTTCAATGTAGGTATTTAATGCAATGAACTTTCCTCTTAGCACCACTTTTGCTATATCCCAGAGGTTTTGAAAAAGAGGTTTTGATAATTTGTGTCACTGTTATCATTCATTTAAAAGAATTTTTAAAATTTCCATCTTGATACTATTTTTAACCCAAAGATCATTCAAGAGCAGATTATTTAATATCCATGCATTTATATAGTTTTGAAGGCTCCTTTTGGAGTTTATTTACAGTTTTATTCTACTGTGGTCTGAAAGGATACTTGATATAATTTTGATTTTTAAAAATTTATCAAGATTTGTTTTGTGGCCTATTATATGGTCTATCTTGGAGAATGTTCCATGTGCTGATGAAAAGAATATATATTCTGCAGTTGTTGGGTACAATATCCTGTAAATATGTGTTAAGTCTATTCATTCTAGGGTCTAGTTTAAGTTCACATTTTCTTCTTTGACTGTATGTCTTGATCTGCCTAGTGCTGTCAGTGAAGTACTGAAGTTCCTACTATTAATGTGTTACTGTCTATATAATTTCTTAGGTCTATAAGTAATTTTTTTTTATAAATTTGGAAACTTCAATGTTAAGTACATGTATATTTATGATTGTAATATCTTCCGGTTTAACTAATTCCTTTTTCATTATATAAAGTCCTTCATCTGTTTTTAGTGTTGTTGCTTTAAAGTCTGTTTTCTCTGATATAAGAATAGCTACTCCTGCCTGGTTTTGGTTTCCATTTATGAAAAATATCTTCTTCTACCCCTTTACCTTAAGTTTATGTTAGTCCATATGTGTTAGGTGAGTCCCTTGAAGACAGCCATTACTTAGTGGTTTTTAAATCTTTCTGCCTTTCTGTATCTTTTAAGTGGAGCACATAGTCCATTTACATTTAATAGGAGTATTGAGATTTGAGGTACTGTTCTATTCATCATGTTAGTTTTTGCCTGAATACCTTTTTTAAAAATATTTTCATCATGTTATTGTTTTTAGGCCCTGTAAGTTTTATGCTTTAAGGAAGTTCTTTTTTTCGTATTTTGAGAACTTGTTTCAAGATTGAAAACCCCTTTTAGCATTTCTTGCAGTGCTAGTGTGGTAGTGGCAAACTCTCTCAGCACTTTTTTATCTAAAAAAGACTTTATCTCTTTTTATTTATGAAATGTAGTTTTGGTAGATACAAAACTCTTGACTGACAATTATTTTGTTTAAGGAGGCTAAAGATGGAACCTCAGTTCTTTCTGGATTTTAGGGTTTCTGCTGAGAAATCTGCTGTTAATCTGATGAGTTTTCTTTTATAAGTTACCTGATGCTTTTGTCTCACAGCTCATAAGATTCATTCCTTCACCTTGACATTAGATAACCCGATTAATATATGCCTTTGTGATGATCTTTTGCAATGTATTTCCCAGGAGTTCTTTGAGCTTCTTGTATTTGGATATTGTATTAATCCACTCTCACATTGCTATAAAAAACTTCCTGAGACTGAGTAGTTTATAAAGAAAAGAGGTTTCATTGACTCACAGTTCCACAGGCTGTACAATAAGCATGGTTGGTGAGGCCTCAGGAAACTTACAATGATGGCAAAAGGGGAAGGGGAAGCAAACACATCTTCACATGGGGAATCAGAAGGAAAAGAGCAAAGAAGGAAGTGCTACACAGTTTTAAACAACCAGATCGCAGGATAACTCACAATTACAAGGAATCCAAAGGGTAAGTCTGCCCCCATAATACAATCACCTCCCAGCAGGCCCCTCGTCCAACATTGGGGATTACAATTCATGATGATATTTGGGTGAGGACACAGAGGCAAGCCACACCATTCTGCCCTTGCCTCTTCCAAAATCTCATGTTCTTCTCACACTTCAAAACACCATTATGCCTTCCTAACAGTCCCCCAAAGTCTTAACTGATTCTTGCATTAATTCAAAACAATTCAAGTCCAAAGTCTCATCTGAGACAGGGCAAGTATCTTCCACCTATGAGCCTGTAAAATAATAAGCATGTTAGTTACTTCTAAGATACAATGGGAGCACAGGCATTGAGTAAATGCTCCCATTGCAAATGGTAGAAATTGGACAAAACAAAGGGGCTGCAAGACCCATGCAAGTCTGAAATCCAGCAGGGCAGTCATTAAATTTTAAAGCTTCAAAATAATCTCCTTTGACTCCATGTCTCACATTCAGGCCACACTGATGAAAGGAGAGGGCTCTGAAGGCCTTGGGCATCTTTGCCTCTGTGGCTCTCCATGGTACATCCCCTGCAGCTGCTATGTGGGCTGGCGTTGATTGCCTGTGGCTTTTCGAGGTGCATGGTGTAAGGTATCGGTGGATCTAGGATTCTGGGATCTGGAGGATGGTGGCCCTCTGCTCACAGCATCAAGAGGCAGTGCCCCAGTGGGGACTCTGTATGGGACTCCAATCCCATATTACCCTTCCGCACTGTCCTAGTACAGGTTCTCCATGAGGGCTCTGCCCCTGCAGCAGACTTCTGCCTGAATATCCAGGCATTTCCATACATCTTCTGAAATCTAGATGGAGGCTCCCAAGCCTCCACTCTTTCCCTCTGGGCACCCACAGGCTTAACAGCATGTGGAAGCTGTCAAGGTTTGTGGCTTGCACCCTCTGGAGTGGCAGCCTGAGACATATCTGACACCCCCTTAGCCATGGCTGGAGCTGGAGTGACTGGAATGCAAACAGCAGTTTTCTGAGGTTGCACAGGGCAGTGGAGCCCTTGGTCTGGCCCACAAAAACAATTCTTCCATCCTAGGCCTCTGGGTCTGTGTTGGAAGAGACTGCTGTGAAGGTCTCTAAAATACCTTTGTCTTAGCTATTAACATTAGGCTCTTCTACTTTGGTAAATTTCTGCAGCTGGCTTGAATTCTTCCACTGAAAATGGGTTTTTCTTTTCTACTGGATGGCCAGGCTGAAAATTTTCCAAACTTTTATGCTCTGCTTCACTTTTAAATTTAAGTTTCAATTTCAGATCATCTTTTTGTTCATGCATATAAGTGTATGCTGTTAGAAGCCACCAGGCTACATATTGAATGTTTTGCTGCTTAGAAATTTGTTTCACCAGATACCCTAAATCATCTCTTTCAAGTTCAAAGTTTCACAGATCCCTAGGGCAGGGGCAGAATGCTGCCAGTCTCTTTGCTAATGCATAGCAAGAGTGACATTTACTCCAGTTCCCAATAACTTCTTCATCTCTGTCTGAGACCACCTTAGCCTGGACTTCATTGTTCATATCACTATCAGCATTTTGGTCACAACTATTTAACAAGTTTCCAGGAATTTTCAAACATTCCCACATCTTTCTGTCTTCTTCTGATCCCTCCAAAATGTTCCAGACTCTGTCTGTTACCCAGTTTCAAAGCTGCTTCCACATTTTCAGGTATTTTTATAGCAATGACTCACTTCCCAGTACCAATTGTCTGTATTAGCCCATTCTCAAATTGCTGTAAGAAACTACATGAGACTGGGTAGTTTATGAGGAAAATAGGTTGAATTAAGTCACAGTTCCACAGGCTGTATAGGAAGCATAGCTAAAGAGGCCTCAGAAAACTTAGAATCATGGTACAAGACAAAAGGGAAGCAAGCATATCTTCACATGGTGAAGCAGGAGAGAAAGAGCAAAGGAGGAAGTGCTAGGCACTTTGAAACAATCAGATCCTGTGAGAACTCACTTACTATCATGAGAATGGTAAGGGGGAAGTCCATCACCCTGATCCAATCACCTCCCACCAGGCCCCTTCTCCAACATTGATGATTAAAATTCCACATGAGATTTGGGTGGGGACACAGAGCCAAACTAGATCAGATATCTAGATCTCTAGCAAGACCAGGGAAGTTTTCTTCAATTATTCCCTTATATAGTTTTTCCAAACGTTTAGATATTTTTCCCTCCTCAGGAACATCTTATTCTTAGGCTTGGCTGTTTTACATAATTCCGTATTTCTTGAAGAGTTTGTTCATTTTTTAAAAAAATCTTTATTCTTTGTCTTTCTTTGTCTTATTGGGTTAATTAGAAAGCATTGTCTTCCAGCTCTGATATTCTTTCCTCTACTATTTCTTGTCTATTGTTGAAACTTTTCACTGCATTTTGTATTTCCCTAAGTGTGTCTTTCATTTGCACAATCCCTGATTGGTTTTCCTTTGTGATAGCGATTTCTATGGAAAAATTTTAATCATTATCCTGGGGTTTTTTTTTTTAAAGTCTTTAAGTTGTTTTCACCTTTCTCTAGTATCTCCTTGAGTAACTTAATAATCAACCTTCTGAATTCTTTATCTGGTAATTCAGAGGTTTCTTCTTGGTTTGAATTCATTGCTGGGGAGGTAGTGTGATCCTTAGGGGGTACTATGGAACCCTGTTTTGTCATATTACCAGAATTATTTTAATGGTTCTTTCTCATTTTGGTAGATGATTTCTTCAAATTGTTCTTGAGTTTATTTTTGATTGGACTGTGTTTTTTTTTAATTTCTCTTTTTCTTTCTTAAGGATTGGAATTTAATGTTTAATTTAGCCTAATTTGATTCTATGTGCTTTTAGGAGTGAAGATTCTGTATGACTTTCTTAGTTATAGAGAGTCTTTGTGTACTGGCTTTCCCAGATGCTGATTGTAGTCATTATGCTTTTGATGTGTGCGCAAGCTCACTGTCTCTTGTGGGATTGGAATGGCAGGGATCTCTTGAAGTTTATCTAATTATCTTGTGGTATAGGTTTTATTTATTTATTTATTTAATTTTTACCCAGTATTTTATTTACTGACTTGATGATTCAGGGTTCAGGTCTGCTGGTGGGAAGTCTCCCACACCAGACACAATTGCAGTGCTGGGTGCAGTAGCGAAAGTTTGCACCCAGGGGAGGTAACCCTTGTAGGCACTGGTTGTAGCTAGGGTATGTAGGTGGATATAACACGCAACAGTGGGCCAAGGTCCAAGCCTTGATGAGGGTGTCTGGGGAGCTTTCAAATAGATTTGTGGAGGTTTTATCAGGGTGAAGAGTTAGAGCTACTTCAGCTCCCCTGCGAGGCCACATGGAAAGCGATTCACCTCACAGCCTAATTCCTGTCCCAGTTACTTGGCTATTCAGATCTGACAGGCACCTCTTTTCATCTGTAGGATTGTTGATGTTCCAAATAGGGAGGAATTGTGACTCTGCCTTTTGTGCAGACCTCAATCTAGGGGGTGCTCCTCCTGTGGGGTTGCGCTCAACCAGCATTATTCCAGGAAGATTGTCCATAGGTGCAAACACATTGCATTCCTGTGCGAAAACCCCAGCTGTGTCTGTAGCGCAGTGCTGGGGAATGGGGACAGCAGGGAGGGAACAAGGACCACTTCTCCAAGTCCCTTCACAATCACAGAGGCTGCCTGCCCATTGGGGTACAGATGCAGACTTTCACTACTGCACCTAGCACTGCAATCGTGTCTGCTGTGGAGACTTCCCACCAGCAGAACGATCTGGGGTTCAAAACCTGCTGTTCAGATGATTTTGTCCCCTGGGGTGATACCTTGATATAGTGCTCTCCCCTTACTCTAGGAATAGGGGTTCCCAAGAGCCAGACTGCAGTGATTGTTATTTCTTTTCTGGGTCTAGACACCTAGTGAGGCTACCAGGGTTCCAGCTGGTGTTTCTGAATGTCTGCAAAGAGTCCAGTGATGTGACTTGTCTTCAGGTCTCCCAGCAGTGGATACCAGTACCTGCTCTGATGGAGATGTCTGTTAAACTTTATACCTCTCTCACAGATGTGGGCTCTTCTGCCACATTTTGCTCTGTTTCCTACTCTATTAGAGCTGTTTAACTTTATGGAAACTGCAGTTAGGCTTCAGATTATCTTTCTAAGTTTGTCTAGAATGGAATTCATTGCATCCTTTTTGCACCTGTTTTCCCCTGCTCCTTCCAAAATCCAGCAGTTGAGAACATGTACATGTACTACGTAGTCAGCTTTATTTTTTTAATTAAAAAAGTAACTTTTTATTTTGATGGCTTTTGTGATACAAGTGATTTTTGGTTACATGGATGAATTGTATAGTGGTGAAATCTGAGATTTTAGTGTACCTGTCACTCAAGTGGTGTAAATTGTATGGTTTTTTTTTTTAAATCTCTGATCCCAACCATGATCCTCCTCCTACTGAGTCTCCAAAGTCTATTATACCATTCTGTATGCCTTTGCGTACCCATAGCTTAGCTCCCACTTATAAGTGAGAACATACAGTGTTTGGTTTTCCATTCCTGAGATACTTTACTTAGAATAGCGGTGTCTAGCTCCATCCAAGTTGCTACAAAATACATTGTTTTATTTTTTTTAAAGTGGAGTAGTATTTCTTGGTGTATATATACCGCATTTTCTTTAACCACTCATTGGTTGATGGGCACTTAAGCTGGATCCATATCTTTGCAATCGTGAATTATGCTGCGATAAACATGTGTGCAGGTGTCTAAAAAGACATACGCAACTACTTATTTTCCTTTAGGTAGACACCTAGTAGTGTGATTGCTGGATCAAATGGTAGATATAGTTTTAGTTCTTTAAGAAATTTCCATAGTGTTTTCCACAGAGGCAGTACTAATTTACTTTCCTATAAGCAGTAAATAAATATTCCATTTTTACCACATCCGTTTTAATATCTATTGTCTTTTGAATTTTAATAATGGCCATTCTGGCTGGAATAACATGGTATCTCATTGTTGTTCTAATTTGCATTTTCCTGATGATTACTGATGTTAAGCATTTTTTTCATACAAATTGGCCATTTGTACATCTTCTTTTGAGAAATATATATTTATGTTATTTGCTTAGTTTTTGATGGAATTATTTATTTTTTTCTTTTTATTGCTGATTTGTTTGAGTTCCTTGTACGTTCTGAATATTAGTCCTTTGTCGGATGCATAGTTTACAAATATTTTCTCCCATTCTGTGGGTTGTCTGTTTACTATGATGATTATTTCTTTTGTTGTGCAGAAGCTTTTGAGTTTAATTAGGCCTCATTTATTTATTTTTGTCTTCGTTGCATTTGTTTTTGGGGTCTTAGTCATAAATTCTTGAGCTAGGCCAAAGTCCAGAAAGGTTTTTCCTACATTTTCTTCTAGAATTTTTGTGATTTCAGGTCTTTAAGTGTTTAATCCATCTTGAGTTGATTTTTGTATAAAGTGAGAGATAGAAAGCCAGTGTCATTCTTCAACATATGGTTATCCAGTTTTCCCAGCACCATTTATTAAATAGTGTATCCTTTCCCAAAATTCTATTTCTGGGTTTTCTGTTCTTTCCATTGGTCTGTGTATCTACTTTTATACAAGTACCATGCTGTTTTGGTAGCTTTAGCCTTTTAATATAATTTGAGGGTGATGCCTCCAGATTTGTTGCTTTTGCTTAAGATTGCTTTGGTTATTCAAGCTCTTTTTTTCTTGGTTCCATATGAATTTTAGAATTTTTTTCTAATTCTGTGAAAAATGATTATGGTATTTTGATAGAAATTGCAATGAATCAGTGGGATGCTTTGGGCAGTATGATCATTTTCATGACATTGATTCTTCCAATTCATGAGCATGGAACGTATTTTTATTTGTTTGTGTTATCTATGATTTCTTTCAGCAGTGTTTAGTAGTTCTCCTTGTGGAGATCTTTCACTTCCTTGGTGCAGTATATTTCTAGGTATTTTTTATTTGCAGCTATTGTAAAAAGAGTTGAGTTCTTGATTTGATTCTCAGTTTAGCCATTGTTGGTACATAACAATGCTACTGATTTGCATACACTGGTTTTGTAACCTAAGACTTCACTGAATTCATTTATCAAATCTAGGAGTCTTTCAAAGGAGTCTTCAGATTTTTCTAGGTATACTATCATATCATCAGCAAAGAGCAATAATTTGGCTTCCTATTTTCCAATTTGGTTTCCCTTTATTTCTTCTATTTGGCTGATTGCTTTGGCTAGGACTTCCAGTAGTATGTTGAATAGAAATGGTGAAAGTGGGCACCCTTGTCTTGTTCCACTTCTCAGTGGAAAAGCTATCAACTATTCTCCCTTCAGTATGATACCGGCTGTGGGGTTTTCAAAGATGGCTTTTATTACATTGAGGTATGTCCTTTCTATGCCTAGTTTGTTGAGGGTATTTTTCATGAAGTGATGCTGGTTTTTGTCAAACGCTTTTTCTCCATCTATTGAGATGATGATATGTTTTTTGTTTTTAATTCTGTTAGTGTCATTTATCACATTTATTGACTTGCATATATTAGCCCATTCATGTATCCCTGGAATGAAACCCACTTGATTACGGTGTTACTGTATTTGGAAGTACAGTTTGATTCAATTTTCTAGTATTTGTTGAGTGCTTTTGAATCTATATTTATCAGGGATATTTGTCTATAGTTTTTGTTCTTGTGGTGGTGGTTGTTGCTGTGTACTTTCCTGGTTTTGGTATGAGGGTGATATTGGTTTCATAGAATGAATTTGGGACAATTTCATCTTTTTCAGTCTTTTGAAATAGTTTTAGCTGGATTGGTACCAATTCTTCTTTGAATATTTTGTTGAATTCAGCTGTGAATCTACCTGGCCCTGGACTTTGTTGTTATTGTTGTTTTTGTTTGTTTGTTTTTATTGTTTTGCTTGTTGTTATTTTTAAATTATTGATTCAGTCTCAGTGCTTGTTATTGGTCTTTTCAGAATTTCTATTTCTTCCTGGTTCGATTTTGGAGGGTTATATGTTTCCAGGAATTTGTCCATTTCCTTTAGTTTTTTTTATTTTGTGTGCATAGATGTGTTCATTGTAGTCTTAAATGATCTTTTAAATTTCTGTTGTGTTCATTGTAATGTCTCTATTTACATTTCAAATTGAGCTTAATTGAATCTTGTCTCTTCTTGGTTAATTGAGCTAATGGTCTATCAATTTTGTTTATCCTTTCAGAATCTACTTTTTATTTCATTGATCTTTTATATTTTTGTTTCAATTTTATTTAGTTCTGCTTTGATCTTTATTATTTCTTATTTTTCCTTTTTATTTTTTTAATTTTACTTTAAGTTCTGGGATACATGTGCTGAATGTGCAGGTTTGATACATAGGTATACATGTGCCATGGTGGTTTGCTGCACCTATCCATCCAACATCTAGGACAAATACCCCTCGTGCATTAGGTATTTATCCTAATGCTCTCCCTCCATTTGCCCCCCATTCCCTGACAGGCCCCAGTATGTAATGTTCCCCTCCCTGTGTCCATGTGTTCTCTCATTGTTCAACTTATGAGTGAGAACATGTGGTGTCTGGTTTTCTGTTCCTGTGTTTGTTTGCTGAGAATGATGGTTTTCAGCTTCATCCGTGTCCCTGCAAAGGACATGAACTCATTCTTTTTTATGACTGCATAGTATTCCATGGTATATATGTGCCACATTTTCTTTATCCAGTTTATTATTGATGGGCATTTGGGTTGGTTCCAAGTCTTTGCTATTGTAAATAGTGGGGCAGTAAGCATACATGTGCATGTGTCTTTACAGTGGAATGATTTATAATCTTTTGGGTATATACCCAGTAATGAGATTGCTGAGACAAATGATATTTCTGATTCTATATCCTTGAGGCATCGCCACACTGTCTTCCACAGTGGTATAACTAAATTTACACTCCCACTCCAACACTGTAAAAGTGTTCCTATTTCTCCACATCCTCGTCAGCATCTGTTGTTTCCAGACTTTTTAATGACCACCATTCTAACTGGCATGAGATGATATCTCATTGAGGCTTTGATTTGCATTTCTCTAATGACCAGTGATGATGAGCTTTTTTTCATATGTTTGGTGGCTGCATAAATGTCTTCTTTTGAGAAGTGTCTGTTCATATCCTTTGCCCACTTTTTGATAGGGTTTTTTTTTTTTTTTTGGAAATTTGTTTAAGTTTCTGGTAGATTCTGGAAGTTAGACCTTTGTCAGATGGATAGATTGTAAAAAGTTTCTCCCATTCTATAGGTTGTTTGTTCACTCTGATGATAGTTTCTTTTGCTGTGCAGAAGCTCTTTAGTTTAATTAGATCCCATTTGTGAATTTTGGCTTTTGTTGCCATTGCTTTTGGTGTTTTAATCATGAAGTCTTTGCCAATACCTATGTCCTGAATGGTATTGCCTAGGTTTTCTTCTAGGGTTTTTATGGTTTTAGGTTTTAAATTTAAATCTTTAATCCATCTTGAGTTAATTTTTGTATAAGGTATAAGGAAGGGGTCCAGTTTCAGTTTTCTGCATATGGCTAGCCAGTTTTCCCAACACCATTTATTAAATATGGAATCCTTTCCCCATTACTTTTTGTCAGGTTTGTTAAAGATCAGATGGTTGTAGATGTGTGGTATTATTTCTGAGGCCTCTGTTCTGTTCCATTGACCTATATATCTGTTATGGTATCATTACCATGCTGTTTTGGTTACTGTAGACTTGTAGTTTAGTTTAAAGTCAGGTAGGGTGATGCCTCCAGCTTTGTTCTTTTTGCTTATGATTGTCTTGGCTATACAGGCTCTTTTGTGGTTCCATGTGAAATTTAAAGTAGTTTTTTTTCTAATTCTGTGAAGAAAGTCAATGGTAGCTTGATGGGAATAGCATTGAATTTATAAATTACTTTTGGCAGTATGGCCATTTTCACGATATTGATTCTTCCTATCCATAAACATGGAATGTTTTTCCATCTTTTTTTCTCTCTTATTTCTTTGAGCAGTGGTTTGTAGTTCTCCTTGAAAAGATCCTTCATGTTCCTTGTAAGTTGTATTCCTAGGTGTTGTATTCTCTTTATAGCAATTGTGAATGGGAGTTCACTCATGATTTGACTCTCTGCTTGTTTATTATTGGTGTATAGGAATGTTTGTAATTTTTTATTTCTTTTCTTCTGCTAGCTTTGGGTTGGATTTGTTCTTGTTTGTCTAGTTCCTTGCAGTGTGACATTGGGTTGATAATTTGTGATTTTTCAGGCTTTTCGATACAGACATTTAGTGCTACAAACTTTCCTCTTAAAATTGCTTTTGCTTTATCTTAGAAATTATGATAATGTTTCTCACTATTATCATTCATTTCAAGTAATTTTTAAATTTTCATTGTTAACCCAAAAATCATTCAGAAGCAGATTGTCCAATTTCCATATATATGTTTAGCTTCTAGAGTTCCTTTTTGAGTTGATTTCTAGTTTTATTCCACTGTGGTCTATAAAGATACTTGATAAAATATCAAGTTTTTAAAATTTATTGAGACTTCATTTGTAGCCTATCATGTGATTTATCTTGGATAATGTTTCATGTGTTGTTGAATAGAATGTATATTCCACAGCTGTTGCATAGAAAGTTCTGTAAATATCTGTTAACTTCATTTGTTTTAGGGTATAGTTTAAGTATACTATTTCTTTGTTGTCTTTCTGCCCCACTAATCTATCTAGTGCTGTCAGTGGAGTGTTGAAGTCCTCCACTATTATTTTGTTGCCATCTCGTTTGTTAGGCCTAGTTCTAATTCTTTTATTAATCTGTAAGCTCCTCACTTAGGGGCATATATATTTAGGATGGTGATGTCTTCTTATTGTATTGATCCTTTTATAATTATATGATGACCATTTTTGTCTTTGTTTTATAATGTTAATTGCTTTAAAGTCAGTTTTATTGGATATAAGAATAGTTACTCCTGCTCGCTTTTGGTTTCCATTTGCATGGAATTTATTTTTCACCCCTTTACCTTGAGTTTATATGAGTCCATATATATGAGGTAAGTCTCTTGAAAACAGCAGATATTTGGTTTGTGACTTTTTATATCCATTCTGCCAATCTGTAACTTTTAAGTGGAGCATTTAAACTATTTACATTCAATGTTAATATTGATATGTGAGGTACTGCTCCAGTCATTATGTTGATTGTTACCTAGATATTTTGCTTTTTTACAGGCCCTGTGAATTTTATGCTTTCAAGCGATTCTATTCTGATGGATATTAACATTTTGTTTCAAGATTTAGAACTCTTTTTAGCAGTTCTTACACGGATTGTCTGCTAGTAGCAAATTCCTTCAGCATTTCCTTGTCTTAAAAAGACTGTATTTCTCCTTCATTCATAAAACTTGGCTGAAAGTTATTCTGTTTAAGGAGACAAAAGATAGGACCCCAATTTCTTCTGGCTTGTAAGGTTTCTGCTGAGAAGTCTGCTGTTAGTCTGATAACTTTTCCTTTATAGGTTACCTAATGCGTTTATCTCCTTGCTCTTGTAATTCTTTCCTTCAGCTTGACTTTGGGTAGTCTGAAGACTGTATGTCTTGGTGATGTCCTTTTTGCAATGAATCTCCCAGGAATTCTTTGAACTTCCTGTATGTGAATATCTAAATCTCTAACAAGACCAGGGAATTTTTTTCTCAATTATTCCCTCAAATAAGTTTTCCAAATTTTTGCTTTCTCACATCCCTAAGGAACACCAATTATTCTTAGGTTTAGCTGCTTTCCTAATTCCATATTTCCTGGAGATTTGTTCATTCTTTAGATTCATTTTCTTTATTTTTGTCTCATTGGGTTAGTTCAGAAGCCTTCTCTTCAAGCTCTGAAATTCTCTCTTCCACGTGGTCTGTTCTTAAAAATTTCCACTGAATTTTGTAATTCCTTAAATGTACTTCATTTCAAAAAGTTTTTATTGTTTTTTGTTTAAATATCTATCCTTTTAGAAAATTTTTTATTCATATCCTGATTTTTAAACATTTTTTTATATTGTTTTTCACCCTTCTCTTGTATCTCTTTAAGTGGCTTAATAATCACCCTTTTGAATTCTTTTTCTGGTATGTCAAAGATTTCACCTTGGTTTGGATCCATTGCTGGAGACCTGGTATGATCTTTTGGAAATGTTATAGAATCCTATTTTGTCATATTGCCAGAATTATTTTTCTGGTTCTTTCTCATTTGGGTAGACAATTTCTTCTAATTATTCTTAAATTTATTTTTGATTCCACTGTGTTTTTTTAATTGTTTTTCTCCCTTAAAGATGTGACTTTAATGTTTAGTTTATTGTATCCTATTTCTGCTCTTGGTACTTTTAGGGGTGAAGACTCTATATGTTTCTTGTATGATGGCTGTCTCAGAAGATAGTTGTAGTAGCAATGTGCTTGGTGTGTGAGCAAGTTCACTGTCTCCTGTGGGATTGGAGTGGTAGAGGTCTCTCAAAGTTTATCTCATTCTGTGAATGGGCACTTTTTTACCCTGTATTTTATTTACTGGTTTGAATCGTTCAGGCTTCAGGCCAGTAGGGAAGGTGTCCCTGAGTGGAAACTGGTTGTAGCTAAAGAAGGCAGATAAATGCCATACTCATGGGTGGGCAGAGGTCCCAGCTTTGACATAGGTCCCTGGAGAAGCTCTCAGTGAAATACACTGAGGTCTCATTGGGGGAAAGGTTGGAACCTCCTCAGCTCCCCTGCCAGGCCAGTGGGGAAGTTATCTAGCTCCTAGTCATACTCCTGACCCAGAGTTCTGGCTATTCAGATCATATGGACAGTTCTTTTCATCTGTAGAAATGTTGATGTTCCACATAGAAAGGAATTATGATTCTACCCCTTGTGCAAGCTTGAACTTGGAGAACACCTCTTCTGTTCGGATGCGGTCACTTTGAAGTGTTCCAGAACAGCTGTCTGCAAGTGTTCCCATACCTAGCTCCTGTGGGGAAAGCCCCAGCTGTATCTGCCCAGATAGATGAGAAGGAAAAGAAGTCCCCTTCTCCAAGATATTTTACAAGCACCAGGGCTGCCTGCCTTGTCTTACAGCTGCAAACTTTCCCTGCTGAGCCTAGTACTGCACCCGTGCCTCTGCTGAAAGAATTTTTCCACAAGCAGAAATTTCTGGGACTCAAGGCCTTCCACCTGGATTTTTTTTATCCCAAGGGGTGCTCCCTTGATATGGTATACTCTCCCTTCCCCTAGAAGTAGGAGTCCCTGAGAGCCAGAATACTGTTATTGCTGTTTCTCATTTGGGTCCAGCCTGGGCTGTCACACTCCAGGCTGGTGTTGAGAAATGTCTGCAAGGGATCCAGTGATGTGACTTGTCCTCAAGTCTCCCAGACACAAGTACTAGCACCAGCTCTGATGGGGATGGCAGGGGGGCAAAGTAGACTCTGTGAGATTCCTTAATTATAAATAGCCTTAGTGTGCTGGCTTTCTTAAATGCAGGTTGTAGTAGGAATGAATTGGTCATGTGGTCAGATTCAGGATCTCTTGGTTAGCCAGGGTGCTGTAAGCATTGGTGACAACTGAGGTCATGCACACATTTTCTCCTTCCTGAGTTCTGGGTTATTCTACATGGAGATGCTGTAATAAACTGTATTGGTTGGCCTCCAGCCAGAAGGTGGCACTGGCAAAAGAGCACCAGCTGCATTGGTAGCAGTGGGATTTGTGCTTGCCTTATATTATAATACAAAGGGGAGGTACCCTGGTGTCTCGGGCAATGGGTGGCGACATAGAGCTCCCAAAAGTTTCTGTCTTTTGTGTTAAGCTACCAGGGTGAGTGGAGGGGCAGAGTTGGGTGGGGACTGGGTTAGGCAAGTTTGCTCTCTGACTCTCCACATACAGGGCAAGCAGTGGAGCCAGTGGGGATCAGAGGGCAGTTCTCTGGCCACTCAGGTAATGTTCCAGGGAGAAGCACAGCTGTCTCTGCTACACAGAAGAGTTTGCACAGGGATTGGGGAATGGCAGGCAACAATAAGCTCCTTCCAGCTCCTATGCACTTGGCAAGGCAGGTCTCATACCCAGTGTTCCACTGTCAGCAGCTGGCTGACTTCCAGACAGTCTGTGCTTAGAAATCAAAATTGCCCCAGGACATAAACCTTTCCCATAGAGACAGCAACTTTAGCTTTCAGGCTACAACCCTCCCAGTTCTCCTGCAAAGCAGAGGCGCCATGCTCCTGCAGCACACTTCCCACTTGCCTCTCATTTCTGGTAAAGGAGCTCATTACCACTCAAGATTATATTGCAAAGTTCACAATGTGAAGCTCTACACACTATTTTCTCTTTCCAACTGAGAGAGGCATGCTAACTGTGCCTCCAATTCACCTTCTTAGAACGTATACCACATATTGAATTTTAAAACAGTAAGGTGGAAAAATAATAATCCAAAGAAATAATGGCAACAGACGAGCTTTAAAATTTAATTGTTACTTCTGGTTTTGAAAGATATTTCAAGGGCACTCATTGTATTCCTGAAATCATGTCATATAGTAAATGTGTGCTTCTTTATTTCCTAAAGATGAGTATTTCTTCTGCCAAAATCAGATATGTGGGCCAATTTTCATTTATTGTAGCACCTGTTTTCTCTTTCTTACTCCTCGTGATATAATTATAGCTACCAGCTTATCTGTGTCTTTCAGTGCACTTAATAGAAGAGCATACTAACCTAGAAACAAAATAACAAAATCCTTGAAAGGAAGAGCAGGGAAGTAGTTAATGAGTACAGAAAGACTCCAAACACTCAAATGATGTCTCAGAATAAAGGTAAAATGATTCCTTGTGAGTGACTATATGAGACTGACAAGCTCTACGCCCATTAATTTCCTGTTCTTTTATGTGATTTTAGAAAATTGTATGTTTTTTTCTTTCTTACTTCCCTTTTCTGTCTCAGTAGAACATTTCGTTTCTGTTTTCTTAGAAATAAATAAGAAGTCATAACACCTCTTGTGAAACGTTACAAGAAACGATTACCTGCTCTTTTATGTGATTTTTAACAAAACATACATTAATAATCAATTGATTCAGTGTATGAAAGACCACTGTTGCCAAACCCTTAACCCTATTAACCTACCACTAAGTCTTATTGGTTATTTCCTATTAGCTGTTTTTATTTCTTTTCTAATTTTGCACTTCTTTACTTTTACTACTTTACTCTGGTTCAGATCCTCACCACCATACTTTTATTCAATTGCAGTGAATTCCTAGGTGTTCTTTTTCTCTCCAGGGTTTATATTTTTACTCTATTCAACTTTCAACCCCCAAATTCACCTCCTCCCAAAGACACTCACATTTTAAATTCTTTTATACTTTCATAGTGAATAGAGTTCAACTTTTCCATGGTATATGACATTGATTAAAGCTTTATTTCTAATCTGTGTTTGTTGGTATACTCAGAAGACCTTAAAACAAAGATTCGAAGACAATATTTGGGAAGTGATCAATGAAACAACAGTAGGGAATGAGAAGTGAGACAGAAAATGGAAGGTTGTCAATAAAGTATACTTTATCAAGAAAGTTACGGTGTGTAACTGGAGTATATTAATTCAAGTGGAGGATTCTGGGAATCAGTTTGGGTCTGTGTTTTCCCACACAAAAGGCAAAAGACAGGATCCTTACCCATCCAATGGATAAAAACAGTAGTAATGATAAGAATGATAACTTTAGTAAGTATTTAACCTTTGCAGGCTCTACACTAGGTATATTCATATGAGCTATTTCACCTAAGTTCATAGAACACATATAAGGTTTGTATTTTTATTATTCCTGTTTCACAAAGTGTGCAAAATTCAGCTGCCTTGTTCAAAGTTAAGGCTCACATTCAAAATTTCAACATGTATCTGCTTGGCAAATATGTGTCAGTATTTTACCACTGTATGCTGTGCACTGCTTTTGGCAAATCAGCTTCAGATAGTTGCTGAAATCATAAGAAACAACTGTCAGTTTTGTGAATTCTTAAAACATTCAGTGTCTGCATGTGACCTATCTATCTATGACTTGTTCTGTCTTCTCATTTTCTGGAATTATTTCTTAGCTTTGTCTACTTAAATTGTAAGTTTCCTTAGAGCAATAAAAATTTTGTCTATTTCATTGGTATGATATAACAGTTTTAGTTATGATGTCAATATACAGTGATTTTCTATGATATAGTCTTTGATAATTTTATTTTTTCCATATTACTGTAAAATGGCAATGTCCCTTTCTATACAACATTTTGTAATATTCATTATTATGTCTACTATGATTCTTTTAATTTCATATCTGTTATATGTATTCTATGGTAGCTTTCAACTTAGTGGCCCTAAAGTATATGTGTATATAAAAAATATAAGTATATATGTAAGGTAATTTATATATTATATTAAATATGTTAAAGTTAGAGTGCATTCTTAAGAATGCATAGTTTTCTTGAATCTTTGAAAGTGTTATTAAAATTACGGATAAAAACATCTTAAGGAAACTCACATTTTATTTTTGGCACCAAGAATTTGCTATGTATCTTGGTAGTAGTCATTTTCTACAAATGTAAAGAAGCAATGCAGTAAGTGCATGAAAAAACACGTCATCAAATGACTAATAGATGTGTGAAAATTGTTTTCAAGGACTTGGCTCCTTTCCCCTGTTTAACAATGCATATGTTATTTATAAGATAATGCAAATATTCCTACATTAATTCACCACACTACCCTTTAAAAATACGAGGAATTGTTAAATGGGGTGAAAAATGCAAGACATTTTAAAATTAAGCTATTATGCTGAATATATGCAAATATGAATATTGCTAGCTAAAATACATTTTTAATGTTGCTTTTGAAATGTTCATTTTATTAGCGTGCATATTCCTCTAAAATCCTGCATTTAATATTGTTATTTTTGTGATAATATAGTGATATATACATAGTAGATGACTAATGTTGCACTTTAGCATATCAGACAGAAGGAAACATTTCTCAGATTTGGAGCCATTTTAAAATAGCAATGAAATAACCATAGTATAATTGTTTTCTTCTATATTTGTGTGGCTTGGATGGTCAATAAATACTGATTTAAGTCTTGAAAACAGTTGACAGTATGGGTTCCCTGGACCAAATCTATTTCCAAGAAAAGGTATTTTCAAAGAAAAATTAGCTGCAAAATAAAATTTCTTTTTAGTGACATTGGTGTAATATTTGCTTCATTCCCATCCCCAGCATCTTTTCAGACACACAATGCTGTAATCATAGTGCTGGAAAGTGAGCTAAAATGTTATCACTATGAGAGCTGGAGTTTTGCCTATTTGTTCTTTGTTGCAGCCCTAATACTTAATATGCTCCCTGAAATACAGTATGTATCTAATATATATAGTTGAGTGACTATTTATTGAAAAAGATGCATTCAAATATATGCTTGATTAATACTACTGGATGCATGCCCTTTAAAGTGGTCCTGTCGGTAAACCTTTTTCGACCAATTATTTTTCATTCCTCTCCATTTACGCATTTTTAAGCACATATTGTTTGAATATTTACTTTACATAATGCACTATTATAACCCCTGGAGATACAGTACCGAGCTAAATTAACAAACATCCTCAGACTCATAGTTTACAATCCATTGCAGGGATACTGGCCAAAGAAAAAAAATGGTGGTCATATATGTAAGGAAAAATACAGCAGAGAAAGACAGTGTCAGGGACAGGAGATACGAATTTTAAGGTGGAGATCTTAAGGCCATTAAGGAGGAGACCATTGAGTAAATACCTAAATGAACTATGCTGTCCACAACTGGAAGTCCTGGAAGTTGAGAGGATTGGGGTTGATGAGAGTCTAGGTCCTGAAAGGAAGATATGGGTGACACTCTTCCACATCTCCTATTTGGCCTCCAAAGTTAATGTCCTTGCTTTTTTCCTACATTTTATTTGCACTGAAAAAGAAAGGGGGAGCACAAAGCTCAGAGAATTAGCTAACACTCTGGATAATATTATAAAAACACATGATCTTAATAGTTAGATGCTGAAATGAGTAGAATGATAAGAAGTATGAGTGCAAAGTATGAAACTTAGACTGAAAAACTACATTGTAAAAATAAGATAGCTTAATGGCAAAACACACAAATATCCTGTTTGCTGGATATTAGATATGAAACTAGAAAAATTACTCTAGAGCCTTCACTTTGAACTACCAAACCATACTGCCTCTCAGTTTAAACAAGCCCATATGTAACCTTAGCTCAATGAAACCTTGGTCAAATTACCTCTGGACCAATTTAAGAGTGTTCCCAAATTTCTGTTTGTATTCTACCACATTCATATTTCTTATTTGTATGAGGTGATATAGGCACTTTAAGGGTATTGGGGTTATATTAATTTCACTTTTTACTGTGGTCATTATTATGCTAGTATAGTATAGTATCTTGTACACAGGGCATTACATAATTTTTATTTTATTGGTTTGGAGGTGAGTACATGTGTTTTCCTTTTATCATTGTTCTGTAAGCATACATATACATTATTGTATTAGGTCATTCTTGAATAGCTACAAAGAAATACCTGAGACTGGGTAATTTATCTATATTAATTATTACTACTATTTCGTATGAATACCATATTTAATAATGAAAGAAAAGAATAACAAACCAATAAGTAAAACAAGAAAGTATAATTTCCTGTAACCCTAGCTTTCAGAGATAACTATCACTGAGTTTTTGGATTAAATTTTTGTGTGTGTATCAAAAAATATTATGCAGTATATAGACTCTGTAATTTGCTTTTCCTCCACTTTCCATGCCATGAATGTGTTCCTATGTCAATAAACTTTTGTTAACAGTATTAGCTCTAGTAACTGAACAGTATTCTATTCGATGGATTTATCATAAAATATTCAATAATGGATGTATTACTTATTCTTTCACTATTGCTGGACATGGAAACTTGTTTCAATTTTTGTTTCTACTATAATGCTTTAATAAGCAATCTCAAAGTTAAAGATTTTTGTTCATCCCTATTATTTCCTTAGGATACATTCTTAGGTATCTAATTGTTGAGTCAAAGTAGATCAATATTTTCAAGGCTTATTTTTAACATCACTAGTTGCAGGTATTATTGCTAAAGCTTGAACACTCCAGAATTTCTATCAGCATTTTAACTCTCTCTTATATAATTGAAGTCCACGTAAACTCAGAGTAAAATAGCAATACCTAATACTGAATAGTTAACATTCATTGAATTCTATAGTGGGTCCAGTGTGGAGCATCCAAGATCTTCCCTTTAGGACTTCAGGGCTTATTCTTCCAGCTGCTGGGACAGTTGCCAGTATTACCTCTTGGTTATCAACAGGTTTTGGAAATAGTTGGTGGTAGAAGACCATCAGCTGATGTTGGGTTCTAAAATACCAGCTTTTACTAGTGAGGTAGACTTAAGTCTTTTTCTGACTACTACCCTTCTTTCAATTTTTCTATAAATGTTCATCCTAAAAACTACTACATGCCAATCTCTGTCTCAGAGCTGATTTCCTGTGGGCCCAGCTTGCAACAAGGACCTATCGTGGACTGAATACATGTTGTGTTTTAGATCCATTACATCATTTACTCTTATAAATACCTTTGTGAGATAAGTGGTATTGTTATTTTGACCTTACAGATAAAGTAATCTCAGCTGTTCAAATAGCATGCTCTAGGGCAAGTCATATAACTGGTGGAGACAGGATTCAAAAAGAGAAATCTTATTCCAAAGCCCATGTTCTACACGACACACTATGTTTCCTCCAGACTCAGCCTGAGAAATGCAGATTGATAACCTTAGTCATTGTGAACAGTTGTTCATGATTCATTGTCATCCAGGCTGATTTAAAGGTTTTTCTGGTCTTTATGTCTTTGCACATTGATTTTTATTTAGCTCTTTCTATATACATCAAATACTATCACTAGACCATAAGCTCCATAGGGAAGTTAGTAGCATCACACCTGATACTTACGGGTGCTATGTGAGTAAACTGCACTGGAATGAGTGAATGAATATACTTGCTCATCTTTATTTAGGTTTAGTCATGCAAAGTCAGGCTTCTATTCTGGTCTAGACAGACTTTGATTCGGCTATCATGGAAAAAGTTGTTAAATAATCATTCTTTCCTTCATGTCCACTCAGATAAACAGTGTGCTATTTTATTACTAAAGAAATTTTATGGATAACAAATTTTATTGTGTGGCTGAGTTTTGTATACATTAATATTTCCCTCTTTCTTAAACTTTCTACTCTATAGTTTCAATATAGAGTCCTTTATTTAAAAAGTATACAAATACTGTTACTATTTTTCACTTCATATATTTTAATCATGTCCATTTTCAGCTGTTATCTTTTAGCTCAACCATACAACAAAAAGATTCCAGCTGTCTGGAAATATTCAGACACTATATTAGCTATTAAGTATTCCAATTTTTTTAAAAAAGTATAGCCTTACTATAAAATATTTTACAAAATTTCCCTTTTAAAAATTATTTTTACTTTTTATACAAACTACTACATCAGATTTTAAAAACCGATGAACTATACACTGTTTTAGTCTGTCACAAAAGTTTGTTTTGGAGATACTTCAAATTGTATTTCTGTCTTTTCCAACAGTACTTTCAAAAATATTTATTATCTTATAGGACAATATAATAATAAAATTTGTCTTAATAGTTTGGAACTATATTAGGTAGATAAGACTTTTGAAAATAATTCTATACAAATGTTATTGGATATTGCCTGAATGATTGGCTACTAATCTCAATTTGTAAGAGCCAGCCAATTCAAAATATTTATACATGAAGGAAAACAATTATTATGTGGCTATAAAGCAAAGTTTGGCTGTTAAATAAAATTATGTTTTTAAGAGAATTTAAATTTGAGCATGAATTAAGAATTTCAAACAGAAAAAAACTAAGAGGAAACAAAAGGAACCAGTCCAAGTCAATGATCCAGCACTAAAGCAGGCCACTATTGTTGGTTTTGCTCATGAACGCTCTGCCAGTTGCAACCCTGGAACTCAGTGCTGTACCCTCCACCAGTGTCTGGATGTTCAACTATTCCCTTGATGCCTTGCCTTACATCAGATATTCCACTTTTCATTATATCCAATGTGTATTTTTTTCCAATAATTTCTCATTAATTTTGTTCATTTTTGTAGTGTGTTTCTTGTCATCAAAACAACCCAACAGAAAAATAGGTGGCATAGTAAGTGTATGATTAAATGTTATCTGTTTAGAACATGATATTTTATTGCAAAGGTAAATTTTACATGTAAATAAAACTAGTGATGATTGCATGAATATTTTCTATAAAAGAAAAAATCTAGTTATGGATAATGCAGTTAGATTCCATCTGGAATCACTAATTTAACATCTAAAGAGTTATCAGGAATCGCTACTGATGAAGGGCAGTGTATTTGTTTCCTGAGGATGCTGTAAGAAATTATCACAAACTGTGTGCCTTAAAATAATAAAATGATATTTTTTCACATTTCTGAAGGCCAGAAGTCTGCAATCAAGGTATATCAGCAGGACCAGCTCCCGCCAGAGACACTAAGAGGGAATCTTTTAACTTTCACTTTCTGGAGCTGCACGTGTATCTTGACTTGTGGCCACAGTCACTCTAATCTCTGCTTCTGCCATCACATTGATGTTTGAAAGACGATGAAAGGTTTGGTGAGTCATTACTGAGATCTTCCATTCTCACCTTGTCATGCTGCATTTAGACTAAAATCCCTTAAATTGAGTGACCATAAACCACTTTAGGCTTGGGATATTAATTTAAGGTTTATATTCCCTTTGATTTGAAGGAGTCCATGGATTCTTTTCTTTCTAAAGGTAAAACAAACAACATTTAGAAATATATGTTTTAGTAATAGTAATTTCACTTTTAAAAATACATAGTTGATCAGGTAATAGTTACTTGCTTTGATATCAGCAAAATTTAAAGTAATATTGAGAGGTGACAACGTGCTAGCAGCTCTCGCTCGCTCTTGGCACCTCCTCGGCCTCGGAGTCCACTCTGACCGTGCTTGAGGAGCCCGTCAGCCCACTGCTGCACTGTGGAAGCCCCTCTCTGGGCTGGCCAAGGCCGGAGCCGGCTCCCTCTGCTTGAGGGGAGGTGTGGAGGGAGAGGCATGAGCGGGAACTGGGGCTGCCACAGCGCTCGCCGGAGGGAGAGACCACCTGAGCAGGCTTAGTGTGAGCAACTAGGCTGTTTATCCACTTGGGTGCAAGTGGGCTGAGTCCGAGAAAGGAGTCAGCGAAGTGTGGTGGGATTATCATTGGTTCTTACAGGTTTGGGATAAGCCGTGGAGTCAGGAGCAATTTTTGCCAGCAGGGGATGGATGTTACAAAGTACATTCATAAGGGAGGGGAGGATGTATTGTCACAAGGGCGGGGAAGAATGTTACAAAGTACATTCACAAGGACTGGAAATATCACAAAGTACATTATCATATTATCATAAGGGGGAGGTTAGGATGTCAGGATCACTTGACCATGGTGCAGCCCACTCAGAGGACCTTACAGTAAACAACAACAACAAAAAATACAATAAATTGTTTCATATGATTTTGGAGGCCGGCAAATCCCAAATATGCAAGGTGAGTTGGCAAGCTAGAGAGCAGAACAGGAGATACAATGTTTTAGATTGAGTCTGAAGGCAGAATAAAAGCTGATGTCTCCATTCTAAGGCAGTCAGGCAGGAAGAATTCTCTTCTACTGGGAGGGAGAAGGGTAGTCAGCCTTTTTGTTCTATTCAAGGCCCACCTATCTTAGAGAGAGCACTCTTCTTCACTTAATCCACCATTTAAAATGTTAATCACATCTTTAAACACCTTGATGGAAAGAATGTTTGACCAAATATCTGGGTATACTGTGGCCCAGAAGAGTTGACACACAAAATTAATCATAACAATTAACACAAATAGTAAAGTGATTCGACTGGTATTTGAACCCAAGCATTTTATTTCCTGTGATATGTTTTTATGTTATATTATAATTTGATCTGTTTTCAGATAGCTATACTTGCCAGTCATTTTCATACTCCAGAATTGGTGAAGTAAAAGTTCATGTGAAGGGGACTATTTAATCATAAAATTCACAAAGTGATTCATCCAAGAGTGTAAAAAAATTACACTAATTTATACATAAGCATATATTTGAAACTATTAGCCTGTGTGTGTGTGTGTGTGTGCATGTGTAAAAGAGATGCCAGAACTGTGCTAAACACTTACTTTTTCGCTACAAATTCTCTCAGGGCTATTTTGCCATAACCAGAATAAATGTGAAATTCTTAACTAAACTGCTACAAATGTATGAGTCTTCTTTGAGTGTTGCAATGGGCCAAACTGTATATTAACAAGAGGTTTAATTTATTTCTCTGTTATGGCACGTAAGAAATGTTCTTGTACAATTTTTATCGCAGATTATAATTCAATAAATCTATAAATGTTAAGAAAGCATGTTGATTCATTATTAATTCATGCCAAAACAAACAGATGCTTTCATTTCAAGAATATCTGTAATGTTTAAAAAATCAAATTGCCAGACAGGAAGCAATTATAAAATGGTCAGAATAGAAAATAATGTTAACAATCTTTGACGATTTCTTTTTTAGACACTAAACTATTCACATTTTTTTATCTATGTCTTGATTATATTTACCATTCAACATTTACTTAGATGAAAAGTTTGCTATGCTTAGAAATACAAAAAGGAAAAGAAAAAGACATCTATGAACACAAGAAAGTAAATAAAATTTTATTACAAATCATTTATTTAAGAAGATAGGACTTCACTTATTCTCACTGCTGAAAATTAAATTTATTGATATCAATTATAAAAGCCCTTTCTGTATGTTAAACCAAAACATCAATGTATTAACACAGTCAAGTAAAGTTTATTAACAAGCATTATGTAGTTAGAAAGATAGTTTCTCTTAAATTTATTTTTCTAAGCTAAACAAACAAAAATTTAAATTTTGTTTGTAA
Source organism: Homo sapiens (assembly GCF_000001405.40). NCBI lineage: Eukaryota > Metazoa > Chordata > Mammalia > Primates > Hominidae > Homo > Homo sapiens. The sequence continues at coordinate 30,266,555 of NC_000004.12, forward strand.
ACGTTTGCTTCAGAAATTTAATGAATTTTTCCGTTTCTTTGGCAAAATATGGAAAAATTAATTGTGACTAGTACACCTCAAAGTTGATGAAAAATAATTGTTCCGGAAGATAAATTTCATAATCTTTTAAATAAAAATATATATAGTATTTCTAAAGTTCATATGAAAAATATTTGTCCAAAGGACTTCTTTGTTTAACGTTACTACAAGGAACAGAGCCAGCTGATCCCTGAATCCATCGCAAATAAAAAAAGGAAGTTCCAATTGACCCAGGAGGGGTTGTATAGAGAAAGAAATCGCTTTCTTTTGACGTATTCTTTGATGCAAGTGCAGACTAACCTGTTATTTATATCTCCAAAAGAGGAGCTGGGTCATTCAGGCCTGCCAGGCCATTTGTAAAAATGAAGAAAGCTCACAATTAAAGGGCTAAAATTATTATGGCATTATCTGACTATTTTAGTACCTGGATATTTAAATTAAAAAAACTGGTGGCAGAAAGACTTTTGACAGTATCTCAAAGTTTGTACAATACTGGAATGCTAAACCTATTTTAAAAAATGATATCAATTAAATAAGCATAGCTCAATTATCTAGAATCATAAATGCATAATATTTTTAGAAGTATGATATTTAATGAAATCCAATTATTTAGCAGTTACTATACTATAGGAATACTTGTTCTCCTTTTTTCCAAAAATAAACTTTTGAGAAGATCCGTACTACTTCTCAAATTTTATAGATAGATAAATTGGACTTCATTAAAATCAAAAAACTTTTGTGCATTGAAGGACAGTGTCAAGAAAGTAGGACGACAACTTACAGAAAGGAAGAAAACATTTTCAAATCATGTATCTGATAAAGGTTTAATATCTAGAATATATGAAGAACTTCTACAACTCGGCAACCAAAAGACAATAACTCAATTTAATAATGAACAAAGTCCTTGAACAAATATTTCTTCAGAGAAGATATATAAATTGCCAATAAGCACCTGAAAAATGCTCAACATTATTAGTTATTAGGTAAATGCAAGTTGATACTACACCAACATACGACTTCACACCTACTAAGATGCTTTAATTAAAAAAAATGGAGAAGATGTGGAGAAATAAGAACACTTTTACACTGATGGTGGGACTGTAAACTAGTTCAACGATTGTGGAAGACAGTGTGGCGATTCCTCAGGGATCTAGAACTAGAAATACCATATGACCCAGCCAGCCCATTATGGGGTATATACCCAAGGGATTATAAGTCATGCTGCTGTAAAGACACATGCACACGTATGTTTATTGTGGCACTATTCACAACAGCAAAGACTTGGAACCAACCCAAATGTCCATCAATGATAGACCGGATTAAGAAAATGTGGCACATATATGCCATGGAATACCATGCAGCCATAAAAAATGATGAGTTCATGTCCTTTGTAGGGACACGGATGAAGCTGGAAACCATCATTCTCAGCAAACTATCGCCAAGGACAAAAAAAGCAAACACCGCATGCTCTCACTCATAGGTGGGAATTGAACAATTAAAACACTTGGACACAGGAAGGGGAACATCACACACCGGGGCCTGTTGTGGGATGGGGAGAGAGGGGAGTGGGGAGGGAAAGCATTAGGAGAAATACCTAATGTAAATGATGAATTAATGGGGCAGCACACCAACATGGCACACGTATACATATGTAACAAAACTGCATGTTGTGCACATGTACCCTGGAACTTAGAGTATAAAAAAAAAAGGAAAATAACAAGTTTTGGTGAGGCTGTGGAGTAATTGGAACCGTCATGTATTGCTGATGATAATGTTAAATGCTATTGCTTCTGTGTTTGGCAGGTCCTCAAAATATTAGCCAGAGCATTACCATGACCCAGCAATTCCAATTCTAGGTATACACCCAAAAGAACAGAAAATAGTGCCTCGAGCAGATAGCTGTATGCCAGTGTTCCTTGCACCATTTTTCACAATACACCAAAGTGGAAACAACCCAAGTGGCCATTGACAAATGATGACATAAACAAAATCTGGTATATAAATACAATGGAATATTATTTAGCAATAAATGTAATGAAGCTCTGATACATTCTGAAACATAGATATACTTTGCAATCTTATGCCTAGAGAAATAATCCAGACACAAAAGACTAATATTTCATGATTACACTTATATAAAATATCTCGAATAGGCAAATTAATAGAGCCATAAAGTAGAATAGAAGTTTCCAGAGACTTCTGAGGAATTATTGCTTAACAAATACAGAGTTTCCTTTTGGAGTTATGAAAAATTTTGGAAATAGTGGTGATTATTGCATAACATTGAGAATGAAATCAAGGCCACTGAATTTTGTACATTTAAAATTAGTTAAAATAGCAAATATTAAACTACATATGTTTACCATAATAAAAAAAGATGTGAATTGATTTTAAAATTCATGCATCTGTTTCTGTAATTTCAGATACTAAGCCCACATCAGTAGAACTTATAATAAAACCTTCCATTCTAATTTTGATTCTTTAGCCATTTTGAACCTTTAGCAATCTTAAAGCTTCAAAATTCAATCCTAAGTATTATATTCTGTAACTGTCATGTCATCAGTACATTTACCCTTTAACAATGACTTTATTTTTCTTTAATCTATTTTTTCATTTTTAAGTGATCAGTGTCATGAGAATGTCATATTTTAAGTATATTGTAACAAACCATGTCTCAAATTTTGTATGTACCCCTGGAACCTCAAACTACAGGTATAAGTTGTTGAATATATTTTAATATGTAGCACCTACATATTGATGTTTTATTTAGACAGCAACCAGGAAGTAAAGATGCCTGACTTATTTTGCAAACTCTGGGCTTTAGAATTATGGCTTCTTCCCTTTTTTCACAAGTTGTCTTTTACCATTCACTGAGTCCTATTGAACATCTTAATTATCTTTTAACTTTGCCTGTTTTCTCCACAACCATCACATCCATCAGCATTCCTAGGCTGTATTACTACAGAAGCCTCTTCCAGACCTCCTGCCTCCAATCTTGCTCCCTTACACTCCATTCTCCACTCAGCAATTAGGCAATCCCTTCCTAAATACATTTTAGAGTAGTACTGGTCTTCTGAAAACCCTTCAGGGTCTTCCAATTGCCTTTCCTATTATGTTGAAAAGACATAAATGGCGACAGAAATCATTTAGACTCTCACCTACGACTCTAGTCTCATCCATCTTCATTGCTTCCTTTAAGTGAGATATTCAACTATCTTTAGTATTTGAATGGTGTCAAATTCATCTACTTCAACAGTCATACTGTTTCTCTTGTTAAGCCCTTTCTCCTACCCTGGGCTTTTACACACACTATGTCTCAAGTTAAAACTCATTTAAAACTCATATCCTCCTCAAAGACGGCAATTCATAGATTATAGCATGTCTCCCTGCTTTGTATCACCGTTCGTATTACATTTTATTGTAATTACTAGTTTGTTTTTCTTACCACTAGATGGCAGTTCTATTAGGCCAGGTACGTCTCCTGCTGCGTCTCTTGCTAACATTTTCTACTTCCAGCATGTATCTCAATATGTGGGAAGTGTTAAGCACTCAATAAATGTTTCTTAAATGAGAGAATAGCAACTGGTAAGCTAGTTTCACACGTGCCAACTTGTACCCCTTGACTGAAAGACATTTACAAATACTTAAAATTTACAAAAACTTAAATTGGTTTTCCGTTTGCAAATAATCTGTTTTCTTGATCAAGTACCTGCCTACTCCTCTTTCTTCACTAAAATGTCATCATTAATCTATCTCCAGACATACTGCCATTATTGCAGTTATTTAAAGGGGCCACATTTAGTCTTGACTCTAGACTTTTCCAAATGCTATTTTTATATCTAGTATACCCTTGTTTCCTTGTTTCTTTTATCTTTTAATCCTAAATAACCCCTATTTGTTAACTTTTTACTCAATACTGAACATACTAATTCAACATCTATCTTCCCATTTATATTGCAGTGCCTACAAGAGCAGAGTCAAAGTCTGTCTTGTTTACCAATATATTCTCAATGCTTCCTGGCATAGCGGATGGTGCAGAATAAAATCTCAATAATTATGTGTTAGGTTGATAAATAAAGAATCTTTGAGATGAAATATGTCCAAAATAAGGAGATTGATATGCACCTTAGGATTTTTATTTTATTTGATGAAAAAGAAAGACTAAACCATGATCTGTCTTTGGTCTTCCTTATTAAAGAAACGATAAGTATAGTTAAGAGCTGATCTCTATAATTATTGGCTCCAGAGCTTCTTTATATAACATTTCTATTTTCCTTTGTGTCACACGGATTGATCTAGTAGGAAATAATTTACTCTGAATTTGTAGTTCTTGTTACCAGTTATGGACAATTCTAGATCTATCGTTTGAGCCCTTAGACTAGCTGTAGAAATACTTCACTTCTTTCTAAATAGAGTAGGCTTTATTCATATTCTTTCAGGAAACAATCAATTTCCTTCTTTGAATATTCTAGACATTTTTAATGTGATTTTGGGTTTTCTTGGGAGGAAGCATTCTTTTTCATACTGGGGGACCCATGAAAGAATAGAATTACCATATACCTACAATCATAACAATTCTTGTTGAATACCATTAAACGCCATAGTTATTCATAATTTCAAGCCAACACAATAGTAAGTATCATTTGTTGGGCTTTTTATGGGCAAGCAAAGTACTAACTTCTTTACTGCATTATCTCATTTAATTTGTCAACAATTCTATGTTCCAGATACTATTAATAGTGTTACTCTACTGATATGGAAACTCCTGGCTGACTGATATATTGAGAACAAGAGTAAAACCCAAATATGCTTTTTTCTTTTTTTAAATAATAGGTTTACTGAGTTATAATTTATATTACATACAATTAAAGTATACAGTTCAATGATATTCACAGAGTTGTACAACCATCACCACAATCAATTTTAGAACCTTCTCATCAACTCAAAAAAGAAAATTAGTCACCACTAGCAATCACTCCCTGTGACCCCCCCCACCCAACCAAACTGCCAGCCTTACACACCTGCCAATTTACTTTCTAACTCTACAGATTTCCCTGTTCTGAGCATTTCATATAAATTGAATCATACAATACTTATTCCTTTGTGAAAGCTTCTTTCACTTAGTATGTTTTCAAGGTTCATCAACGTTATAGCATAGATCAATGTATTTCATTCCTTTCTGTGGCTGAATAATTTTTGTTGAGCCATTCATCAATTGAAAGACATTTGAATTGTTTCCACTTTTTGGTCATTATGAGTAGTGCTTCTTGCATGAACAGTCACGTACACGTTTGTGTGTGAACATACATTTTTGATTCTCTTGGATGCTTACCTAGAAATGCAATTACCAGGCCAGATGGTAACTCAGTTGAGGAACTGCCAAAGTGTTTTCAAAGAAGCCATTCCCTGGGTGTTGATATTTCTCATTTTCATACATTTCTTTGTACTTTTCTCTGTGTTGGTATTTCTTTTTCTTTTTTAAAATATTTTCTTAGAGAGTTTATTTCTGAAATAATTTTTTTTATTATACTTTAAGATCTGGGATACATGTGCAGAACGTGCAGATTTGTTACATATGTATACATGAGACTTGATGGTTTGCTGCACACATCAACCCATCATCTACATTAGGTATGTCTCCTAATATCCCTGCCCTCGCCACCCATCCCCCAACAGGCCCTGGTGTGTGACGTTCTCCTCCCTGACTCCATGTGTTCTCATTGTTCAACTCCTACTTTTGAGTGAGAACATGCAGCATTTGGTTTTCTGTTCTTGTGTTAGTTGGCTGAGAATGATGGTTCCCAGCTTCATCCATCTCCCTGCAAAAGACATGAACTCATCCTTTTTATGGCTGCATAGTATTCCATGGTGTATATGTGCCACATTTTCTTTATCCAGTCTATCACTGATGGGTTTTAGGGTTAGTTCCAAGTCTTTGCTATTGTGAATAGTGCTGCAATAAACATACATGTGTATGTGTCTTTATAGTAGAATGATTTATAATCCTTTAGGTGTATATCCAGTAATGGGATCGCTGGGTCAAATGGTATTTCTGCTTCTAGATCCATGAGGAATCGCCACACTGTCTTCCACAATGGTTGAACTAATTTACACTCCCACCAAGAGTGTAAAAGTGTTCCTATTTCTTCACATCCTCTCCAGCATCTTTTGTTTCCTTTTTAATGATTGCTATTCTAAATGGTGTGAAATGGTATCTCATTGTGGTTTTGATTTGCATTTCTCTAATGACCAGTGATCATGAGCTCTTTTTTTAATACGTTTTTTGGCCACATAAATGTCTTCTTTGGAAAAGTGTCAGTTCATATCCTTCCCCCACTTTTTGTTGGGGTTGTTTGCTTTTTTCTTGTAAATTTTTTAAGTTCTTTGTAGATTATGGATATTAGCCCTTCGTCAGATGGATAGATTACAAAAATTGTCTCCCATTCTGTAGGTTGCCTGTTTACTCTGATGATAGCTTTTTGCTCTGCAGAAGCTCTTTAATTTAATTAGATCCCATTTGTCAATTTTAGCTTTTGTTGCAATTGCTTTTGGTATTTTAGTCATGCAGTCTTTGCCCATGCCTATGTCCTGAATGCTATTGCCTAGGTTTTCTTCCAGGGTTTTTATGGTTTTAGGTCTTACGTTTAAGTCTTTAATCCATCTTGAGTTAATTTTTGGATAAGGTGAAAGGAAGGGGTCCAGTTTCAGTTTTCTGCATATGGCTAGCCAGTTTTCCCAGTACCATTTATTAAATAAGAAATCATTTCCCCATTGCTTGTTATTGTCAGGTTTTTCAAAGGTCAGATGGTTGTAGATGTGTGGTGTTATTTCTGAGACCTCTGTTCTGTTCTATTGGTTTATACATCAGTTTTGGTACCAGTACCATGCTGTTTTGTTTACTGTAGCCTTGTAGTATAGTTTGAAGTCAGATAGCATGAAACTCTCAATAAACTAAGTATTGATGGAACGTATCTCAAAATAATAAGAGCTATTTATGACAAACCCACAGCCAACATCATACTGAATGGGCAAAACCTGGAAGCATTCCTTTTGAAAACCAGCACAAGACAAGTATGTCCTCTCTTACCACTCCTATTCACCGTAGTATTAGAAGATCTGGGCATGACAATCAGGCAAGGGAAAGAAATAAAGGGTATTCAAGTAAGAAGAGAGGGGCCGGGCGCGGTGGCTCATGCCTGTAATCCCAGCACTTTGGGAGGCTGAGGCAGGAGGATCACCTAAGGTCGGGAGTTCAAGACCAGCCTGACCAACATGGAGAAACCCTGTCTCTACTAGAAATACAAAAATTAGCCTGGCATGGTGGCACATGCCTGTAATGCCAGCTACTCAGGAGGCTGAAGCAGGAGAATCGCTTGAACTCAGAGGCAGAGGTTGCGGTGAGCTGAGTTCATGCCATTGCACTCCAGCTTGGGCAACAAGAGCAAAACTCTGTCTCAAAAAAAAAAAAATTGTCTCTGTTTGCAGATGACATGATTGTATATTTAGAAAACCTCATTGTCTTTGCCCCAAATCTCCTTAAACTGATAAGCAACTTCAGCAAAGTCTCAGGATACAAAATCAATGTTTAAAAATCACAAGCATTCTTATACACCAATAACAGACAAACAGAGAGTCAAATCATGAGTGAACTCCCATTCACAATTACTACAAAAAGAATAAAATACCTAGGAATCAAACTTGCAAGGGATGTGAAGGACCTCTTCAAGGAGAACTAGAAACCGCTGCTCAAAGAAATAAGAGAGGACTCAAACAAATGGAAAAACATTCCATGCTCATGGATAGGAAGAATCAATATCGTGAAAATGGCCATACTGCCCAAAGTAATTTATAGATTCAACGCTATCCCCATCAAGTTACCATTGACTTTCTTTACAGAATTAGAAAAAAACTACATTAAATTGCATATGGAACCAAAAAAGCCCATATAGCCAAGACAATCCTAAGCAAAATGAACAAAGCTGGAGGCATCATGCTACCTGGCTTATTTTTCTAATCATTGTGCCATCTTGCCTCAAAATTAAAGAGTAATAAAATAATGTTAATTCTGGAGAATAAAATGCATTTATTAATTAAATCATTCATTTTTATTTTAGTAATTTTTGTTTTTTCTTTTGTTAAATTACAAAATATTTTATTATTTATTTATCTTTATTATAGTTTCAGAGGGTATATTTACAGGTTCATTACATAAACATATTGCATAATGGTGAGATTTGGGCTTTTAGTTTACCTATCACCTGAATAGTAAACACTGTGCTCAACAGGTAATTGCTCAACCCTCACCACTCCCTCACTCTCCCCCTTTTTGGAGTTCCCAGAGTCTATTATTTCCTTCTATATGGCCATATTTACTCACTGTTTAGCTCCCACTTATAAATGAGAACATACAGGTTTGATTTTCTGAGTTATTTCACATAGAATAATGGTCTCTAGCTCCATTCACATTGCTACAAAATACATAATTTCATTCTATTCTGTGACTGTGTAGTGTTCCATGGTGTATATAAACCACCTTCCCTTTATTTAATTATCCATTGTTGGACACTTGGGTTGATCTGTGACTTTGCTATTGTTAATAGTGTTGCAATAAACATGAGTGTGCTTGTCTTTTTGATATAACATACAAATGCAGTCATTTCTAAATGCAGAACATGTGCTCTGGACAAGAAAACTTAAGGTTCTGGTGATAGAATAAGAAGGCTTCCATCACATGGAAGCTCTACATTTTCACTGAAAGGAATTTATTCTTATGCAATTTCTCTATTCCTTGTGTATGAACAACTTTGTGGCAATCTTAAAAATACACTTTCCTAATTACAAATATAATTTACTTTATACTTTAGGTTTTAAAGGACTTGAATCCATGTATTTGGTTTGTATTTCCCAAGGTACTCTTTTTCCTTACAGAATTATTTACAAAGAAAGAATTGAATATATTGTTACTTTTATTATTTATTTATCTATTTTTAGATGGAGTCTCACTTTGTCGCCCAGGTTGCAGTGGAGGGGCGCGATCTCAGCTCACTGCTACCTCCACCTCCTGGGTTCAAGTGATTCTCCTGTCTCAGCCTACCAAGTAGCTGAGACTACAGGCGCCGGCCACCATGCCTGGTTAATTTTTGTATTGGGTAATTTTTTATGTTATTTATTTTGTACTGGTTAATTTTGTATTTTTAGTAGAGACGGGGTTTCACCATGCTGGCCAAGCTGGTCATGAACTCCTGACCGCTTTGGCCTCCCAAAATGCTGGAAGTACAGGCATGACCACCTCACCTGGCATAATATATTAAGTTCTAATTAAGATATTAGCATATATGGCGATACCTTAGCATTTTTATATAATGAGTTTCAAAGATCCTGTAAGTATTCTTCTTGAATCAAATATGTTAATAATACCTATTGTGTTAAATATTCCATTTGTTTGTGCTGATAAACTTAACATTTACAATTTCCATCTGTCTCTAAGGTTCTTAATGATAATGCCATTGGTGAGGTAAGGTAGAGGTAAGTCGTCATGATAGAAGACCTAAACTTAAAAACTGAAGCATATATCAGTGCGACATGGATTTATTTGTTAATGTACTGGACAGGTTGAGAGCAAGTAACTCAAAATTGCAAATGGGCTTTGGCTAGGAGCACAGATTCTGAATTGAGATGAGTGAAATGACTGCTGGGTTTAAAAATAGAACTTATTAGCTAATGCACACCAGCCCACCTAGAATGCTGCCCCCTTTTCCAGAGAATGGCTCTAGAAAAAAATTTGGCTGTGTCTTTAATGTTTACAAAAAAATTTTCTTGCTCTTGTCATAAAAGTCAATATCTTCACAGAAAATATTTCTAACAAAGTCAATCAATAAATAGAAAGTGAAATACTAAATGAATGAGTTTAAGACTAGAACTTTCCTTTAAAATAACATGTGGTGCTAAGGATAAACTTTTCCACCTAACTAGCTTAAAATATGTATGTTAGGAGAAAAAATATACTGTATTTAATACATAGCATAACTGATTTAGAAAAAGTCGACTGGGATATTTGATGCTAGCGATATGAAAAGCTGAGAGTTCTTTATTTTATTGTTTTCTTTAATTTGATATACTTTTCTTTCTTATTCACTAGCTTCTGATGTACTTTTTATTATTTTTTTTTCTATTCTGACTAGTTTAAGTGCCCTTGTCAACAGTTCAGTTGCTGAATGAAGCAAAGTGTTAGTTATAGTGTGAAAATCTGGTGTGCTGTCAGAAAAGGGCAAGACATTAACTTGCGAATTTTGACTTCCAGTGTTCCATAGCTCAATGATGGCTGAAAAGCCTCTCTTATGAATTACTGTTAGGGGTAACATGGCAGAAGCATTTATGAAGCTTTGTAATTATGCATGATATAAGCCTTCATCATACAGAACTATGCTTCTGCAGTGTTTGTGATGGTGTTCTTTCTTTAAAAAATAATTAAAGGACCTCCTAGTTATAAAGTGGAGGTTATTTTCAGAGATATAATTTATGAGAAGAACGCATCCTTCAGGAAATGACCTACAAAATCTTATGTCCAAAAGCATCCAGATCAAATAATCTGGATAAGTTTTGAAGTCGGGAACAAGCAGAGTAATAGTGTTACTGATACAACACGTGGAAGTTATAACCTCTGTAAAAACAAAATACCAGAGTGTATGGAGGTTGAGGGCCTTGCTTCAGAGTAGAGCTCCAGAAAACTGCATGATCAGTAGTCATGCAAAATGGCAAATAGTATGGAAGGACAGGATGATTGTGTGTTAGTATTCTGCCTCTCTAACCATGCCGTTGTCATTAGAATCCACAGTTGTATGATTATTCCAAGCACTCTTAAAAACTTTGAAACATCTGTGGTGTATGTAATTTGTGCAGTTTTGAGACATTTAGGTATTAAATATTATGTGGTTTTAGTATTATTTTGAGCTCCAATTTACATAATATGAGAATTAATTAAAATAGAATTTTTCCATATAGATTCCAGTAGAAAATCATAATGGTTTGCAAGTTCTGATTTAACGTTAGTGGTCTCATGCAAGGTTTCTCAACCTTAAGACCGGTTGACATCTGGGGCTGGAAAATTCTTTAATTGTGGGGACTGTTCTGTGCATCGCAGGACGTTTGGTAGCACACCAGGAATCTATTGAATAGATACCAGTAGCAATATCTTCTTTTATTTGTGATGACAAAAAGTCTCCAGACACTGTCAAATGTCCCATAGGTATCAAAATCATGCCAGTTGAGAACCACTGAATGAAGGCAAAGTGGGATACATATATATACATATATGTGTATAGATGCATATATACATGTGTATAGACACATATATACATACACATATATGTGTAGATAGATACATATACACACATATATGTGTAGATAGATACATATACACATATATGTGTACGGATACCTATATACACATGTGTGTGTACGGATACCTATATACACACATGTGTGTGTACGGATACCTATATACACACGCGTGTACGGATACCTATATACGCACGCGTGTACGGATACCTATACACGCACGCGTGTACGGATACATATACACGCACGCGTGTACGGATACATATACACGCACGCGTGTACGGATACATGTATACACGCACGCGTGTACGGATACATGTATACACGCACGCGTGTACGGATACATGTATACACGCACGCGTGTACGGATACATGTATACACGCACGCGTGTACGGATACATGTATACACGCACGCGTGTACGGATACATGTATACACGCACGCGTGTACGGATACATGTATACACGCACGCGTGTACGGATACATGTATACACGCACGCGTGTACGGATACATGTATACACGCACGCGTGTACGGATACATGTATACACGCACGCGTGTATACATGTATACACGCACGCGTGTATACATGTATACACGCACGCGTGTATACATGTATACACGCACGCGTGTATAGATACATGTATACACGCACGCGTGTATAGATACATGTATACACGCACGCGTGTATAGATACATGTATACACGTATACACGCACACGTGTATAGATACATCTATACACACGCACACGTGTATAGATACATCTATACACACGCACACGTGTATAGATACATCTATATATATATCTATATATATACACATATATATATGTGCCCTGGACAAGAAAACTTGCATGTATATATATGTATTTTGAGACGGAGTTTTGCTATTGTTACCCAGGCTGGAGTGCAATGGCATCATCTCATCTCACTGCAACTTTCACCTCCTGGGTTCAAGCAATTCTCCTACCTCAGCCACCCGAGGAGCTGGGATTACAGGTGCCCGCCACCACGTCCAGCTAATTTTGTTTTGTATTTTTAGTAGAGACGGGGTTTCTCCATGTTGGTCAGGCTGGTCTCGAATTCCCGACCTCAGGTCATCTGCCGCCTCGGCCTCCCAAAGTGCTGAGATTACAGGCGTAAGCCACCACTCCCAGCCCATTTTTTTTTAAAGCTGAAATAAATGTAAGATAATCTCAATTCTTGTTTAGTTTCTGACGAAGTATTTTTAAATATGATATCTCTATTTCTCTATCTCTATCTCTGTCTTTGTCTCTCTGTCTCCTAGAGGTGAAGAACAATGAACTCCAGCTAAGATTTTCAAATTGTGTTCAGGTGTTCATGGTCTCTCTAAATCTAATGAGAACTTTATTTTTAACATGTTTTAAGTAATATTAAAAGTATAAAGGTGAAAATCTTGGAAAAGCCTCTGCTTAACTCTAATAAATACTAATATTTTGTAAATGCACATTTATATCACTGGGTATTTTTGTGCTGACATCAGAAACTAGGCTTTTTCCCCTGCTGTTTCTGTGCATATAATACAATTTCTTAAAAATATGTACTTAAGAATGACTGAAATTCTGTGTTTGATTTTTTAACAAAAGTGTGCAAATCCAATCATCTAAACTTACCTAGGAAAATTATTAGGAAGCACATAAGTGCCTGCTAAACTATATACTAGTTAATTCTCAGACATGCGTGATCTTCACTACTCAGTTATTTGTTGAAAATAACAAGATTGTTCTGTACTCCTTATCTATTGATAATATTGGAATATGATTTTCATGCTTCTTTGTCAGTTTGGAGTATTTTCTGTTACATTATTTACCAGAAATGAGAAAAGTGGGTATTGAAATTTAATGTAAAAATCTCTTACTTCCATTTCAAATACCTTCATTTGTTTAAATAGAAGGTGTGTTGAGGTTTCCAAAAGTCCTATTGAAAATTACTTCCATTAACTGTGAGTTCTTCAGGTGGATTTCTATTTTCAAAACTGTGTAAGTGGAAAAAAGAGGAAATAAGTTGGATACTGAAACATATAAAACTGCAATTGTCACCCAGAACAACTGCTGCTAACTTGTGTATTTATCGAAACAGGCTCTTTTTTTTTTTCTCCCATGGACTGACTTTTATTGTATACGTATTTTAAATTTGAACTTATAAAATAACTTATTTTATTAAAGCACCCATTTAATATATTTTTATATTAGGATACTTCTTTAGTTTAATGTGAAAAACAATTCCATTGTGAAAAATACTTGAAACTAACATCTTTAGGCTGCAATAATTCTAAGTTTCTATTATGCCTATGCCAGGAGTTTATAAACTGTGAAAGATATTTAAGGGGGGGTGGAATTTGCTAAAAACTTAGTTTTATATAATTATTTTATTATAATAACTATCATGCTATTTTCCCCCAAGTTTTTGTTGTTACTGAAATATGTGGTAGAAAATACAGAGATTTCATTTTTATCCAATTCTGGGTAGTAGGTCCTTGTGTATGATTGATCTTTTGTAACACTGGTAAGAGACTTCAGCTGTCATCTGTCCCACTTTTACCCTCTTTTCCCACAACCTGTAAATACTTACTGTGTCCTCAGAATTTAACTCCCAATTGTGAATAAAGGCCAAAATAAACCATTGTCAGATGTTATATTTGTAAAGGCCATAGGCTATAGGCAAGGATAGTGAGAATTATTTCTCTGCAGGTGTCTCAGCAAATAAGATGGGAAAATCCGCTCCTTGCTTTTCACCTCTTTCTTTCAAGTGAAACCCAGAGTAGTGAAGTTTTCACCTTAAAATGTTTCCTTGCAATTTGGATAAATTGAAACTGCCTGAGGGAATAGATTATTGAATGTTTTTTCACAAAATATTAAAAACAAAAAGAGAGAGCTCTTTCCAGACACTGCAGTAAACAGCCTTGGTCTTTTAATGGAACACCTATTTGCTGGTGCTATTCCTTCCTTTTCTGTAAAAGACACAGAAAAATAAAGAATGGAAGCTGTACACAAATAGACATCTGTGTTTAATACCAGGCTATCACTGTGAACTTCCTGGGGAAAAAAATGTAGCTGTCATTGTGTACAGTGGCTCACAGTGTACGGTTTAGAGTGAGGCAGATATGATTTGGAACTCCAGATTTGTTTCTGCTAAGAATGGCGGTGTTTACTTTTGCTGAGTCCTTAATACGTTTTTGCTAAGGTCTTTGGATTTTCTCATTTATCCCTTATACTCACCTGCAACATTGGTGTAATTATTGCTATTTTACAGATAATAGATCTGAGTGAGCCTCAGAGAGATTGCCCGAAGTGGCCAAACTTGTCAAAGCCAGGTTACAGCCAAGCTCTGTTACCTTCCCTTTCCCAAGACTTAACCAAGGGCGGATACAAACAACTGGAAGAAAACAAACACTGAAAATATTATGATGCAAGCTCTGTAACCCCTTACATAATCCAAAATGATGATTTCAACCAATTTTTCCAAGCATCAAATTATTTCCCTTTTCTCTCTTTTTCAATTCTTTGAGCAAGTGCTTAGTCTACATCATCCAAGACTCTGTAAACACTATAATTCTTCCCAACACTAACTGCTATGACCTTCAGCAAGAAAACTATTTCTCAAAACTTCATTGTTCTTTATTTAGAAGAGTTTAAAACAAACTAATGTTAAGATTAAAATTATAAGTATAGTGATTTTCATACTGCCAGAAAATTAGTAAGCACCTACCAAAGGAAAATATTACCAAGTACTTACTGGGGAAGGTTACTAGAAACATGGCAGTAAACAGGAACTCAAAAGTAAATTCAGTTGTAGAAACTGGATGAGAAAAATAGCCAAATTGCTTATTTTCATAAAACAAATTCTCTATCTCTAATAAATGGTTTTGATTCTTTCATTTAGCAATTATTAACATCTATTGTATACTAAGCAGTAGGGATTTTTTTTTAATGATAAGTTCCTATATTTAAAAAGTCACAGAGAATACAGTTTGGTATTAATGTGACTACAGAATCCTGCTCAAGTGGTTTTGTCATGTCCTGGTATGAACTGAATGTTTGTGTTCCCCCAAAATGTATATGTTGAAGACATAATCTCTGAAATGACAGTATTTGGAAGTGAGGCATTTGGGAGGTAATTAGCTCATGAGGGTGGAGCCTTCATAAATGGGGTTATTGCCCTTGTAAAAATAAATACAGAAGAGATAATCTCCCTCTTGGCATGTAAGGGTCCAGCAAGATGACAGCTGTCAACAAGCTGGGAAATGGGATCTCACCAGATGTTGAATCTGCTGGACCTTAATCTGGAGACTTTCCAGCCTCTAAAACTGTGAGAAATCAACTTTTGTTGTTTCAGCCTCTCAGTCTATGATAGTTTTGTTATATTAGCCCAAGCCAAGACATGCCAACAATAGTTTAACACTGATTTGGCCTTAATATTGTGGAACAGCATGATGTTAACTAGGAACAAAAATTTGAAAATGAGTAGCAGGAAATACTTCCATACTATGTTTAGCTTTTTGACCAAGTCACCATGTTCTTGCCTCAGGGCCTTTGCACTTGTTTTTCCATCTGTCTGGGACACTCTCCCCTACTTCCACTCCAATATCTCTATAGCTTAACCCTTCATCTTCATCATGTCTCTGCTCAAATATTCTCTTCTCAGCAAGTGTCCCACTAACTATCTTGGTTTAAAAAATACCATCATCACCATTGAAGCCTCTAAAACCCACTTCCTCCAAAATCCTTTTCCTTATTTGCTATAGTTTTTTCCACAGGACTTTTCATTCCTAAGAGTAAAATGTTGTATGCTTTTTTTTTGCTAGTAATTCTTTCCACGTTATTAGTGCTCAATAAATATTTGCAGAATCAGTCTTGAGTTCTAAGAATAGTGTGCTCTAGAGGCCTACTATCCCAGTAGATCAGAATCATATAAATCATTTAGTAAAATCAACACAGTTAATCACAGTGGCCTCATTTCATTCAAAAAGAGAATGAAAAGAATGATGTGGAAGCCGTTTAGGGAATACAGTGTTCCTGGCAGGGGAGGGAGAGAGAGAGAGAGACAGAGAAAGAGAGAGAGAGAGAGAGAGATCTGGGGGCTGTTTTAAGAGAATCCCTTGTAAAGATTAGTCGAGCTTGCAGGAAGACTGATATTTGGCTGTTAGGTTGTGTATCTGTTTAGTCAACAGACCTACTGATATGTTAGTGAGTGACTGGACTCTGAAGTGGTGATCTGGACTTGAGCCATTTAGCCCATGCCTTCCATTAAAAATATCAGTCAGGGGACTCAGCATCAAAAGACCATAGGGAATGTAAAAAGTAAAGTGAGGTTCCTCTTTAAAGACTTTCCTCCCTGTCTAATTAGGAATAAATAGTAACTTCTCTTGAAGCAAAATTTATTCAAAGACCTGTGCTAACATTCTTAAATATCTGCTAGCCGTAATAAAGAAATCAATGTACTTTATGTTCTTGGTTCCCACAATTTAGCCTAAATATTTGCCCTGGCTTGCTTATACTGGTCCAAGCAAGCATTAGGTCATACCCTGTTCCTCTTCCTTATTTGAAGGTGTTTTTAACTTTCTCAGCATTCCACAGGTTACTCCCTCCTTCCTTTGTTCTCCTTTGCCTTTGCCTGTTTTAAAAGGTTCTAAGTTGCTCGCCAATCTGGACAAATACAGAATGTGAGGTCCCATTGCAGCCAATGGAAACCAGACACAGCAGTAGGGTGGATGTGCCGGATTATAAATGACCCTGTCTCCTTTGTTTGGTGTACTCTCATGGCAAAACTGCTGGAGATTGTACTCTTTATGCAGAAAATATAAAAATGACCTTGCTGAGAAAATTAAATTTATGTTCAAGTGCTATTTCTTTACGGCACTGGAGAACAAGCATTTCAAACAGGAAGATGACTGGCCACTAGCACTGGCTGGGAAAATGTAGACAGATGTAGGAGTTAGGTTTAGCAGGATTAAATCTCAAAAACCAAGGGAATGTTGAAGTGAGAAGGTACTTGTTGAACTTCTCTGAACTACCCACACAAGCACCACGAGAGAGTTGGTGTTCAAATGCTTACCTCAGAGAAGATACTGAGTGCCACGCAGTGTTAGCCAGGACACAGGACCATCAACCAGAAAGGAAGCATGCTTCTAACCTTGTTTAGTAAAGAAATACTTGCTCTTTCCATCCTCTTCCCTACCCCTCATCACAACGAATGGAGGAGCCAGTGATTAGAAGAGGATGTAGTGTTCATTTTATAGTCCAAGTCTTTCTTCGTTCATCCATTCTGAAAAGCCATGAACTCCACTTCAGTATGTAATTAGGGAGAGGAGAAATCAAGCTTTAAATACAGATTGACATTAAATTAAAAACAAAATAAAATGAGGAGAATGTGTCTTAATTATCATAATGAGATATGAGTGATGCAAAAGCTATGCATCCAACCCAGATGTCACTAAAGAGCCGCCAAATGTTATTTTACCCAAGAGAGTTGTAATGATGGCTATTGGAAGAAAGAAACCCTAGATGTTTATAAATCAATGAATTGGGATGGTTCAACCTTATAGCTACAGTGAGATTTAGGTTTTGTTTAGACAGCCTCTCTCTCAGTAAATAAAACATCTAATTGCATCTTTTACGGATATTTTACGTTTTTGTCTTTCAACATGAATTCTAAAATTAAAACCAAAACCTGAAACATTGGTGAAGGGTCTGGCCTAAATTATTCCCTTAAAAAAGAGTAGACATTTTAATTGTGATGGATAAAAACAATGGTTTCATTGTGTTATGCTTCAGGAGATCTAAAAGTTTCAAACAATCAAAGAAGAAAATCAAGTGCAATTTGAGGCTGCAATGAGCCATGTTACATTTTAAGATGTGCCACAATCAACTGATGATTTGTAGGTAGACTAAAAAGGAAAGTTTCATGGGGTATCTCAATAAATATTGTTGAATAAAAGTCCTCTTTCCTTGAGAATTATGAATACACCAATGACTAATTTAATAGAAAAAATGAAGGGAAAAAAAGGCAGTTACATTGGGCTTTGTGGTCTCCTACGATTAGTGTTACTCCCTACAGCGTCTCTCCCTGCTGCTGTGTTCACTTAAGCCATCACAATCAGCTGGAACACCTGGACAGCATGAGGAATGGACATCTCATCACATTTTCAAAATTGTTTAAAACATAGCAGTCAGTTAAGTGAACACTTTACCGAAAGAATAATGCAATGCATTAAAATAATAGAATAGGCAGTGAGGAACAAATATTGGGTAGTGGTAAGTAGAATGCACATATTTCCTTCTTGCGTTTATTCGCGTATAAATTTACTGTAACTATCTGACATTTCAGTTTTGAAGTTTCAAAATCCATGCCTTCTTTCTAATTAAACACTTCTACTGTTCAAAACAGCAGTAAAAATTTCTAAGTTTTGAAGCTATTGTTTTAATGATGGGAACTTCTGATCAATGTGTAGTTAATAATAGTATTTTATATCTAGCATTATTTATCAGAACTGATTGAAATGGTTTAAAGGCTTTCATTTTTAACATTATGGGGCAATGGTTGGCAATATAATTTTTTTAACCTTTAAAAAATACTGAAGTAGAAAAAAATTAAATCTTTTTAGCTTCTCAGAAGAAAGGCAGCATGTAAATACAAATTATTCTTGAGTGATTTGTTTTTAATTCACAAAATGAATCAGTAGGGAACAGTTTTCAATAGAAATAAAATATTAGATTCTCAACTCTTTAACGGAATGAACTGTTGAGAGTTATTTCTTTGTTGGCAGTGGTAGTGATGGCAGGGAAGTTATTCCCATTTCGTGAAGGCAGCACTGACAACATATTTTCTTCTCTTCCTTCATTTCAATAAAACATAATTTCTAGAAGAGAATTCACATGAATTCAAAAAGTTGAAATCAGGATAAATATTGGAGGCTTATTTTGTTTACTCATAGTCTTCATTTGATAATAGTAAATTTATTACCTAATTTAATAAGCTCATTCTCAAGTTCTACATTTAATTAGTATTAAGTGTACTTAGAATAGGTATTTTTGAAATATATACTTATTACAGGTCTTTTTATTCCAACTTTCTCCCATGTTGTTAAAAAACATTTTTTTGAATTTTTCATTAAGATTTTTATTTTGTTTTCCAGATTTTCTTATTACATTGGAATTATATCAATAATAAATTTATTAATAAAAACTGGAGTCTACTCTCTAGTCAAATTATTGTCATTTAAGGAGAGCAAAGTTGAGTCAAGTAAGGGAATGATGGGGTCATCAGTGAAACTGGAATTGATAGAAGGGTTCTGAAAGAGAAAATAAAACAAATGCCTATGACAAATTTGCCTCAGGTCAATTGTAAGCTCTGAAGGGCAAGGGAAAATAAGATCTTTTTTACTAGCCACTCTATTCATAGCAATTAGTACAATGTCTGGCACTGAATAAATATTTATTGAATAAATGAATTAATGTTTACACTATGATTTCAGGCCAGTCTCTGTATAAAATCTTCCTTGAAGCTTGTTAGTAAATCCAAAGAGAAATTAAAATTATATTGTGACTATGGTAAAAAAATCAAATAAATCTAGATCTTGGTTACTTTATGTTTAAATTTTAACACTAATTAAATATTTGATTAAAAAAGACTACACTGGTCATATCTATATACTAATGCTACTGTTTATATTTATAAAGCACTTGTAACTCAAATACATATAAGTTAGAAGCATTGTATAAATGCCTAGTGGATTTATTTTTTGGTGCACCTATTTAGAACTCTTAGGAAGTAGCAGAATAGAGAATGCTATTCCCATTTTCAAAGTTAGGATAAATTGAAAAAAAAAAGTTAATTCGAGAAACTTGTTTTTATTTCTTATTTTTACTTTGCATCTGAAGCTTTGGCCTTTGTAATACTACACTGGACACACTTCCATTTGGAATATAAAATTTAGAATTAATGCAAGGAACACAAAAATTAAATTTACCAACTCTGAAAAACATTACAGAGCAAGGATACACCAACTAGAAAACAGTCTAAGTAATTGAAGTAGGTAGTATTTATTTCACTAACAGAGTGTTTAAGAAGATTTCATAACAGAAATATTGGGTATGTGATGGTTCCAATGTACTCCTATGAATATAAATGAATGTCAAGTTCCAAAATCAGTTGTATAATTTCCTACTAATTACTAATGATAATTTAATTATTTATTAAAGATTCAAGGTCAAATTCATGCTTAGCAATTATAGCACTGAAGAAAAAGGTAGGAACAAGCTTTCTTCTTATATTTAGTGATGCTAGACTGGTGTACCCTCTGAAATAAAAAGAGTAATAACCAAATTGACAGTAAATTCCTACTATATGCCTAGTTGAGCTGGTTATTTGTCAAATGTTACATCATTAATTGTCAGAACAATGGTGCTGTGGTTTTCTATTTAACAAATGAGGGAAGGAGAAAGTAAAATTCCCAATCTCTAGAAAGTTATTAGTAACATAATTTACATTCTAAGACAGGTTTTAAACTTCTCACTTTGTGGCTACGTAATAATTCCTATTCCGGCTGCACTTCTTGAATCCCTTCCTTCCCACTCAATTTGCTGCTTCTAATCACCTATGGAACAGGGGAATCAGAAGAACTAATTTTCTTACAGTTGGATATGAAAATAGAGTAGAGCAATAATGAGGACATGAAGGTCAATCTAAGAATGAAATTCATGAGATTCAGTGAATGAATGTTTTGTATCCATATTCATGACACAAGGACTATGCCAACTGCTGGAGCTACGTGCACTGTTGTTAGTATACTTGTAACAGCAGAGACAAACCCACTGAAAAAAACTGAAGGGTTGTCAAACTCGAGATAGAGTATATTAATAAAATTGTATATGTTGCGTGCTCAAAGTCAAGGGTTATATAGTTCCTTGTGCTGCTGGAACAGTGTACCATATACTAGGTGACGTAACAGAAATTTGCCATCTTACCGTTTTGGAAGCTAGAAGTCCAAAAATCAAGATGTTGGCTGAATTATGCTTTCCAGAAACCTGTAGGAGAATCTTTCCATGCATAGTATAACTCCAGTCTCTGCCTTCATGTGGTCATCTTCTGTCCTCACATAACGTCTTTTCTCTGTGTATATTTGTGCATAAATTTTTCTTTTCTTATAAGGACACCTGCCATATTGAATTAATGACTTAATGACCTCACCTTAACTTGCTTATAAGAGTTTATATATACAAGGAGATTTTATAACTCCTTTTTAGGGGACACAAACCCATAACTAGTTCATGAACAAGTTGGAGGACAAACTAAGAAATATTCACAAGGTGAATCAGAACACAACAGTCCAATACTTGAGCAGGGTTGGAAGGACATTTCCAAAATAAACCCTTTAAATGGTGTTTGGGTACCATGTTGCTCCTTCTGGCTCCTGGGTCTCTGATATTGTAGATTTGGAAATGAAAACACTGGCAGATCTTTCTTTAGAAATTTTTGATGCTGTCCCAGTTTTTGATTGTTGGTTAAATAATGTCTCAATAAGTGGGAATTACATGTATTTAACTATGACAATCAGAGAGAAGGATAAATAAGCATAAAACTCAACTATAAAAGAGACTCTCAAATTTCCCCTAAGGATTTTAAGCTGGGTTTTATTTAGGCAGAAAGGGAAGAACAGACAGAGATGAGTAGGAGGAACAGCGTATGTATCTTACGCAAAAAACAGTCGCTAAGCAGAAAGACAGGACCAGAAGCAGACATGATAAGGGGGCCTTAAACCAACTCTAAATAAAATCCTACTCTAACTCCAACAATGAAGGCATAGATTTTTTTATTGAGCGCACATTGTATCTCAGATTTCAGGTATTTTAACTACATGGTTATGAAAATATCACTCTAAATTATTGGGTCATTAACTCAGCATGAAACATAATCCCAGAAAAATGTCAAGGATTTATGTACATTTCTCATCTTGAGTCAATAATAATTTTCTAGTGTGTTTTATTTTTACCAATAAATGATATGTGTAAAAAATCACTGGGGTAAACAAATTCAGAAAAATAAAAAGTGACTATTTAAGATTTTATGCATAAACCGTGATCTGTGTTTAGACTCCAAAGGAAGTGATACACAATAAAATTACTTTGCAAACTTATTTATACTTAAGTCAAACAAGTATTTTTTTTCTGTAGGGAAATCTCCCATAAAATAATCAGTTATAATCATTCAGCTAATTCTATGCTTGTGAATTCTGTCTCTTTTTATTTCTTTCTTTAAATGTTTGTCTCTGGAAAACTCTAAATAGATTTTATCATAAAATTTGTTTCTATTACACATAGGAGCTAAGGAGCTATTGGCTTCCATTTGCTATTAATGATGTACTTACAAGTCATCACTCTCAAGTTGTACTACCTTTATCTGAAAAGTGATAATTAGTAAATTAATTGTATACATGTCTATTCATAACATTCAATAAGTCCTGTATTTTACATATGGCCGAATCATTTAAAGATTAGGATCTGAAATCAGAATAAAGAGTCCCAAATTGGCCACTAAACCTGTTCTTCTACTATGAAATAGGGATAAATAATGTTGCTGAGCTCACGTTTGCAAGGATTTAATGAGATAATATTTATGAGTAATGTATACCACCATCTGTCATATAATTAGCATAACATAATGTCACCTTTTAATATGATTGCTAAATGCATTTTTAGAATCAACCATAATTTCAGTTTCAGAATTTCTAAGTAAAACTCACTCCAGTTTTAGAATAACAAAATTGAGAAAAAGTGTATAGGAACCAACCCAGGGAAGAAAGACAACACAGAAGAAAAAGAGGAAAGGTTTTTGCAATAAACCATCACTACTTCCATTTTAAGCAACAGCTCCTGTTTCCTTTGAACACTTCATGTGATACCTATGTTCAAAGACACACAGTGCCAGAAACATTCATTTTAATATAACTTTTCTGTGCTTATTTTGCGTTTTTGAACACTATAAATGTAAAACATAGTAATATTTCTTAAAATTAATCATTTTTTCTCTATCATCTATTTCCTGCCTATGCAACAGCTACACATACACTTAATTCTCTAAAATGATCTCACAACATCCTTCCCCATCTAATGGAATAGCTCTGTTCCTATTTTTATCATGATAAAAATTTGTCTGGAAATAAATTCCTTAGAGGCAGGAGAGTAGAGAAAACTCAGCTGACAGAGCCAGAGCCTTTTTATACCAAAGAGAAAATAGACTCTACCATTACCCTTTTTATTCACACTGCATCCAAAACAACATTTTAGAGTAAAGAGATAAAATGTTGAGGTTGCTGTGTTAACCAGAGTCGAATCAGATAACAGAGACCAACTGAATGTTTAAACAGAGTAATGCAGATAATTGGTTACTCAACTGAAAGAAAAGCTTAAGATCTAAATTTAGGAGAGCAGAATAGCCCAAACATTAGCAATATCAGTGGCCGCTATAACCCCTAGGCTGGAGGCATAAAAGGAGGAGGTAGTTTTATCAGGATCCAGGACCCAGGACAGACAAGAGTTGGTAGAAAAGATGGTGGGTTTATCTGGGACAGATTGCATCCACAAAGTAGACAGTACCACTCACACATAATCCACGTAATGCGTAATCCAATCTCATATTCTAACACTGACTGACAATCTCCCATGGATCCCTTCCACAGGTCATACTTAACAGGACATCAGACAACTATAATTGCAAAGGAACACGGCCCCAGTAATCCCATATTACATAGCAAAGTAATAAAAAGTAGCCGAGGTAGATGTAAGGATTCAAGGGCAAACAAGTGCTGAAAAACTACAGTAAATGTAGATCAATGAAAAACAACAATTACTTTATATTTTTTGGAAAATTCAGATGGAATGTTGGATGGATGGATGAATTAATAGATGAGAGAGAGAGAAAGAGAGACTCTGAGTGAACGAACCAGAAAAATCTAGCTAAGGTTATTGAAATCAAGAATATAAGTTTCAAGAGGGGGCGTGGTGGGAAATAAAAAAATATATAAGTTTCAAATAGGAGTTTATTCTTATTTTCTTTGATTCAGGATTACTTACATTAGCTATTATGTTGATTTTAAAATATCTGTTCATTTCACAATATTTGTGTTTGTTATCAGCTCCTTTGCAAAATTTTCTAGAAAATACAACTGTGACAGAACATTACCATTTTTTCTCCCCTTTATGAATGAGTTTATAATTATAGTTATTCTTTCATGTTTTATAATGTCTAAATTTCCACAGATTATGATGTCTTTAAAAACAAATAGTAATATTGTCAGCAGCTCTTTGGACTCTTTATTACCTCTTTATACTTAAAGATCCAATTTATAATGTACATTTTTCCATTTCAGTGAATAATGCTCAGTCTTTGTTTACCTGTGGATGAACATAGCCTTCCTTCTCAGTTTATTCAGTGAAAACCCAGTCCCATTTTCCTTCATGAATATAATATTTTTCACAGCTTTGAGTATCTGGATTATCACAAACCAGGCATTTAATAGGTATCCTATTAAAAAGTTAAGAATCCTGCTTCAGAATCTTTGCTCTATTTGGAAATATGGTTGAACAGATCATTGTCATCAGGAATCCACCCCAACATTTCACCATCTCAAACTGACTCTCCAGGGGTTTTCAAGGTGATGACACTATTGCTTTTCAGAGAAGATCCTTAGCCCAGCTTAGTCACATATGTAGATAATCCAAACCAATATAGAAAATTATTTTAACCTTTGTAAGCTTCAGTTCCCTTACCTACAATATAATTATTGTGAAGATTAACTATAATACCATACATATGTGCTCAATAAAGATTTACGTCTTTAAAAATAATATGGATGATAAGAGTATTATCTGATATTCTGATGCAGAAACGTTTCAGAAGTCTTTGTTTTGTGATTTTGTCTGGACTCTATTCTCATGACTGTCAACCCTTTTTCTTCTTTGGCCTCTCTCTACTGTCGATATATTCTAATTCTATAATGGATTAGGAAATAACCGAGTCAGAAAAGTAGCTAAGTAAGAGTGAGTTGGTTCTGCCCAAGGACTGAGAAATTTGAAAACAAAACAAAACAAAACAAAACAAAAACAAAAAAAGTGTATCAGTTTTACTACATAGACTTTATGACATTAATTTTGTCTGGTTAGACAACGTTTTTTCACTTTTCTTATACTTGGCTAAAAACTGCGTAGTTTAGGTTGTCAAATGAATGACTCAGTAAGTGATATAATATTATGTTTTATTTCTGATGTCTAAGGAATCATAAAAATTATACTGTTCCAATATTTTGAAAAATCATTCAATTATTAAATATTTTCTTCCTGTTTAAACACATTTAATTATAATGATATTTTGAATAATTCATTTATTTCTTAATAGTGATGGCCCATAGTTCCATAACTAGTAACAATGCAAATGAAGAGAATGAGGTAAGCATTCAATTAATCTCTGTATTGGTTAGACTATAAATTGGGGAAGCTATAAACAATTCTAAATATGATATTGATTATTCACATGGGAAAGATAGTGCAAATTAGAAATTGTTAAAAACCAATTTCCTGTCCTTCCACAGCTTAATTATACAAATTGCATGCTCCTGCTTCATAATATGAACTTTATTGGTTTTAAATAATGTCTATACCCATGAATAAATGCATAATTTAATTGGTATACTCAAGTGGTCAGTGATATATATGTGATTTTTTCTGACTGCATAATTATAATGCGTCAATATCTGATAGCAAGAAGTTAAAATACACACGTAATGTTGAAAATGAGTTTGAGTATGACAACTGATACTTAACATGGATGTCTCTATATTTTTTTGGTACCAAGCATTGACGGGGGACAAGTTACAATGACTTTTAAAGTAAAGAGTTGCCTAAAACAATAGACTTATTGTGAAAGGCTACAGTCTTTATTGGATGATCCATTGCTATTGAAATACTCTATTTCTTCAAATTAATGAAAATAATCCTACAACATTAAGCACCTGTTACGCACAAGGTGTTGGAATATTTTAAAAAATATTCGTAATAACATTTTTCATCATTCATATGCTCACAGTAACACCACAGTATTAAAAAAAAGCGTATAATAGCAAATTATAATACACAGCAGAAGTTTTTAAATAATCACTACCTTCAAAAAGTGTGATGAAGACACAGTGAAAGAGTCCTCTTTTTTTTACATCAGAAAAATCTTCATAGAGGGAAGGGTAATTGTTTTAAATTTTTCAAATGAAAGATTTTGAGAGTTGAAAATTGGGAGACTAGCTCTTCTCAGACTAAAAGATAAGCCTTGCAAAGACATGGGGTAGGAAAAAGACTCTACTAAGAAGTAACTGAAATGTTGGAGAAAAACGCCAGAGGAAATGATTAATGAGGCTGGAAAGGCAGTTTGGGGCGAAGTCAGAGAGATTCATATACCACTGAAAGCTATCTGGTCTGTGTTCTTTCCTTCCTGCTTCCCAGCATATAGCTGTGTGCTCAGGGAAGACTGTAAGTCAAGGCTTTGTAAAGTCAAACTAGGTTGCTGAATACGTGACATGATTTGCAAATGCTCAGATACAGCACCCCCTGAAAATATGTTCCCACTACCTAAGAATAGTTAAACATTTTTTACATTTGCATCTTCTTTTGAGTATCTATGAAAATTGATAAACTTCTTGGAAGAGTCAAAATTTAATTTGTTATTAACAAATGTCTCAAATAAATGAAAAATAACTTCAGTGTCTATCAGACATCTCATGTTAAGGTGGCCAATATGAAACTTGTTCTCTTCCCATCCAAATCTGCTTACCTCCTTGCTACAGTAAGCCAGATCATGTCAAATGGTCAACTTCATCCTTGCATTTTCTAAATAAAAACTTTAGCATTATCCTTGACTCTTTTAGTACTTTCACAACCCATATCCAAATTCTGTTGGCTCTGTCTTCAAAATCTATTAAGATTCTTATCACCCCTTGCCAGCTCCACAGCAGGCACTCCTGCACTGTTCCTTGACATTTTTACTAATACCCTCCTAAAACACCTCCCTGCTTCAACACTTGCTCCCTTTCAGTTGATTTATAACACATCACTAGAGAATTTTATTTTTTTAACAAAGACAAATTATGCTACCTTTTGGCTCAAATTCCTAAAAATCTGTGATGTTTAAATTTATGTTTTAACTTGATGGGTCATGAAGTGCCCAGCCATTTGATTAAATGTTATTGTGACATTATTGTGAAGGTGTTTCTGGGTGAAATTAACATTTGAATTTATAGACTGAGAAAATTAGATTGTCTTCCTTCATGTGGGGTGGGCCTCATCCCATGAACTGACGATCAGAATAGAAGAAATGAGCCAAATAAGGGAGAACTTTTCCTCCCTGACTGCTTGAGCTGAAATTTGGGTCTTCTCCTGACTTCGGACCAGAACTGAAACAATGGCTTTACTTGAGACTTGAGCCTGCCAGCCTTTGGACTGCAGCTTACACCATCAGCTCTCCTGGGCCTCCAGCAAGTCAACCACAGATCTTGAAACTTGTCAGCCTGGACTGCAACTTGCACTATCAGCTCTCCTGGGCCAACAGCAAGCCAAACACAGATCTTGAAACTTGTTAGCCTCGACTGCAACTTACACTATCAGCTCTCCTGGGCCTCCAGCATGCCAACCACGGATCTTGAAACTTGTCAGCCTCCATAACTGTGTGAGTCCTTTATACACACATACACACAAACACACACATATGCACACACTCATGTACACATACATATACATACATCCTATTGGTTCTGTCTCTCAGGGAATCCCTGACTGCTACCAGGTCCTAATTTTATTCAGAGTAAAAGTCAAAACTTTCACAACTGTCATCAAAGCCCTAGAATCTGATACTTTCCTTCACTGACCTTTTTTGTGCCACTTTCATGTCTCTTCTTTTGCTCTAGCCAAGTTTTCTTGCTATTTTGAAACACTGCAAGTAGTAAAGGCTTTGGGCACATTGTTTCTCCTGATTAGAATTTAATGCTTCTTCATATCTTCATAGCTACTCCATCATATCCTTCCATTCTCTGATCAAAGACCTCCTTCTCAACAAGGTATTATCCGACCAGAATATCTTATGTTATAATACAAAATCATTCTTTCGCCAGTCACACCAAAGCCCTCTTAAATCTTTTATGCTTTTTATGCAAACAATACCCTCTAACATATTTAATATTTTAAAATATATTATATTTATTTATTACGGTCTTTCTCACACTTCATCTTCACCAAATTTTGTGCTGCATTAAGATCTGTTCTTTAATCATATATTTCAATGTTCTAGAATATCTAGAGCATAACAGGTAGTCAACAAATGTTTGTTACAGATTAAAGTTAATATTTATTGCGGCCTTCTGTAGGCCTCAGATTATTTCCCAAAATTAACTCCAAAATGCCCTTATTGAAGTAGGTTATATTCTCTCTATTTTACAGGTAGAATGCTGAAATGTTAAATAACTTGCCCAAATGCACAGTTAGCAAATGCTAGAGCTAAGACGGGTAATTTAGCAGAAATTAGGTAGTAAAACATTTAAAATGAGAAGAATTGTGTACTGTAAAGAGTTCCAAGAGAAAAGAGATTATTTATAACTCCTCTGTGTTTTAAGAACATGAATTCAGATTAAAATCCATAGAAGAAAGAGACTGAACAAAATTCACAGCAGAAACACTGTGAGGTAACCAAAGACAAACAGGAAATCAAATTTTCCTGAATTTCAAAATGAGAAAGGGAAAGGGAGATGCATGAGTC
Source organism: Homo sapiens (assembly GCF_000001405.40). Lineage (NCBI taxonomy): Eukaryota > Metazoa > Chordata > Mammalia > Primates > Hominidae > Homo > Homo sapiens. Next base: position 30,295,738 of record NC_000004.12, read on the forward strand.
TATTAGAATCCAATGCATGCATAAACTCATAAGCTATTCGATCACAATCGCCTTTTCCTCTTCTTTCAATAATGTTTACCTTTCTGTATTAGTCCATTGGGTGGCGCCACACAGGACACGCCCCTGGCTTCCTCTGGCTCCAGCTGCACTGCCATGCATGGCAAACAAAATTCCTGCAACTCTTGGGGATGCTATGACTGGGTCCTTGCCAGCTTCTGCAATTGCCCTGGTGCTTTCCCCCAATTCAGAGGATATAAATGTGACTTAAATCTAAACACTGTCTCTATCCAACGTAGGTGAGACTGCTTTGCCTCATTACCATGTGAGGGGACGAAGAAAAGATGCCATCTACGAACCAGGAAATGGGTCCATACCAGGCATTGACCCTGCTGGTGCCTAGATCTTGGACTTCCCAGCCTCCAGAATTATGAGAAACAATTTCTGTTGTCCGTCACCAGCGGACTAAGACATTGCCGTAACTATATATTAAATTACATTGCCAAGGTTATGAGAAATCAGGTGACCTCTCAAAAGCATACACACACAAACATATACCTTCTCCCACACACAATCACATACCTTCTCCCACACACAATTTAAACCATAGTGGGAAGTGGAAGCTGAAGGACAAATGTTTGTTTCAAAAACTAGGAGATTTGGGGAACAAAAAACTTAAAGATATTGGCCTCACAGCAAAGCCAAGGGCGAGGAAGGATGGATGAGAATGAAATCAAAATCCATCACAAAACTGAGAAGAGTCATTCACTTTCAAAGGATGAATTGAAACGCAAAATTCATTATCTGAGTTATAGAAAGACAATAAAAAACCTGTGATATCCTCTTTAAATTGGGTAGAAAAAAAAGGTAAAAACTTACCATTTCTGCTGGAATTTATAACCTATATTTTTTTCCCTCAATTGGGTGTGGTGTTTGGATATATGTTAACTGTATGTTCAGGAAGATCAGACACATATACTTATCCTCTCTGGATACACCTACTCACCATTCAAACTCCTCAGGTTTTCCACACATTAAACTCAACTAAATGGAATTTAGAAAAAAATTAAAAACAGAAACAAATAAATTATCATATCAGGGCCCGGGAGGACAATGTGAATGAGGCCCTCACCTCAGGTGCAAAATAAAAGGGTCCAAAATTCTCCATCATCAAGATAAATAATAGTTGAATATAGTGTGTTTAAAAATTCAAAATTTGTGCAAAATTCCATGATAAAAATATCAAAATTTTAGTTAAAGAGAGGATGTGCCCAGATTGATTAAGGTGAGACAAATGAGGTGACTTGTGCAAGTACAAGGTCAGATTCTGTTTTCATTCAAATTTTGATAATTTTTATCATGAAATGTTGCATTCATTTTGATTTTTTGAAAACACTATATTAAAGTATTATTTATTTAATAATGAAGTAACCCGGGCCCTTATATTTTGCAAGCAGAGCAAATGCCTCATTCACCTAACTGTAGTCTTGGCCTGGTATTCCAGGGAAGAATGAGGAGAAAAAAGAAACAATCAAAATGTTAAAATCACAAGATTTAAGATATTCAAATGTTGCATTAAAATATAAAAGTTATGTATGTGATATGTAAATGAATAACAGTTGAAAACATCAATGAGAAAAGAAACAAGAGCTTATTAAAAATGAAAGAAAATTAAAGATCCATTTAATATATGTATATATGTATATATATATTTATACACATTAATGAAACTAAAATTTATTGTAGAGTTAATCTGGAGATTAGACAAAATGAAAGAGAATTTGTGAACTGAAATTTGATCTGAAAATTTCAGAAAATGGTTTACAGTATATGGTGAACATAATGAAGACTAATATTATTCTCATAACAGTTTGGGGAAAACCTAACGTAAAAATGGTAGAGAAGATATATTTGAAGGAATAATGGCTAAGAATTTTCCAGAATTGATGAAAGACATGAAGCCTAAACTTCAGAAACATTGTATTTAAAATGGGATTAATGAAATATATATCCACACAGCAGGCAGTAAGTTAAAAAAAAATCATCTACAAAATAAAGCAAAAAACTTAAAATTACACCTAGACTTTGCAACAGCAAAAATAAGACCTAAAAATCAGTGAAAAAATATGTGCAAAGTGTTAGGAAAATGGAATCATCATTTTTTAATTATGTACATAGTAAACTTTTTTTTTGAAGAATCATATCATTCATTTTCTTTCTATTTTAAAAATGTTAAACTGACAGCAATTGTATATACTTATTGTGTACAACATGTTGTTTTGTACTCAGCAAACTGATTTTAAAGAACAAGATAAACAAAGACCGAAAAAATTTACCATCAACAAATCCTCCCAAAAAAGAATATCTATACACGTATGTATGTATGCACATATATACATATATATACAAAAACACACACACACTTACACACAGAGAGACACTCGGGATGCATTTCAAAACAGGAAAGCATATCTAAAACTGAGAAGCAATAAAAAAATGGCAGGCAAATATAAACTTAGATAGCTATATAACCTAAACAAATATATTCTGTCAAAAAATAGTAGTAATATCAAATTGTTGGATCATGATAATGCGCAGGCCTATAATGAGGATGAATATCAAAGCATTCCAATATATTTTATTGTCAGATATAAAATTTGATTGTTTTCTGAAGTTAAATAGATTATAGTAAAATTTCAAAGAAAACACCAAAAAATTGAAAAAGATCATATACATTCACAAATTATCATAGAAAATAAAGGAAGAATAAATTTATCATTTAGAAAGAATATTAAACGAGAGAAGAAATGATATATTAGAGCATATTTTTAACAGGACATTTTTACCAAAAAAAGAGAAATTTTACCAAATTTTCCAGGAATAAATGCACAAACCTTACAAAGCATAGTAAAATGGAGAACACTTATCTAGTTTTAGCAGGCATTTTACTAACACTAGACAAGAAACAAATGTAATAAGAATACTATATGACAGGTGCAACAAACCACAATGGCACACGTTTACCTATGTAACTAACCTACACGTCCTGCCCATGTATCTCATAACTTAAAATAAAATTTTAAAAATAAAAATAAATTTTAAAAGGAAAGAATAAGACACCTAGAAATAAAATGAAACTATACAACAACTCACACGCATGAACATGGATACAACGTATTTAAGCAATGAATTGGAAAACTGAACCAGGCTATGTTTTAAAATCTAAAAGATCATAGCTAAATTAGTTTTATCCCTTGTATGAAAGTTTGGATTAATATGTTAAAAACCATTAATGTTACCCTTTCGTAAAGTGATTAAAGATAAAATATGATCAAGTGAATAAGAATAAATAAAATTAATATACCTCATAGAAATTTTATATACCAAATGTCATGAACAAAATTTATACCAGGATTGTTTGTAATATCAAGAAACTTAAAACATCCTTAATGTCCTGAAATGGAAGTATGCATAAAGAAATTATATATCTAAACATTAAATTTAATTGCAGGAGTATAAATGATGAGCCACAATCATGCAAATCAAAATGGACCAATCTCAGAAATATACGTGGCTTAGCAACAACACTGCAAAAAAGAAAAATGTATCCAGTATGGTATCAATTGCATGAAGATCAAGATTATATAAAATTAAGAAAATATATATTGATTTAACAAGACTACCGTTGATCCTCATTATTTTTAAAAGTCAGTATTTGCAAGTTTGCCTATTTGTTAAAATTTGTTTTCTACAGTCATTTGCAGACATGACCAGAACAAAAAAATATTTGAGAGAAACTGAGGCACATGTTCCTAACTGAGGTTTAGGAAGGGCAGGATCTTCTTGTCTCAGCTTTCATACAAAGATGACCGGAGGTTGCAAACAGTAGTGCAATGCAGTGTAGAGTAAAAAGCTCCAGCTCTGGGGCCTGTTGGAAGGGTTTGAATCCCAACTTTGGTGCCTGTTAGTGGGGCAGCTTCAGGCAAGTCCCTTAATACTTCTGGACATTGTTAGCTTTTTTGTAAAATAGGGAAAATGATGAGTCATTTTTACTGTTTAAGATCATAATCCATGTGAGATTGTGTGTGTGTGTGTGTGTGTGTGTGCGTGTGTACCCACATACATATTTCCCCCAGAAGCATTGGTCAGTATTCTGTAATCAGTGTTCAACCTGACTTCATGGAACATAAATACCAGGAATAATGAGAATCAACTACTAATGATAAAATACTGAATGAATAGTAATTCTTTCTGGAATAAGTAAGAGTGGGAAAAAAGAGTCATGCAATTGGAAAGTGGCAAGAGGAATTTAACAGTGTTGTAATGATCTACTGGATAATGCAGATATTGGATCCTCAATTACTCATTTTTGTCATTGTTTTACTGTATATGGCATATAACGTTTATATAACAAAAATCACGTGTATAAGATATTCCATAACAGTAAAATTTTTTTAAAAGATGTCTTCCTTTTTAATGCTAGAATCAGCCAACCATGTCCCATGGGTGTCTGCACAACTAAACGTGCTCATGCTTCATTTAGTGTAGGGACAGTCAAACTGTGACACATCAGCCAGATCTACCTATTGCCTGTTTTAGTAAAGTTGTATTGGAACACAGCCAACCCGTGCATTTTTGTATTTCCTATGGTTGCTTTTCTGCTACAACAGTAGAATTGTTTAGTTCCAACATAGTCTGCAAGGCCTAAAATACTATCTGGCCCTTTATTGAAAAAGTTTGCTGACTACTGGTTTAATGTAAATTCTTGAAGTCATGACCATCTGGGCTATGGAGAAATATCAAAATAAAAGATTTTTCTCTTCATAATAGAATGGTGGAAGATTCTGAGACATGCATGAAACAGCTGGTGTGGGGGGCTGCGTCAATGTGCCAGCAAACAGAACAAAAAATAACACAATGAGATAATGCACATGTATTAACTCATAGAGTCTTCATGATCTTTATATAAGTCAATCGCCCATGTTCACAGATGTTGGTTCTAGCAGATCCAGGGTTCCATAGAGTCTGACTTCCTATGTAGAATCAGCCATATTCATCAGTAGCATAATCTATTGGAAGGTGACTCTCATGATGAGTTGTATGCTTTGAGAATGACACAGCTTCTGTAAATTGAATTCTTTTGGGGAGTGAAGGAGACAAGACACATTTATCTTGTGCAGAAAAATACAGATTCAATGGAATCAAACATTGGAAATAAAAGAGGAATGTGAGCTTCTTGGCCATTCATGGAGGTTTTGGTTTCTCACCGTATGTAACATGGGGATTTGATATTTAGTACTTAAATATTAAAAAGCACAGTGATATGGCATAGTAGGGCTTGAAGTCACAAAATTGGCTAGTATTTGATTTATTTTTTATGAATATAATAAGCTCTGTTTAGTTTAGCAATTAGTCCATTTACAAAAAACCAAAATGTCATGGTGGCACTGTATCTTATTTTTGCTTACTTTTCTTTAAAACTGGCAGCAAAATAATCTTTACATAGGAGATGACCACAAAAAAGAAACATCAACACAGTCCATGCCTCATAACAAGGGAAAAAATGGTTGTTGAATCCAAGTACTAACAATGAGATAAGTAATATGAACATTTGCCAATCTGTATTGTTTAAAATAATTATACATTTATTAGAAAATGATTTTGCTGAAAATTTATTAAAGACAAATAGAATGTGAAAAGCTATTTTCAAAACAATTTGAGACAAATAATTTAATAAATGTAATTTTGCATTGAATGATAATGCATTAATTTTTAAAAATTATTTCTTAGTTTAGTTGTATGTTAAATAGTCAATTTTGCTCTACCACAAGTGAAAATTAGGGGGAAAGTTGCACATATTCAAAAAAATTATTTTCTTCTTATTGTTTCTTTAGAGTCTGTAGATCAAAAAATGTATAGTCCATTGAGAGACTTGAGAATTAGGTTAAAGGCCTTTTGTATCCCCAAATATAACTGATGAGGTATAGCAATTTTTAACCATCATCTAAAATTCTTATGTATAATGGCTTAATTTATTTTCATCATAATGCTTTCATGTAGAGCTACACATTTATCTTACAGTCTTGAATAATTCTGATTTGGATTGAATACAGCACATATATTACATTGACTCTTTTTTAAATTATCTGAAATTGAAAAACAAAAGCAATTGTTACAGTCTTAGACTTTGAAAATGTTACTTTAGCAATATGACATCGTTTAATGTTTTTCATTTATAGTCAATTAAGCTTTGATCTATGGTTTCTAAAAGATATAAAGTCAAAGCAATTTACATAATTTGGATATTTTAATGTAATATATCTTGTTACTTACCAGGGAGGTTGTCACATTTGTCATCCCATTAATCCCTATATCCTTACATAACCCTGTCAGGATTTCTTGTGGGCAAAAGATTTTTCCTTTGTCCTCACATTTTACTGTGTCCTTTTTGGAGCCCTTTCACTACCTTTGTTTGTTGCACCTCATCACTTTTTTGTTAGGGTACTGCACCAGAAACCCAGTGCTAAATTCCGATTGGCAGAGCTCAGTTCCTTGCTGGATGTTAATTCTCACTGCACTGGGGAACATTTCCCTATTGATAAACTTTAAGTATGCTACTGATGGGATTGGACAAAGAGAGAAATTATATTTTATAAAATAATGATGGAAGAAATGCAGGAGAAAATTAGCAGGCCTTATTTTTTATATATTTCAATAACAAAACAGTTGAGCCCCCTACTCAATGTTTCCAATGAGACATAAGAGATTGTAGTAGGAGATCATTACTTTAAAAGATCTTTGCAAAAGAAGGAGAAACACAATTTCACCCCAGGTGATATGAGGGCCAGATGTTCCCACGGAAACTGATTATAAATTAATCCATTATGATCTGCACTTTATAAGATAGAGTGTGGGATGGGAGTTTGGGGAACAGAACTCTTCAATCTTCAGACTTTTGAAGAAACTCTTAAAGAAACTTTACAAACAGTGGATGTAATACGTAAATTTGACTTCTTATTTTTCAGTAAAATATGAAAGGGACTATTTTGGGAAGCTTTTCTTTTAAATGTTTATATCTGCAGCTCTAATTCTTCATCTTATAAAACAAATCAATTAACTAATATAGATCACAAAATTAGTAAAGAAATCTTCAACGCATCATCAAGAATTCCACTAAATCATAACAATCTAGTTTACTTTTATTCCCAGAATGGTTTCTGATAGAAAAAAGGTGCATTTTGCAAAAATACCGTAGGTTAAGCTTTGAGATTCTTAGTGAAGTTGTTCAAATTGCTAAATCTCTTCATTTTTGCTAATATTTCCCTCTCAATGCCAAACAAACTCTTTCTCTCCTCCACTAATATTCAAACTATTGTGTATTAGTCCATTCTCGCGTTGATGTAAATAACTACCTGAGACTGGGTAATTTAATTAGTTCAACCATTGTGGAGGACAGTGTGGCAGTTCCTCAAAGACTTAGAGGCAGAAATACCATTTGATCTAGCAATCCCATTACGGGATATATATGCAAAGTCATTCTATTATAAAGATACATGCACGTGTATGTTCATTGCAGCACTATTCACAATAGCACAGACATGGAATCAACTCAAAAGTCCATCAGTAGTAGATTGGATAAAGAAAATGTGGTATGGCTGGGCGCAGTGGCTCACACCTGCAATCCCAGCACTTTGGGAGGCCAAGGCGGGCAGATGACGAGGTCAAGAGATTGAGACCATGGCCAAACCCCGTCTCTACTAAAAGTACAAAAAACAATTAGCCAGGCACGGTGGGGGGCACCTGTAGTCCTAGCTACTCGGGAGGCTGAGGCAGGAGAATGGCGTGAACCCGGGAGGTGGAGCTTGCAGTGAGCTGATATCGCGCCACTGTACTCCAGCCTGGGTGACAGAGGACCTCCATCTCAAAAAAAAAAAAAGAAAAAGAAAATGTGGTACATAGACACTGTGGAATACTATGCAGCCATAAAAAGGAATGAAATCATGTCTTTTGCAGGGACATGGATGGAACTGGAAGCCATTATCCTCAGCAAACTAACACAGAAACAGAAAACCAAACACTGCCTGTTCTTACTTATAAGTGGGAGCTGAACAATGAGAACCTATGGACACATGAATGGGGACAATGGAGCTTTTCAGGGTGGAGGACATCAAAAAGCATCAAAAAGAATAGTTAATTGATGCTGGGCTTAATACCTGGGTGATGAGTTGATCTGAGCAGCAAACCACCATGGCACATGTTTACCCATGTAACAAACCTGCACAACCTGCACGTATACCCTGGAACTTAAAATAAATTACAAAATAAAAAAAGAAAGAAAAGAGGTTTAATTGATTCACAGTTTCACAGGCGTACAGGAAGCATGGCTGGGGAGGCCTCAGGAAACTTACAATCATGGCAGAAGGCAAAGAGGAAGGAGTCACGTCTTACATGGTTGGAGCAGGAGAAAGAGAGAGGCGGGGGAGGTGCTACACTCTTTTCAACAACCAGATCTCATGAGAACTCAGTCACTATCACGAGAACGGCAAAGGGGAAGTCCGCCCGCATGATCCATATCACTTCCCACCAGGCCCCCTCCTACAACATTCAGGATTACAATTCAACATGAGATTTGGGATGGGACACAGACCCAAATCATACCATATTGTAACAATTTAAACAGTAGTTGTATGAAAGAATGCTCTCATTGACTTTTCTTCTTCATTTAGCATTCAGGCTCAAACCAGTACAATCTGGATTTATCCTATACTGCTCAATATTATCAATAGTTTCATTGTTGAATCTAGTCAATCCTCTTCAGAACATAGCTTACCAGTGCAGTATTTGATGTTTAGGGCAATGTTATTTATATTCTGCATTATTGAAAAGTCATCTTCATTTTCATGGCATAACTCTGTCTGGGGATTTTTAAAATCTTTCTAGTTGCTCCTCCATTCCTAAATGAGCTATTTCTCTGTCTTGGCTTTTATATTTTGTGTTCTACAGAGACTGTTCTGTATATGGAAAAATTCTTCATTGTGTTCTAAGGTTCCTCATTTGCTCTAATAGCTTTGTCTGTATTTTCAGAAGAGACTTTTGCTTGAGTTCTATTCTTATTAGTAAACCCAACTTGCCTTCCAGGCATTTCCATATGAAATTCTTTAGAACACTTGTTAGTTTTTCAAATTTGTTAAAAACTAATCTTATTATACCCCCAGAAAACATATATCTATTTTCTTCATCTCAGAAAAATGTGCTTGTAACTATGGCTCTTCAGTCTAAAATGAACCCTTTGATGTTATTGGTGTCAGTAAAGGCCAAGAAAAGCAGTCAAAGCAAAAATCTTCCAAACTTGCTAAAATCTACCAAACTTGCTAAAAAATCCAATTCACAAGGCTTCAACAGCAAGAAAATAAGTTTTCATATCTTCTAGTCTGGTACCACTTAGCAGTAATTATATCTAACAAGTGAGGCACCATTTAAGCATGATCATTCTGTTTGCTTAAAATAACTATGATCCTGTGCATGTAAACACAAAATAAGGCTGTACCACCCATGAAAGTCCTGGCCTCATGAGCTTTGTGTAACAAATGCCTGTGGGCCCCACATCAAGTATCGCCTTTGATTTCATCAGCAGCTACGTGGACAGCTCTGTGCAATATCTGTTCAATCAATTCTCTATATTGCATTCAACCTGCTGAAATAATGTGTGAATCTGTTTCCTGCCTGACTTTAACTGACACAACCAGCAAAGAAATAAAATAATGGTACACACGAGGTCAGGAATAATGCTAGAATGTGTGTGTCTGACTTCTCAGGGTACTTCTTATATTTTACAGGGCACACCTGAAGCTCTAGTGGTATATGGAATTCACCAAGTAGAAAAGAATAAAGGCATCGCTCATGCTTTACCATGTATTAGACTGGGTCAGGAGGTGGGATGTGTGTATATCTATCAGTACACAAAGGCTCACGTACTACAATATAGGAATTTGTCAACTCCCCCCAGCTATATAATCAAGTTCAATTTCTTGCAGCATTAATGAGCCTTTCTCTAAAAGCCTATGTAAGCCTGGCCATCCCCCATGTCAGCCTGTATGGTGTGGCATATTTCTCCACACTTACCTACTCCTGACCTCTCTCAGTAGTCTAGCAATAATGCTTTATGACTATTCTCCAAATTTGTTAAAATTTGTACTGCATTAGAGATTTTGCACAAGCTATTTTATTTGCAAACATTGACTAGTCTTCCACCTTCAAAACTTTCATAGTGATCGTCCCTGTTTTCTACCTGACTAACTCACTCCTGTTTTTCAGGGAACGATATGTCTTCAAGAAAGCATTTCCTACTTCCCACTCTCTCCCAGCAGTCTAGACAAATTTCTCTGGTTATAGAGAAATTTGCATCATATACATCATCTACTACATATACATTACATCTAATACATCATATACTATCATACCATATATACCAAATAGTTTTTGTTTATATCAATATAAGTAAATTATTATAAATTTGAAAAGAGCCTACATTTTATCTGTACCATCAGCTTTTTAAAAAAATACGTTTTGTGAACTCTACTTCTCTTAAGCCATATAAATACTCCTTCATTCTCTTAAAGTTCCGTTCCACTTGTTTTTGTAAAGGCTAAACTCACATGATTCCATCCTAATTCAGAGTTACTATTTTAAAACCAAATTTCATCTTGTAGAAAATATTTATTTCAGATCTGTTTCTTCTATCTTGGAAACAGTGATGGTTTCAATCTCTTTTCTTAGATAAAGAAGTACCAACCTGACTAAAGATGACTTATTTTTAATTTCAAGCCCTGCAGGCACAAACACTATCCCTAGACACTTCATACTGTCTTCCTCACACTAGAGCTCTCAAACAACCTTCCCTCAGAATAAGTCCTATCTTTATCAAATAGCAAAGATATTTTTGACTAAATTCAACACTCTAAATTAGATTGGCAATTTATTTTAGAATCAACTAGTGGCCTAGGTTTATCTTTTCTTCTGAAGACAAATTTTTACCTCTAAAAACACAACTTATACATTTTCAGAAGGGTAGAAAAGAAGGAAAAGAAAAAGTTAGTAAACACCATCTCCCAGTTGTACTGATAACATCTCTGCCTCTCAGAGTGCATTTTGATTATAACTCATTCCCTACATACACCAACATATCAACTCAGATTAGCACCGAGATCTTTTCTTGCAGCTGGCATGTAATAAATACAACTTAGCAGTAACTAGACAACAGTTCTGAATCATCACACCAACAAGGGCCTTCCCTTCCACAGGGATGTTTTATTGTATCACCACCCATGAAATCTTTACCAATGGGCACCATTTGGGGCCAGGTTCCATTTTGCCCCACTTAGCACTCAGGATTATGCTCAATTCAGCTACCAAATGTGAGTTAACTAATCTCATATTACCATCTGTTTTCTCGCACCATCCCAGTGCCAACTGCATCAGCATTCACAAAGTGATGCAAGACTCTCACAGGTAGGAAAAGAAAAGTAAGAAAGGAGGATTAGATAAGAAGGGTCAGAGATTGCTGCATAGTTCCAATAAAGGTGAGACCAGGCCAATGGGCAGTACTTGAACAAAACTTGCCCATTGAAGTCCCACCTGTCACCTTATTGCCTTGACTTTATTACCTTTAGTGTCAGTTATTTGCTGGGAGCACCCTTTTGTAAACATGGTCTCAATATAAACCCTTTAGTGGATCCAGAGGGGCAGCCCCTCATGTTAACAATCTTTGCAGTGCACACTAATCTAATTCCAATCTTCTTCAATCATTCCATAAAACCAACCTTTTGACTAGGTCATCTATAACCTCCATCTTGCTATATCCAATGGTATTTTACCATTTGGCCATGCACCAAGCATTGGACAATACTCCTGTCAGTTAGTTCCTTGATAAACTCTCTTTCCTTTACTGACACCAACGTTTTTTTTTAATTGAATTGTACATTTTTTTAAATTTTATTATTATTATACTTTAAGTTTTGGGGTACATGTGCACAATGTGCAGGTTAGTTACATATGTATACATGTGCCATGCTGGTGTGCTGCACCCATTAACTCGTCATTTAGCATTAGGTATATTTCCTAAAGCTATCCCTCCCCCCTCCCCCCACCCCACAATGGTTCCCAGAGTGTGATGGTCCCCTTCCTGTGTCCATGTGTTCTCATTGTTCAATTCCCACCTATGAGTGAGAACATGCGGTGTTTGGTTTTTTGTCCTTGCGATAGTTTACTGAGAATGATGATTTCCAATTTCATCCATGTCCCTACAAAGGACATGAACTCATCATTTTTTATGGCTGCATAGTATTCCATGGTGTATATCTGCCACATTTTCTTAATCCAGTCTATCCTTGTTGGACATTTGGGTTGGTTCCAAGTCTTTGCTACTGTGAATAGTGCCGCAATAAACATACGTGTGCATGTACTGACACCAACATTTTTAAATTATCACTTTCCTTTCTGGCTGCTTCATATGTCTCTCATTTGCATGCTCATCCTCTTCTAGTCAGCTACTAAATATTTCACTTTTTCAAACAGGTGGAAGTTCTTTATTCATCACACTGTGTAGATTTTTTGTAGGTTGACAGTATCTATTTCCAAGCTTTCAGTTTCTACTTATATGCATGTGACTTTCAAGTTTATATATCCAGCTCAGATACCTCCTCTGTACTTTAGGCTTGTATATCCAACCACTCCTTGACATTTTATCAATGTTGAAACACATTTCAAAGCCAACAAATTAATACTAAATTTATGGACTTCTGTATTAGTCTGTTCTTGCATTGCTATAAAGAACTGCCTGAGACTGGGTAATTTATAAAGAAAACAGGTTAAATGGACTCACAGTTCGACAGACTGTGTAGGAAAGACGGCTGGGAAGGCCTCAGGAAACTTACAATCATGGCAGAAGGCAAAGGGGAAGCAGGCACTTCTTACATGGCCAGAGAAGGAGAAAGAAAGAGCAGGGAGAGGTGCTACACACTTTTAAACAACCAGATCCCATGAGAACTCACTCACTATCACAAGAACAGCAAGGGGGAAATCCACCTCCATGTTCCATACACCTCCCAGCAGGCCCCTTCTCCAATACTGCGGATTACAATTCGACATAAGGTTTGAGTGGGGACACAAATGCAAATTGTATCAACTTCCAACTTTCCAACACCAAGAGGATATTCCTTCCAGGATATCCTGTTACAAGAAATGGCTTCATCATCCTTCCAATAGCATAAGCAATAAAACCCAAGACATCCAGATCAAGTCCCTCTCTCACACATCCTCAAGTTCATTTATCGCTCAATTTTGTAGAATTTGACACATAAATATCCTTAGAAACTATCCACATTACTCTCCTCTTCACCTAAATAACGCCATTCAATTTGTAATACCTTGGTACAAACAGACTTCCCCATGGAAGCCTTCCCTGATATCCCAAATAAGATAAAAACTCTAATGAATCTTCAAAATGCTCTTTACATAAACAGTTTTAAAGTGGCCCTTAGCATTAGTTGATTAATAACTAACTCTCCCACCATATCAAAAAAAATTCCATATGCTCAGAAAAGTTGTCAGTATTTGCCTTATGTCCCTAACATTTATTTTTCAACATATGACCAACTGCTTAGGTTTATGATACTAAATGTAATCCTAAATCACCAAATATATTCATAAATTTCAATACTGAAAATCACTGAAACTGAACTGTATGAACAAATGTATAAAAGCGTCACTGAGAAGCAAAAATAATCTACCCATAATGTGTATGATAACAACTTCAACATTTTACAAGTTTTAATTATTTTGGGTGTTTTTTTGTCTGTAAATGCTAGAAAGTTATAAATAAACATGATAACTAAATGTATAAAGAAAATGAGAAATTTAACTAAATATGATATACAACTACCAGCAGTATAAGTAAGCTAATCATTTTGTGTGTGCATGTTTTTGTATGTGTGTATATGGGAGAGTTTAGTCTATATGACACTGTAACCAGATTCAATTGGTTTGTTTATTAGATTTTGGTAATAGAATCGATATTTTCCTCTTGAATTTAATTGTGAATTATATGTGAAGGAGATTTAGGACATTAGCTAGTTTCTCAAAGCCGATTACAAGTTAACTTATTCACAGCTACACTTAACCACATAGCAAGTAGTTTTGTTGTTGGCTTTTAAGTTGTAGCTTTTCTTAGGAGAAATACTTTAACTTACAGATCTTCTACCATCTGGTTGTGAACCCTAATAGCAGATGTCCTCTGTCTAGCATCCTGAGGTCACACCACTGTATGTTTCCTATTTGTTGCCTGTTGGGTGAGATAGTTTGATCTTGTGTTTGAGGGTAGAAATCCCTGAATTGCGAGAATCTGTAAAAGGATCAATGTTTCCTGAGAAAAGATCAATCTAATTTCACACCTATAGAAGCAATATTCTAAAATAATGAAATAAGGGATGTTTTCCAAAATAGGTTATCCACTTTCTTTCCAGTGAGAGCAACTTATCACTTTATAATAGAGATGGGAAATTTGTGAGTAATAGCAAATAAAATTTTCCCATACTCCACCTGGAAATGCAGAAGATTCATTCTCATGGGGTGTGAAAGGGTTGACAATATGTATTTGTTGTCTTAGCTGCAGGATTATTTAAAGTTTGAAAAGCCTCTAAGCTCCTGAGGTAGAAACTTTGTAACTATAGCCCTATGACGACAGTATAACTAGTTGAAAAGTATTGCATTCAATCTGAAGAGGTATTTGGCATCATTTTGACAATAACAGGTTGTTTGCCTGAATTCAACTTTATTTTACTGATCTAAGTATGACAGGTTCTTGTGTGTTCAGATGGCCAGAAATATATAATTAGAGAAAAGATTTTATGGCAACCAGAAACTTACTTAAATTTGTTTCTATTTTATATCATGAATTGAAAATCACTTCTGCATAAGATGTTTGTAGAGATGACCATAGATTACCTTTCCTTCAGGAAATGACTTTCTTCAAGGTCAGAAATGATCACTTTGTCAATGACCTAAATGAATAGTACTGACCATCCTACTATATGCGATGCAGTTGACCTCTCCATTCTACTGTAAACAAACCCACAAACTTGTGTTTCTATGAAGCGGCCCTGCCTTGATTCTTCTTTGATGCTTCTTGCCTTCAGTGAAACTTGTTTTTCGTTTCCTGGCCCTTTGACACTGGTTTTTCTTGGAGATCTGTGGTCTGTGCTCTACTCCATCATCACTTCATATGTTCTCCATGAGCAATAAAATATAATACAATATGTATTTATAATATTAATATAATGTTTTTAAAAACATGCCTTTCATCCTGTGCTCTTTTTAAAAAAATCTTATTGAAATAAAATATGCATACAATAAAGTATACAAATCTTATGTATAAAGCTTACTTAATTTCTACTTAATATGAACCTGATGTAAATACTTCAATGTTAAGATGTAACAGATCTCCAGACTCTTAAAAGCATACTCTCTGCCTCTTCCAAGTCAGTACTCCCCAAAGTAACCACTATTTTGACTTCTGTCTAAACAAATTAGTTTTGCTAGAGACTTTCAAACATGATATGAAAAGAATCCTATGATACGTACAATTTTTAGCCTGGCTTTTTCTGTTCATCACTACATCTGTGGGATATACCCATATAGTTTTGTAGAGCAGTAGCTCTTTAATTTTTCATTGCTGAGTAACATTTCATTGTTTGAAGATTTATAGACTTTATATATCCTTTCTCCTGTTAGTGGGCATTTGGGTTGTATATGAGTAATCAATTACTATGCAATATATTACTCCAATATATAGCAGCTGAAACATTTATTATCTCACAGTTTCTATGGTGTAGGAATCTAGGAGTGGCTTAGCTGAGTTGTTGTGGCTTGGGGTCCCTCATGATCTTGCCATAATCTGTCAGCCAGGGCTTCAGTCATCTCAAGATTTGACTGAAGCTGAGGGGTCCACATTCAAGCTCCCTCACGTGCTTGTTGGGACAGGCTTCACTTCCTTTCTGGCTATTAGCTACAGCCTCCAGTTCATCACCACAAGGCTCCCATCCTAAGGTTACTTACAATATGTCAGCTTGCTTCCTGCAGAGATAATAATCCAAGAGGGAGAGAAAGCATGAGAATCTTCAGCGATGTGGATTTTATTTTTAATTTACTGATTTTAAAATTATACATAGTTTTAGGCTTTTTCTCAAAGTTATATATAAAATTCTCTAAGTTTATCAATTATTCTCCATTAGGTGTTATGCAAAAATCATCGTTTTCTTTCTTGTATCAAAATGTTAAAAACCATTTGGACTGTCCTTAATTTGATTCTTCCATAGTATCCTCTCCATTTTCTACCTCTATGCTCAGTAATTTTCATTTTTTGAAGGGGTTAGTCTCGCTTTGGATTTGCGGACCCAAACCATGTTCAATGCCTTTCCCCTGATACCTGTCCCAGGATTTTCCTGAAGCAATCCTACTCGTCATTGAATTTCAAGATTAAGTGACACGATGGCTGAGTGGCAGTTCTGAAAGGTCCGTATAATGTTGGGGACGGCATTATAATTCAGGGTGGGGTTAGGAGTTTGGAGCTGTATTTATAAAACACAATACAAAAGATTAAACAGACAAGAATTATTTTTGTTAAAATTTGGCAGTTAGTAAAGGACCATGCTGCTGTACTTCAACCACCTCCTGACACTATCCCTTCTCCTTCAAAAAGCCTTAGCAGGCTACCTATATCTAGGTATTTTTCTTAAATTTTCTGATAGTACTCTGCATTCTCCTTCTCTCAGAGCTCTTATCACACTGTATTTTAGTTGCATATTTAATGTCTATTCCTCACACTAATTTTTTTTTTTTTCTTGAGACGGAGTCTTGCTCTGTCTCCCAGTCTGGAGTGCAGTGGCACGAACTCTGCTCACTGCAACCTCCACCTCCCGGGTTCAAGCAATTCTCTGCCTCAGCCTCTGGAGTAGCTGGGATTACAGGCGCCCACCACCACACCCGGCTAATTTTTGTATTTTTGGTAGAGATGGGGTTTCATCATCTTGGCCAAGCTGGTCTTGAACTCCTGACCTCAGGTGATCCGCCTGCCTCAGCCTCCCAAAGTGCTAGAATTACTAAATTTTAAGCTCTATGAGAACTCATCCTATAACTGCCCTTAATATTGTTTACCACAAACTCTCATTGTAGTATTTTGTATGTAATAAATGCTTCATATATTTGATGTGAATAATGGTTAATGGCTTCAAAGTTTTGATAATTTCAGCCGCTAATGATAATTGCCTCGGAATATGCATATTATACACATACATATATAAACACACAACAGCTGCTAATGAAGTAAATATGTGAAAAAGTGTGAATAACAGCATAACAGTTCAGTTTGATTTCTGACCAGTATTCCATGACAAATCAAGTTAATGTTATGTTTTAATATAATTTCAGTGTGATTTCAGGCCCTAAAGTTAAAGATTTGTGACTTCAGTGAATTCAATTACAAAGATGAAAGTTATTAATCCACTCAAAATGGTAAAAGTCTAATAATTAATTAGCTAACAACATTAACACAATTAAGCAAATTTATTTGATTAGTATATGAGACATTTTATGCTTTCCAAAAAGTGTCTATTTTGCTTACATTTCTTTTTACGGTCAGATTTGCCCAGTTTAAGTTGTCATTTCCTGAACAGATATTTCAAAATAGAGAAAATGCAGTGTATTGTTTCAGTGATACAATTGCGGTAATAGTGAAAAAAAAAAAAGGAAGTGACAATGAGACTCTATAGCAAAACTGTACTATACTATTAGATATAAAGCAAACAAATAAAGGTTTATATAGCAGGTTTTTTAATCTAAACACAGATTTATGATATATTTTATATATTTATGATAGATTCAACCAGAAAGATAAACAGTACATAAGGAGAACTAATATCCCCAAATGAGAATCCTAAAGTCAGGTAAATTAAATAAAACCTCAATGATTATGAAGACTTTAATACAGAATCTGCATCTCTATTTCTACTGGAATAAAGATGTTCATTGTGCCTTTTATGTAGATTTTTCAAAAATCCTTTTCTGCGTTGTATTTTTTAAAGAAATTGATATGGTGTCTATAGTTATAAAGAATGTGTATTCAAATAATCACAGTATCTCTAAATGTTTTAATATTAATTACAATGTAATTCCTATGTAAACATTTCTTACTCTCTAAGGAAACTCCTTTGCTAGTGCTGTATTAAAACTATGTCAGAGTTTGCCAATTTAAATTTCAAGAGGTTTTAAAAATTCAACAAGATTGAATAACAAACATGTGGCATGAACAGTACATTGATGCCTCAGACATTGTTTACTTGACTCAGAGATTAGCACTTATTCATATTTAGAATTATTAATGTCTTTAATGTCAGCTAAACCCAAGTACTGAAGGACATCATCAAACACTAGAAGTAAAAGCTGATATTACTAACTTTAAACATCTGTTTTTTTAATTCAAAAACCTTATGTCTTTGTCTCCTAGTCTTTAATCCTAATATTCATAGAACTTCATGTCATCCCACAACCAATTGCTCTTACTGGAAGCTTTTTTCTTGTAGAGTTTTTGCTATTCTAGAGAGAATACACTTCAACTAATCAAATCTCTTCACCCTCTCAGTTTTTATTTCCATCTTGGAAATCTTAATGAGACAAATTGTGGTATTTCATTATGTCATGACAAAATTTATGTTTCCCCATTAGACAATGTAATTTTATGAACAGAGTAGTTGGGGTTCCATGAAATTTCAACATAATATCAGCTTGGAAGGGATATTCCCCAATATACAGACTGATTTTTTTTTTTTTTTTTTTTTTTTTGAGAAGGAGTCTTGCTCTGTCGCCCAGGCTGGAGTGCAGTGGTGCGAACTCTGCTCACTGCAAGCTCTGCTTTCCAGATTCACGCTATTCTCCTACCTCAGCCTCCTGAGTTGCTGGGACTACAGGCGCCCGCCTCCACGCCCGGCTGATTTTTGTGTTTTTAGTAGAGACGGGGTTTCACCGTGTTAGCCAGGATGGTCTCGATCTCTTGACCTCGTGATCCTCCCGCCTCGGCCTCCCAAAGTGCTGGGATTACAGGCGTGAGCCACTGCGCCCGGCCCAGACTGGTCTTTTTTACACATAAGAGAAAACCGAGGCCCAGAAATTTCAAGCGAGTCACTTAATCACGAGGTAAACTAGCAATGAAACTATGACTGGAACAATCTCTTTCCAGACTCAAACAATCTCTTTCTTTCTTTTTTTCAATATGGCCCATTTGTTTACCTTTGGAAGGTTCTCATTTTATGGCTCTGGTGTTTCCTATTATTTACACAAAAAGAAATCATAGCCAGGTGCAGTGGCTCAGGGCTGCCTGTAATCTCAGCATTTAGGGAGGCAGAAGTGGGAGGATCACCTGAGGTCAGGAGTTCGAAACCAGCCTGGCCAACATGGTGAAACACATCTCTAATAAAAATACAAAAATTAGCTGGAAATGGTGGCATGTGCCTGTAATCCCAGGTATGTGGCAGGCTGTGGAAGGAGAATCACTTGAGCCTGAGATGCGGAGTTTGCAGTGAGCTAAGATCACGCCACTTCACTCGAGCCTGGGCAACAAGAGGGAAATTCTGTCAGAAAAAAAAAAAAAAAGTCATAGAACTGTAATTCAAGGTAAGCAATAGAGATCCCCTAATATATTGTTTACAAGGTCGTTCTTTTGGTTATTCAGTAATCTCCATCAAACTTACTCCAAAGAGATAAATTTGGGAGAGTTTACTATATTAAAGAGTCTTTCTAAATCAAATGTAGAGGATCATGTACCACCTGTGAAAGCATGGCTTATTGCAACCACTTTGGTGTACAGCATGATCGTCAGAGTAAATTTAAAAGAAATATATTCCACAACTCCAACTCTAGGTGTTTATCATGATTGCATAAATATGCAGTAAAAAATAGAAGCAGTTGATTTATAGGATATTTATGAAATAACTTATGGTACATTTGATAAATGGAATGCTATACACTTACTTAAAACAAGCTGGCTGTGTGCAGTAACCCACAGCTGTAATTTCAGTACTTTGGGAAGCTGAAGTGTGAGGATAGCTTGAGCCCAGGAGCTTGGGACCAGCCTAGGCAACATACAGAGACGCCGTCACTACACTAAGTTAAAAAAAATTGGCTGGGCATGGTGACACATGCCTCTAGTCTTTGCTACTTGGGAGGCTGAGGTAAGAGGATTGCTTGAACCTGGGAGGTTAAGGCTGCAGTGAGCTCTGATCATGCCACTACACTTAAGGCTGGATAACAGAGCAAGACCCTTTCTCAAAAAAAAGAAAAAAAAGAAGAAAGAAAGAGAAAAGAAAGAGAGAAAGAAAGAAAGAAAGAGAGAGAGAGAGAGACAGGAAGGAAGGGAGCAAGGAAGGAAGGAAGGGAGGAAGGAAGGAAGGATAAAGGAAGGAAGGAAGGAGAAGAGAGAAAGAAAAAGAAAGAAGAAAGAAGAAAGAAAGAAAGACAGGAAGGAGGAAAGGGAGGAGAAGAGAGAAAGAAAAAGAAAGAAAGAAAGAAGAAAAGAAAGAAAGAAAAAGGTGATGTAAGTACCAATTTCAAAGAAATCACTGCATTTAAGTAAAACTACAAACTGTAGAACAGGTTGTATAATATAATCTCATTTAAAACTATAACACATGTATGTCTATAGAAATTATACATATTTAACTACATAAACACTTTTGGAATGTCAGGAATAAGATTATCCTTGTTATCTCTGGATTAGTAAGAGGTTTGGTGACACAGGAAGTGAGATTTAATTTTTTCATATAGACTTTAATTTTTAGAGGAGTTTTAGGTTCACGGCAATTTTTGCAGAAAGTATGAAGTTTCCACATCCTCCCTAAAATTTAATTTTTAGTTTTGACTTTTCTAAAATGTATTTTTTCTGCTACATGCATAAGATGTTTTTTCTTAAAACTTTGTTAAAAGATAAAAATATTTAAAATACTATAAAAGGGTATGACTAGCATCAATTAAGACTGAATCGATACATGTATCATACCTGTTTTAATTTATATATGGTATTTGAATGATTACTTTTTGTTAAAAACTCATTATATTGCTATCCTCTTTCTTGTTTGTGTGCAAATATTTTTACCTCTTATCAATTAGTTCTCACATATACAAGCACGAATTCCCTAATTTAAAAAGAAAAAAAAAGTAAACGTTACATAACTTCCCTGGGTCTTGGTGAAGAAAAGGAAAAAGGAGTGCCTAAATTAGAATTAAATAGCCCAATAAATAAATATTATGCTCAAGATGCTGGCTTGCTATGAGGTCCACTCCACCAGAGGTCACCTTCTTAACGCAGACAGTTGCCATTAATTTTTAAGAGTCATTTCAAATACCATTGTCTGAATGATGTGTAATCCATTAGCTAAGAACACACTTAAACTTGTTCTCTACTTCTTTAAACCCCTGTCACAGTTGTAATCTCTTAAAATGAGCTACTTATCTACCCTTTCTTATTTTTGTTTCTCTTGCTGTTTTTGTCAATATCTTCAAATATATTTAAAGTTTTTCTCTTGAGTGTAGAAATCGGGCTTAAGACTCATTTTATGTTTCTCATTATTGGTTGATGAAATTGCAACTTTGACTTCCAAAATCCCTTCTTGTTTCCCAAAAATAATATTCGTATTTCCTTTTGCCCGTCTCCCTACTTCCCTGTAACTTACCACCATGTGTGACATGAATGGGAACCAAACATTTTTTGTATATTTTTCTCAGGGCCTAAGAGTATAATGAAGGTTGAATATTTTACCTAATCTTTGATCTTACTTCATTAACAGACACAGTTTTCAGTATGTAATTCAATCCATGCCAAGCAGAAATCTCATCTAATAGTTTGAACTGAGTTTGCTAAACTTACATAAACTCTAGTTGTGATTTTAGCATTATGGAGAAATACACTTGGGGGAATTTTTAAATGCTGACAAAGAAAGAGTCAAAATATGTACAAAAAGTGGATAATCATGGCTAACTATTCAGCTCTTTTCTCTGAAGTCCCAAAGACTGCTCTGGTTTCAGATGTTTATGAGTTTATTTGTTTGGTTTGCGCTTCAGTTCTTTGAAATGTCCCAGCATCCTTCCAACCAATCCCTTTTATATTTCTTCAACTTGTTTAAGTGCATCAGCACTGGCCATCAGAGAAATGCAAATCAAAACCACAATGAGATACCATCTCACACCAGTTAGAATGGCAATCATTAAAAAGTTAGGAAACAACAGATGCTGGAGAGGATGTGGAGAAATAGGAACACTTTTACACTGTTGGTGGGACTGTAAACTAGTTCAGTCATTGTGGAAGTCAATGTGGCGATTGTTCAAGGATCTAGAACCAGAAATACCATTTGACCCAGTGATCCCATTACTGGGTATATACCCAAAGGATTATAAATCATGCTGCTATAAAGGCACATGCACATATGTGTTTATTGTGGCACTATTCACAATAGCAAAGACTGGGAACCAACCCAAATGTCCAACAATGATTGACTGGATTAAGAAAATGTGGCACATATACACCATGGAATACTATGCAGCCATAAAAAAGGATGAGATCATGTCCTTTGTAGGGACATGCATGAAGCTGGAAACCATCATTCACAGCAAACTATCACAAGAACAGAAAACCAAACACCGCATGCTCTCACTCATAGGTGGGAATTGAACAATGAGAACACTTGGACACAGGAAGGGGAACATCACACACCAGGGCCTGTCGTAGGGTGTGGGGAGGGGGGAGTGAAAGCATTAGGAGATATACCTAATGTAAATGAACAGTTAATGGGTGCAGCACACCGAAATGGCATATGCATACATATGTAACAAACCTGCACGTTGTGCACATGTACCCTAGAACTTAAAGTATAATAATAAAAAAAAGGCAAAAAAAAAAAAGATTTTAAAAGAAAGACATTTTGACATACTGAAGATTTTGATTTGAGGCTATATATAATTTTTCATGAAGAAATATTTGTAATACCTTCCTAATTAAAATGGTTTTCTTCTGTGCAATTTAAACTACATTTTAGTTCGCTCTTAATCTATTAATAAAACCATACACATGATAAGTAATATCAAATAATTTTCAGTTATGCCCACTTTCTTCTTAAATGGAAATATTTTCAACAGAATTACCCTTACTAAATAACCAAATTAATCACAAAATTAAGAAAACATTTTCATTTTACTTTTTAATAATTTTACACATATTAATACATATATTTGAAATACTAATTTTGTAATGGATAAATTTTTATAATGGATAAATTTTATTTTTATAATGGACAAATTCTTATTGTCCAGTATTATATTTCAAATCAATAACCTAGTAATTTCAAAATGTTCCTTCTAAGTTAACACAACTGAATTTACCAACCTTTAAACATTTTTCTTTAACCTAGGAAAGCATTGATAGATTAGCCAAATTTTCTCCAATAGTATCTGTCTGAAACTTGATATAAAATGTAGACCACAGTAGCTAAGGATATTATAATCATTGTTGTCATTTTTTGGGTTGATTTTTATAATTAAAATAGAAAGAAGCATGAGAAGACATTTAACAAATTTGATATAACTCTTCATATTTTGACTGTAAAAGAAATCCAAAGAGATCATGATTTTTTACTTTGTTAAGGCCAAAAAAAAAGTGTGTTCCTTGCTGTCTATTGCTTGCATTCATTTTATTTGTATTTTCATAAATTGATACCTAAATGTAAATTTTATGTTTCTGTGTCAAGATAGAAACAGGATTAAAATCGGTTCAATAAAAATATTGCTTAGTATAATATTGGAAGTCTCTCTCTCTTTTTTTCTCATGCATCTAAATCTAAGTGACTTGTTTCATTTGTGGTCTATAATAGGACATTCTTCAATTTCTTTACAAAAGTAGGCAACAAATATAAAGTGTAAGTAAAAACAGTAGAAAATTAAAGACAAAATATTATTATAACAAAAAAATACTCAAGGATTTTATGAACAAATAGAGTCATCCTATACTCTTTCCTTGGAATTTTGATCGATTATTATAGTGCTTTTTCAATATTAATGAATTAAAAAAAATTACTTTTTAACTTCATTTTAAATTAGAACATTCTTTAGCTTCCCTAGGTAATCTAATATTCTATGACATCTATTTTAAGAATGTATACATTTAAGTTACATGTGTTAAACAGATATTACAGATTTCTCTACTCCCCAACTCATGGTGGCTTAAGTTTACATACTTCAAACTGTTTTATGATTACATATTTGAAAAATTTAAAAGTGATATCTGAAAAAATATAATGTTGCTTCCACTTGTGATTGGTAAGATTTAGAATGAGTGAATATTGTGGGCACTTACATAAAGTTTAAATTTGGAAACCTGTGAATAAAACCAATTGATTCCAAGCAGGTCCCTTGGGTGGTTTAATGATATAACTTAATGTTACAATTGTGTGATTTTGGACATCTTTTGAATACTTAACTCTTCTGAATGACATCGCCCTAGTTTGAGTGTGACAAAGGAAACAAAATTAGGCTATTTTGGTTGTAGCACAATATGTCTTTTGCCAGAAAAGGGAAAAGTAAGTTCTCCTGATAACATCATGAGCACAGTATGTGAATGTCTTGTTAGAGTAATACAATTTAACATTATGTATAAATTCAAAGAAGAGACACAGTGACCAATGAGAGAGACTAAACTCTAATGATAAAATTAGATTTTGATTAAAGATACTTTTATTGTGATGTACTATCAAAATACTTAAATAAAACCAGGAAACCTTATTTCAGTTAATTATATTAATATTTTTGGTTAAACTAAATGTAAAAAAATATAAATGAAACTTTCTGAAGGGTCTATATACTTGACTAAAAAGTGCAAATCATTTTAATATTCTTGGATTCAAAATATATGCAAGTTGCAGATTTGTTATAACATCTATTTTGTAATAGCTGCATCTTCCTCCCCATGATAATAAAATAATAAACATGACAGGGATTTACAGACCATTTAATAGACTGTTGATCCAAAATTAAACACACACACACACACACACACACACAAACACACACACACACAATGTAGAGGTATGTTTAAACTTTTTAGAGGTATGTTTTTAGTTTTTCTTTGTTTTTTCTTAAGAGACATGTGTCTCACTATATTGTCCAGGCTGGTCTTGAACACCTGGGCTAAAGTGATCCTCTGTCCCTCAGCCTCCTGAGTAGCTGCAACTACAGACATGGGCCAGTGTGCCAGGCTTCTGCTATATTCTTAAGAGTTGTTAAGTCCCTGCTGGATCAATTCTAGCCACAATTATTACAAAACAACAATTTGCATTATTAAGAGTATCCAATTGTTTAATGTTATATATTTACATTGATCAAATATTTACTTCTTAATAAATAGTTTACCATATATTCTCTTCTATGTATTAAAGTAAGAGAGAGGAACTAGAACTCTCTTTCACATGAGAGTGCTTTTAATATTTGCAGACAGCAATTTGCCCCATTATTGTTTTTCTTTGGCTTTAACATCTCCATCTCCAACCCTTGCTATAATCAAAGTGCAGTCTGTGCATCAGTAGTATTATTACTAGGACCTGGAAGCTTATTAAAAATGCAAAATGACCACATCCCCAATGGATGAATCAGAATCTGCATAACAAAATCACCAAATTATTTATGTGCACATTACAGTTTGATAAATATGGTCCTAATGGGCTCTTAATATATATCTTAGAGCTTCTTGAACCTTTGAAATTCCAGTTATAGACACATATACACATTCCTTCTTGTTTTTTTTAAATTTAGGTAAAATTTAAATATGCTTAAATGCACAGATCTTAAGTATACAGTGACATCAGTTTTGATAAATTTATGTACCCACATAACCCAAGTTTCCATGCAAAGTATAGAATTCTTCCATCACCAAGCAAAGATCCCCAATCCCTTAGGTGACTGCTACACTGACTTGTATTACTGAAACTTAATTTTGACTGTTGTACTACTTCATGTGTGTGAAAATCATTCAATATGTATTAATTTGTGCTATATTTTGTTCACCCAATATAATATTTTTGAGATTTATGCAAATGTTGCATATATGAGTAGATTGTTCATTTCTATTGCTCAATGTTATTCCATTGTATAAATATTAACATAATTTGTTTATCCATTTACCTTCATATGAGTACCTGGGCTTTTTCCAGTTATTGGCTGCTTTAAATATTCTTTTACAGCATGCTCTGTGCATAAATGTTTTCATTTCTCTTAGGTAACTACCTAGAAATAGAATAACTTTGTCAGTGTAGAGGTATGTTTAATGTTTTCAATATGTTTTTATGAAAATATTCAAACAGCAAATTTTAAAGAACTTTGAAATGACCATCTATACCTATCACTTAGATTCTACTGTTAATATTTGGCTGCATTTGTTTTATCACATATCTATCCATTTAGTTGTTTTTCTATCCTCACATCAATCCATTTAAATTTTTTAAATGAATTTCAAGGTAATTTTCAGACATAAGTACAGTTCTCCCTTGATAGCCTAGCATGTATATTACTAGCTAGTGTTAAGTCTTTATTTACAGTTTTTTCTTTTGAAATAAAATTTACATACAATAAAATGTTTATGTTGGCTCCCATTTGATGTATGCATCTACTTATGTAATCTAACCCTTGCCAAGATACACAACATTAATACTGTCCAGAAAGTATTCTCATGCTTTTTTTAATCAAGTCTTTTCTGAGCCCTAGCAAAGGCAACCACTTTTATAGTTTTTTTTTCCCAGCAATAATTAGTTTTTCTAGTTCCAAAAACTCATGTAATGTAATGGCTAGAACTTCCAGTACTATGTTGAATACAAGTGGTGAGAGTGGGTATCCTTGTTTTATTTCAATTCTAAAGGAGGATGCTTATAGCTATTGCCTGTTTGGTATGATGTTGGCTGCGTGTCTGTCATGAATGGCTCTTATTATTTTTAGGATGTTCCTTTGGTGTCTAGTCTGTCAAGGATTTTTATTTTTTATCATGAAGGGGTGCTGGACTTTATTAAAAGATTTTTCTGCATCTATTTGGATAATCATATGGCTTTCCTTTTAATTTTGTTAGAGCAATCAAGCAAAAGAAAGGAATAAAAGGCATCAAAATAAGTAAAGAAGTCAAACTCTCTCTGTTGATGATAAAATTCTACAGCTAGAAAACCCTAAAGACTCCACCAAAATGTTACTTCAATTTATGAGCAAGTTTTGTAAGGTTTCAGGATACAAGATCAATGTAAAAAAATTAATAAAATGTCTATATATCAACTATGCTCAGAGTGAGAGTCAAATCAAGAATGCAATACCATTTACAATAGCCACAAATAAAATGAGATACTTAGACATACAGCTAACCAAGTAGGTGAAAGATCTCTACAAGGATACCTACAAAACACTGATGAAAGAAATCAGAGACAACATAAACAAATGGAAAATCATTCCATGCTCATGGATTGGAAGAATCAGTATTATTAAAATGGCTATACTGCCCAAAGCAAATTAGGCTTTCATTGTAATTCCTATCAAACTACCATGTCATTCTTCACAGAATTAATAAAAAGATTCTAACATTCATATGGAACCAAAAAAAGAGCCTGAATAATCAAGGCAATCCTAAGCGAAAAGAGCAAAGCCAGAGACATCGCACTACCCAATTTCAAACTACATTATAAAGCTATCATAACCAAAACAGCATGATACTGTTACAAAAACAGCCACATTACCAATGGGACAGAATAGAGAACCCAGAAACAAAGCTGCATATCTACAGCCATCTGATTTTTGACCAAGTCAACAAAAATATGAAATGGGGAGAGGACTCCCTGTTCAATAAGTGGTAATGAGATACCTGGATACCCATATGCAGAAGAATGAAACTAGACCTCTACTTTTCACCATATATAAAAATTAACTCAAGATGGATTAAAGATCTAAATTTAATACCTCAAATTATAAAAATTCTAGATAAAAACTTAGAAAATACACTATGCAACATAGGCCTTGGCAAATAATTTTTGGCGAAGCCCCAGGAGCAATTGCAACAAAAACAAAAGTTGACAAGCATCAGCCAATTAAATTAATGAGTTTCTGCACAACAAATGTACTATATTCAATAGGGGTAGTGAGAGTGGATATCCTTGTCTTGTTGGAGTTCTAAAGGAGAATGATTCCAGCTTTTTTGCCTGTTCAGTATGATGCTGGCTGTGAGTTTGACATAGGTGGCTCTTATTATTTTTAGGTATGTTCCTTTGATGCCTAGTTTATTGAAGGTTTTTAACGTGAAGAGCTGTTGAATTTTATTGAAAGCTTTTGTGTGTGCCTGAGATAATAATATGGTTTTTATTTTTAGTTCTTTTTATATTTTTGTGTCACATTTATTAATTTCTATATGTTGAAGCAACCTTGTATCCCAGGTCTGAAGCCCACTTGATAAGTGGTGGATTAGCTTTTTAATGTGCTACGGGATTCAGTTTGCTAGTATTTTATTGAGGATTTTTGGTTCTAGGTTAATCAGAGATATTAGCCTGAAGTTTTCCTTTTTGTTGTGTCTCTGCTATGTTTTAATATCAGAAGGCTTCTGACCTCATAGAATTAGGGAGGAATCTCTCCTCCTCAGTTTTTTGGAGTAGTTTCCACGGGAGTGGTACCAGCTCTTCTTCATATATCTAATAGAATTTGACTATGAATCTGTTGGATCCTGAGCTGCTTCTAGTTGGTAGGCTCTTTATTACCAACTCAATCCTGTAACTCATTATTGGTCTGTTCAGGGTTTCCATTTCTTCCTGTTTCAGTCTGAGACAGTTGTATGTTTCCAGGAGTTTATTCATTTCTACTAGGCTTTCTTGTCTGTGTTCATAGAAGTGTTCATAATGGCCTCTGAGGGTTTTTTGTATTTCTGTGGGGTCTGTGGCAATGTCTCCTTTGTTATTTCTGTCTGTGTTTATTTGTATCTTCTCTTTCTTTATTAGCATAGCTAGGGGTCTATTGATCTTATTTATCCTTTCAAAAATAAAAGTCTAAATTTGTTTATCTTTTGTGTGGCTTTTTACATCTCAATTTCATTCAATTCAGCTGGGATTCTGGTCATGTTTTGTCTTCTGCTAGCTTTTGGGTTGCTTTGCTCTTGTTTTCCTGGTTCCTCTAGCTTTGATGTTAGGATGTTAATTTGAGATCTTTCTAACTTTTTAATGTGGGTGTTTAGTGCCACAGACTTTCCTCTTAATACTGTGTTAGCTGTGTCCCAGGAATTCTGGTAAGTTTCATCTTTGTCTTCATTAGTTTCAAAGAATTTCTTACTTTCTGCCCTAATTTTGTTATTTATCAAATAGTCATTCAGGAACAGGTTCTTTAATTTCATTTTAATTGTATGGTTTTGAGAGATCATCTCTGTATTGATTTTTTTTTGTACTGTAGTTATGAGTGTGTGTGTGTGTTTTTAATTTGCTGAGAATTGCTTTATGATTGAATGTGTGGCAAATTTTAGAGTATGCGCCATATGCAGATAAGAATGTATATTCTCTTTTTGTTGGGAGGACTGTTCTGTAAATGTCTGTTAGGTTCATTTGGTCAAGAGTCAAGTTTAGATCCTGAATATCTTTTTTAGCATTATGCCTTGATCATCTGTTCAATACTGTCAGTGGGGGTTGACATCCCCTAGGATTATTGTGTGGTTATTTAAGTTTTCATAAGTCTCTAAGAACTTGTTTTATTATCTGGTGTTCCAGTGTTAGACGCATATACATTGAAGACAGTTAAGTCTTCCTGTTGACTTTACCTTTATGTAATGCAATTCTTTGTCTTTTTCAATGATTTTTTGTTTAAAGTTGGTTTTGTCTAAAATAAGAATATCCACCTCTGCTCTTTTTATTTTCCATTTGTTTGATTGACCTTTTTCCGTCCCTTTACTTTGAGCCCACGGGTGTCCTTGCATGTGAGATGGGTCTCTTGAAGACAGCATAAAAATTACTCTTGCTTCTTTATCCAACCTGCCACTCCATGCCTTTTAAGTTGGTACTTTTAATCTATTTACTTTCAAGGTTAATATTGATATGTGTCGATCTGATTCTGACATCATATTGTTAGCTGTTTGCTATTTAGACTTAATTTTGTATTTGCCTTATGGCATAGATGGTATATGCACTTGAGTGTATTTTTGTGGTGGTTGGTAATGGTCTTTAATTCCCATGTTTAGCACTCCCTTAAATACCTTCTGTAAGGTAGGCCTGGTAAGAATGAATTCCCTTAGATTTACTTGTCTGAAAAGGATTTTATTTTTCCTTCATTTGTGAAGCTTAATTTGGATGAATATGAAATTCTTTGTTGGAATTTTTCTGTACCTAAGGATGCTGAACATAGGCCCCCAATCTCTTCAGCTTTGTAGTTTCTGCTGAAATGTCTGCTGTTAGCCTAATGGGGTTCCCTTTTAGGTGACCTGCCCCTTCTCTTTAGCTGCCTTTAATATTTTGTCTTTCATGTTGTTCTTGGGTAATCTGATGACTATGTGTCTTGGTGACGGTCGTCTTATATAATGTCTCAAAGGGGTTCTCTGAATTTTCTGAATTTATATGCCTACCTCTCTAGCAACATTGGGGAAATTTTCAGCCACAATATTATCAAATATGTTTTCTAAGTTGCTCACTCTATCCCTCTCTTTCTGGGTCGCAAATGAGTAGTAGATTTTGTCTCTACATGTTCCCATATTTTTTTTAAATTCTTTTTTTTCTTTATTTCTGGCTGACTGAGTTAGTTAGAAGAATCTGCCTTCAAGCTATGAGATCTTTTTCCTTAGCGTGGTCTATATTGCTGTTAATACCTCCAATTGTGTTAAGAATTCTTGTAGTGAGTTTTTCAGTTTTATCTCTTGGTTTGGTTTGTTCTTAAAATGGATAATTCAACTTTTATCTCTTGACTCATTTTCCTGGATAACTTAGATTCCTTGGAATGTGTTTCAACTTTCCCCTGAGTCTCGATGATCTTTGTTGCCATCCAGATCCTGAATTCTATGTCTGTTATTTCAGCCATTTCCTTCAGGTTAAGAACTGTTTGCTGGGAGCCAGTGCAGTTTGGAGGAAAGGAGAAACTCTGGCTTTTTGAGTTGCCAGACTTTTTCACCAGTTCTTTCTCATTCATGTGGGCTGATGTTCCTTTAACTATGGTATAATTTGAGGATAGTCAGTTGTCTTCATTTCTGGATGTTTTCAGAGGGCTGAAACTTTGTACAGGATCTGTATTTGTCACTGAATTTTTGTCCTTGGTTTGATGGTGGGGGAGTACATTAGCAAAATATTTTTGGCTTTAATATTTGGGCTGTGATCCCATAGGTGGTGCTTAAACTTAATGGCTGATAGGTAGGCTCTTGCTCAGCCACTTGTTTCCTCTGTATTTTCTTGCATTTGCAGCTGTGCTCCCTCTCAGTACTCTGAGAGCGTGAGCTCCTCTCCCACTCAAATCATGGGCTGCATACCACAGCCCTGGGACAAGCTCAGGGTTTATGTGTCTTCCTTAACTCACAGGCAGCCAGGGTGGGGATCTTGAAAGTGGCCATGGCAGAGGAACTTTCACTTGTCTTTTGTTGCTCCACCCCAAAGAAACACAGTTGGAATGATCAGCCTGAGTTGGGGCAGCTGTGTTGCAGGCCCAATCCAGGGAACCCTACATTGTGATGAACAGATGCGGGGAGACCATAGGGAAGACAGACTGGCTCTTCTCTGTAGGGCAGCTGCAGCATGCTGGAGATGCATGTAAAGCCATCATAATCTTTGTTCTTCCCCAATCTAAGGGCAGCAAGGGTAGTACTATTGCAGTGGCAGTGGCAGATGGAATTTCAATTGCCTCTGGGAGCTCCACCCCAGAGAAGCACAGAACCACTGCCAGTAGAAATGTTCAGGCAGGGATGGGGTGGCTACGCTGCAGGGTCAAGCTGGAGCCCTGCCCAGCAAAGAGCAGTGGGTCGTGGTCTCCCAGGAAAGAGAGGCTGGGCTCCACTTCATACAGTCACTCTGGCATGCTGGAGGAGCAAGTAAAGCAATCACACTCTTTGTTCCTTCCCCAGTCTGAGGGCAGCAAGGGCAGTTCTATTGCAGCTGCAATGACAGAATGATTTTGTGTTGTCTCTGGAAGCCACCACTGACTGAAGTGTTCAGATAGAGGCAGGATGGTTGTGCTGGGGGCCCAGGTTGAGAGGCCCTGTACAGTGAGGGGTAACAGAGGCAAGGACACAGGTGGAAAACAGTCTGGCTGCTTTTTCATAAAGCAGGTGCACTGTTCTGGAAATCCACAATAGTCCTTAAGCTCTTCACTCCCTCCTAAGCCTTACAGCAGCAGAGGCAGGGGCTGTGGAGTGGCAAAATGGCACTCCTACCTGTTACCTCTGGCAACTCTGCCCCAAGGAAGTGCAGAGCTGCTACTGGCCCAAGAGCCCAGGCAGGTGTGGGGTCGCTGGGGTCTGAGATGAAGAGGTCCCACCCGATGAGGCATAGCTGGAGCAGGGATGGCTATGGAAAACTGTCTCAGCTTTTCCATAAGGCAGTTGCATGGTACTGGAGGTTAATGATAGGCCTTAAGTGCTTTGCTCCCTCCTGAGCTTCAGGGCAGCAGGGGCAGGGATTGCAGAGCTTAAAAATGGTAGGCGTGCCTATTACCCCTGGAAGCTCTGTCACAGGAACAAGCTACAACTTTTTAAGGCACCAAACAGTATAATTATTTATAAATAATTTTCTTTTGTAGACATTTTTGATGCTTAGAATTGCTTTGCTTTTTTCTTTGTTCTACAGAATGTTTTGTTAAAATATGCCTCATGTCAGCTCCACTGTATTAATGCATATTTGAGTACAAAGATACCTATTCTGACCCATTCCTTGCAGCAGACTGTATGAGGATTACCTTTGCTTCTGTGCTTGATGTTAGTCAAATGCTTTTTAAATATTCAGGTCCCAAACCAATTACTGGTCTCATATTCTCTTGGTAGTGTTCATACCCTTTTTCTTTATTTCTTTCAAAAGTGATGATAATTTTTCCACCTTCATTCTTTGGCAAGTTTATACTCATTATTCAAATATCTCTTCTTACATAATTCAGTCCTTTGGGGACTCAAGTACAATATGTTCCTCCATGGTTCTTTTGTATTTTTTATACAACTTCCCAGTTTTTAAAATAAGTAATCTACTTATCTGTGAGTTCCTAGACAGACTCTCAACACTTTGAAAAACAAGCCCAATCAAGTTCAATTGGCAAGGCCCAGAAACAACCAGAGTTCATGACTTAAGCAGCAGCTCACTAATATAGGTTTTGGTAGTGACATTGGGTTCTGGAACTATGCATGTCAATCATGATAAGTATGTGAGAATAATAATACGTGCATGAGAAGTCTATCAAGAAACTGAACTGAGACACAAACTACAGTGAGGTGCTATGGAGGATGAATTAGGATTTAAACGTCTAGATATCATCACCTTCCTTTATATCTGATGTTACAGACATGAAGGGCTAGGTGAACTGCAATACTAAAATTCTCCTTATTCTGTAAAAACTTTCGTTTTTGTAAATATAGCTCTTTAAAATTGTTTCTTCTCTTCTTTCATCAATTTTTCTAGTTAGTGGCAAGAAGAAACTTTTCTTCTTATTTTACTTCATGTTCTGAATATGGAATTGAATAGACAAAGGATTTTGGAATTTGGAAAGAAAATGAGATTAGATATCATTTTATGTTCACTCCATTACATTATGAATTGCTGTGTTGGAAGTAATAGAAACAGGCCTGCTATTTATAAATGTGTATTTTATGAATGGTACTTGTTAAATTTAAAATTATTATTCACAACAATATTTAAAAATAATATTTTGACAGGGATTGCAAATGCACCACCTTCTGAACTGCAAAGAATGTACTTCAATTTTCATAACTATTCTAATTAGAATTATTATAATGGATTTAAGTCCTGGAAGAATTAGAACTGAAATCTTGCCAACACTCCATCAGTCATGATTTTAACTTTAAGCCTGTAAAGTTCCATTTAAAATACATAACAATGAGAATGTTTAGCTCTAGGGTTGAAAATGAACTCTGGCTGTTAAGTCATACAACTTAAATTAAGAAAAAAGTTTAACCATAATTAGCAAATTCTAGATTTGTTTCAAAGCTATTTTGCATGACTTAAAGAAAGTCATTGTGTGCTTGCTATTTTCCTACCCAGATTGATTGCATAATTATCTTATCCTCCACTTGATTGAGTCCTTATAGTCACTAAACAATCAACAACAAAAAACCTAGCTATTTTCATTATGGCCTGCTTTTTGGGGTAGAGGTGCCTGTGAAGCAATGGACAAAATAAATATCATTATCAGGAGAATGCTAGAAAAAAATCAGAAATAATAGAATACTACGTTTAGAAACCATTGCATTTTTCCCTAGACTTTAATTTAGATATTATTAAAAATTTGAGACAAGTTATTAATTTATATGGATGGCTTGTCTTCATAATTTAATACTATGTAGTGTCACTCTAGACATTTCAAATAGAAGAAAAAAGAAATGAGACGTAATTCATGCCCCATGAGACATATTTTAGAGAAGGAAACTTGTAATCAAGTAAGCGCAGAACAGAATGGCATGCTCTAGAATAAGAAGGTCAAATCTGGCACCTATAAATACAGTAGAGGTAAAAAAATTATAACTATGAAGGTAAGCTAAGATTTCACAAAGTGAAAGGAGAATTTAAATGAACAAAATGTGTTCAATTGTTTGTGGAAGGAGAGAGGTAGGATGAACAGCCTGTAAATCTTCAGAGATTAGCAACCAGAAAAACAACTGATTATTTTATAGGAAAACTATAAATGGTAACAAAGGTTTATTTATTTATTTTTTGTTTTAGATTAAAATACTGGGAATGATATCTCTAAAGAATATCACTTAAAATATACAGAAATATGTATGGGCGAGAGTAACAGCATCCTGAACAGAGAAAGAGCAGAGATGGCCAACAATGATTAGAGTACAGACTTCATACTTAGAAATGACAGAGGATCCTTTTGGTACTGCTTTGTCAGCTGTAGACTTCTGTGGTCAGTAGGTTCTCTGCTGGAGTTTTTCTAGTGACCACTGGGCTGGCTCCACCCACTTGGCCAAGCAGGTTGTGCTCAGCTCACACTACCAGCCTGGATTTCACATCTGCTGCAGGTGAGCCAGACATGGAGCAATGAGAGTGTGTGAGCATGGGATCCGGCCATGGCACATAGCCAGGTATGCCTGCTGCTGCAGCATAGCAGACAGCCCCAGGTGTCAGCTCCATGTGAGGCTGCAGTTGGACCAGGCATACCCCAAGTGGCTTCTGCCTTGGGCACCAGCTACTGGACAAGGGAATGCAATGGTGCTCAAAAAACTTGGAGATGCCAGCAACCATGGAGCTCCTAAGGAAGTGAAACAGCTCTGCCTCAGGGTGCCGAGGACTGGGCCTCAGAAGGATCACAGCTTGTTGGTGTTACAGTTCATTCATTCCCATCATCCACATGCTTCCATGAATGGCGGTGTACCAGTTCATTCAGTCCCACCACCCTGCCCCAGCCCACGGCTACTAGGCTGGTCCAGCCCTGCTGCTGCTTCCATCATGTGGGGCAGCCATCCGGCTCCAGCGAGGGTGGGAGGGCTACAAGCATTACAGCTCCTTTTGCATAGGCCATTCTGCAGGTCACAGGTTCTTGTCCCATGTCCAAGAAGAATGAGATTACATGGACAACTGAAGAGTGAGCAAAGCAGAGAAGAGTTTTATTGAGTGACAGAACAGCTCTCAGGAAAGAAGGGACCTGAAGTGTGTAGCCCCTACCTGAAAGAGGGTAGTCCCAAGGTGTGGCTGAGTCTGAGGAATTTATGTGCTCAGAATGGGGATGTGCATGCTGAATGCTCCATGGGCGGCCTGGAAAAAGCACCACTTGATTGGTGAAAAGGCATCGAGGAAGTTCACATTCTGTTAGGGGACTTTACCTGGAACCTACAGCTTGGTTTTAAGGCTTTAATTTGTCTTTGGTTTGAGGGCTGAGTTTCACTGAGGACCCTCCCCTGTGTGCCTAGGAATTTATCTGCTTCTTGCCTCTA
The DNA here is from genome assembly GCF_000001405.40 of Homo sapiens. NCBI lineage: Eukaryota > Metazoa > Chordata > Mammalia > Primates > Hominidae > Homo > Homo sapiens. Next base: position 30,331,949 of record NC_000004.12, read on the forward strand.
TCAGAATTCTTCATGGATACACTAACAGATTCTTCTTCAATATTTATAGAAATAATTTCCTCTTGGTTTATTTGTGATGTAAAATTTGTAATACTTTTTCTTAATATTAAATTGCTTTACCTTTGTGAAAAATGTGAAATTAATCCATTTTCTGTAGATTCCTTTTATAAGACCCTTTTTTTGGTTTTTAAAATTGTCTTAGAGTTTTATTCTTAAAAATTCTTTTTATTATGATTTTTAAATCACTATATATTAAGTGACTAATGTTTTTCTGGTTATAACTAAAAACTAACAATAAAACAGGAAATTAGAATTAAAAAATATTCATATTCAATGACTTTTTAGCTTTATAGATAAATGAAAACATTTTGTGACAATTATTCATCTTATTTAAGCAGTGGAATGCTCTATTTTTATATTTGCATTACAAACGATAGGCTTATTAGAGGTTGGACTTTGATGTCTAGCCTGCCCCAAACTTAATTCACAGCTATTTTTGTTGTTCTTAAAACCTGAAGGCTTTAGAGTTATATGTATGCATAATAAAATAAGAATTATAGTCTCTGATACCCATAATGGACAATAAGTCTTTAACCACATATTCTTTTTTACTATTTAGTACATGATTAAAAATTATCTTTTGTTCTAATTTCCATATACATTCATCTCTGCTAAGGACATCTACACTTAAACATGCAGCTTTCTTGCCCTTTTTGTGTATGTGCTTTGATTTACTACTGTCTTTACACAAGCCAGAAATAACTGGTATTTCATGTGATTCCTGTGTGCTTCTGTCCTTGTCCATTTCTCCTCCCTCTACCATGTAAGCAGAACTCGAGGCCATTCTAAGGAAACCTGAGTCACAGAAACTAGTAACTGGATTCTCCTTCTAAGAGGCAGTGTTAGTATCTGATTTATGTTATTTGTATCTATTCTTAAAAAGATCATACAATAGTTGGTCCTCATTATTAACAGAATCCATATTTGTGGATGGGCCTACGTGTGTGATGGTAGTGAGTCTCAACAAATGTGGACTGAAGTATGCAAAGTATTGTGTTGCCAAAAGAGATTAACATTTGAGTCAGTGGGCTGGGAAAGGCAGACCCAGCCTTAATTAGGTGGGCACCATCTAATCAGCAGAAAAATACAAAGCAGGCAGAAAAATGTGAAAAAAGAGAGACTGGCCTAGCTTCCCATCCTGCATCTTTCTCCCATGCTGGATGCTTCCTGCCCTTGAACATTGGACTCCAAGTTCTTCAGTTTTGGACTGGCTGTCCTTGCTCCTCAAGTTTGCAGACACCTTATTGTGGGACCTTGTGACTGTGTAAGCTAATACTTAATAAACTCCCATATATATGTGTGTGTGTGTGTGTGTGAGTATATATACACACATATGCACATGTATATATATATATGTGTGTGTATATATATATGTATGTGTATATATGTATGTATGTGTATATATGTACTCACTTAAAATATACAGAAATAAATAAAATAAAATGAATACTAAAATAATAGGATTATATATCTCCTATTAGTTTTGTCCCTCTATAGAACCCTGATTAATACAATGTATAACCCCAAAATCATTACTATTGGGCATTTAAGGGTAGCAAAAATTTTAACTAATAGGTATGTATATTCATAGATAAGGTGGAACAATCAGTGCTCACCTTTTATTTTATTTATTTATTTATTTATTTTGAGAAAGAGTCTTGCTCTTGCCACCCAGGCTAAAGTGCAATAGTGTGATCTAGGCTCACTGCAGCCTCCACCTCATGGGTTCAAGTGATTCTCCTGCCTCAGCCTCCCAAGTAGCTGGGAATAAAGGCACCTGACACCACACCCAGATAATTTTTGTATTTTTAGCAGAGACAGAGTTCTACCACGTTGACCAGGCTGGTCTCGAACTCCTGACCTCAGATGTTCCACCAGCCTTGGCCTTCCAAAGTGTTGAGATTACAGGTGTGAGCCATCACGCCCAGCCTAACCTTCTGATTTCAGCCTTCATATGGTAAATGAGTGTCATTTTGCCATCTATTTAGAAATATTGTTGAATTTTTTGTGTCTTTTGTCAGTGAATTTTCTGTTTAAAATGGCCCTAAAGAGTAGGGCTGAAGTGCCGTCTAGTGTTCCAAAGTGCAAGAAGACTATGATGTGCCTTACAGAGAAAATATGAGCATTAGATAGACTTTGTTCAGGCATGAAGTGCAACGTTGTTGACGTGAGTTCAATGTCAATAAATCAACAATAGCACACACCCAGAGATAAGAAGGGGAAAGTCACTGATCTTTACCTGAGAATGCTCTGAAAAGTGCTAAAATAGCATCTACAGTGCATGATGAAACTATGAAAAAGATGGAAACTTCACTATATTTATGGGATTCATGAGCTGATGATTGATGAAATCAACATAGTGGATAGCACTGTTTTTAGGCCAAAAGCCAAAGAATGTCTTGGTCCTGTTACCCAGGGTCAGTAAAATGTGAGACCCTGTTTGACTAATGTTTCCTTATAAATACTGCACATAATGAGTTATTTGTAATATATGTGTATATTTATATATAAAACATATCATTATATATATATATATTACATTAACAAATCCATATATATAATGAGGTGTCTTTAACAGAAGCTGATTTAAAACAAAATTATGTTGGATTGGTTCATGAAAACGTGATGAGAGCTTCACAGCAACCTCACCCTATATTTCCCTTAGGACTGGTGGCTCAGTATTTGCCAAATTAGTATCTAAAGCAACTTTATAGAATATAACTACAGTAAAAAAAGATAATCTATTATATATAAAATGTAGTTAAACTCTTTTGTATGGATAGAGCACTCTAGTTTCTTTGCTAACTCTCCTCTCAAAAATCAATAATCAAATATGAAAGAATCAGAAGTAATGTAATAGAAAAATGCCTGATATGACATCAAAGTTTTATTGAGACCTACAATGCTCCATCCATAAAAAGAGTTTAATGATGATATACAGTGGATTATCTTTTTTTACAGTAGTTATATTCCATAAAGTTGCTTTGGATAGTAATTTGCCCAATACTTAGCCATTTCTCCTAAGAGAAATATAGGGTGAGGTTACCGTGATGCTCTCATCACAATATTTTCATGAATCAATACTTGTAAATTTTATTGTAGAAAATGCTACTTTTTATTTAGAGAAAATATACTTTGCAAAATGTATTTATCTGTAATGGTATCTATAGTTGGTAGGTGAGAAGATTTATCTGATTTAATAGATTATTTCCCAACTCAATTAGAAAATTGAAAGAGGAATATAGCATAAAAATGACAAAATTAACTATAGAAACATAAAACTAATAGAAAGGGTGAGTATTTAGGAGGCTGAGGCTGGTGGATCATCTGAGGTCAGGAGTTCGAGATCAGCCTGGCCAACATGGTGAAACATTGTTTCTACTAAAAATACAAAAATTAGCTGGATGTGGTGGCAGGCACCAATAATCCCAGCTACTCGGAAGGCTGAGGCAGGAGAATCACTCAAAGCCAGGAGGTGGAGTTTGCAGTGAGCCAGGATCACACCATTGCACTCCAGCCTGGGTGACAAGAGCGAGACGATGAGAAAGAAAAGAAAAAGAAAAGAAAAGAAAAGAAAAGAAAAGAGAAAGAAAGGAGAGGAAGGGAAGGGGGGAGTGGAGGGGGGAGGGGAGGGGAAGGGAGGGGAGGGGAGGAGAGGAGAGGCGAGGGGAGGAGAGGAGAAGAGAGGAGAGGAAAGAGAGAGGAAAAAATACCTGTCTTTCCTACCACATTTGCACAACACAGAATACCTCTGTGACCTCAGATGTGTAGGGCTATTTCCCCAAACACCAAGCAATCAATCAGTTCTTCAGCAAATACCAGCTCTGTGTCCTCTAATTAAATTCAATTCCTATGCTACCTATCTGAAGATAGCATCAGATCCACAGGTTGAGGGCTCAGACCCACAAAACTACCCCCACTTTGGGTACATATCACAAGCAGCAGGTTGCCATCTATATTTCTGACCTATTTGCTATAAATTGGGGTTCCCAGTACCCCTTCCTTGGGTTTGATTAATTTGCTAGAATAGCTCATGGAACTCAGGAAATCACTTATGTTTGCCAGTTTATTATAAATGATATTACAAAGGATATAGATGAACAGCCAGATAGGAGAGATGCCTAGTGTGAGATATGGGAGAAAGAGCTTCCATGCTCTCTATGGGTGCGCCACCCTCTAGGAAGCTTCGTGTGTTCAGCTACCCATAATCCCTCAGAACTTAATCCTTTTGGGTTCTATGGAAGCATCATTACCTAAGCATGATTGGTTAAATTATTGGCCATTGGCTTAATAATTCAACTTTTATCCTCTCTCTTCTCCTAGGAGGTGGGACCAAAAGTCCAAAACCTCTAATCATACAGTTGGTTTGCCTGACAACCAACTCCTCTTTTGAGGTTATAGAGGAACCCCAGCCACAAGTCATTTTCTTAGCATAAAAAAGACATTCTTAGCATTAAAAAAAGACATTCTTATCATTCCAGAAATCTCAAGGGGTTTAAGAGCTATATGTCAGAAAATAATGAGGAAGACCACATGTATATTTCACAATATCAAAGAGGGATATAAAGGAATAGACCCTAAAATAACAAACCATTACTTTGAAATATCTAATTTAGATTAAAATGTTGAGAAAAGAAAAATAGCTCAGAGCAGTGTGAGTTATGTGAAGTAAGCAAAATTTATCAGGCCCAGAAAGACATGAATGTGGGACCTCAGTGGTGCCCCTGGCCACCATGCTTTGGAGCCATTGTTTCAAGGCACTTTATTCTTTCTTAACTTCTTTGTAGTTTCCTGACTAGCTGACTCACCCATTTTCTTCATGTTCCTAAAATTTGTGATAAAAGAACAATGTGTAGCCAATCAATATAGCTTTATATTATTTTAATGTAAATTCTGGTAAACAACTTAGGAACTATCTCCTATTTTTCCTTTTAAAAACTCACTCTGCTAATCAGAGCAGAGATGCAGGGCAACTTGAATCTATCCTCCTGGCTGCAGTCTTCAAACTTGGCCCAAATAAACTCTCTACATCTATTAATTTTGCCACCATGTTTCCTTTAGGTAGACAACATACATTTGTTTCAATGCATGAAAGCAAAAATATCAACCTCTCTGATAACGTGCATGTTGTACTTTTTAATGGCTTATATTTCAATGCTATGTTGCATTCAGAAAACAAGATAAATGTGCATTCAATAATTACACATTTGAAGGTAGCCACATCTTTTCCATCTGACTAATTTTTACCAATTTTTTTTCAAAATTTTTTCTTTGAATTCAACTAAAGGCTTTTGTAACCAATACCAAAGCTCATACCTCTCACTGTATGATAGCCAAGAGGTTGAGAGACATGATGTTGGGGCAAGGAAGGTGACTTTTTTTGGAGAGCCAGAAAACAATGAAGATGGAGGACTGGTGTCCCAAAGACTCATCTTAAACTACTAGAAATTTTGAGCTCCTTTGATGTTAGGGGAAGGGGAGAGAACAAGAGGGTTGAGGCCAATAGTGACAGATGGCCGCAGACATCTAGAGAGCAGTAAGGGTAAACTTCTTTGTCCTTGGTCAGGTCACAATGCTCTTATAAATTTTTAACATAACATTGTTACTTGTGTATACCCTCCTTATCTCCTGGGGGTTAGTTTTGGGAAAGGACTATTAACATCCTTGCTATAAAGTTAATCATCACTGGTCATTAGAGAAATGCAAATCAAAGCCACGGTGAGATACCATCTCATGCCAGTTAGAATGGTGATCATTAAAAAGTCTGGAAACAGCAGATGCTGGAGAGGAATGTGGAGAATTAGGAATGCTTTTACACTGTTGGTGGGAGTGTAAATTAGTTCATTCATTGTGGAAGACAGTGTGATGATTCCTCAAGGATCTAGAACCAGACATACCATTTGACCTAGCAATCCCATTACTGGGTATATACCAAAACATTATAAATCATTCTACTATAAAGACACAGGCACACGTATGTTTATTGCAGCACTATTTACAATAGCAAATATTTGGAACCAGCCCAAATGCCCATCAATGATAGACTGGATAAAGAAAATGTGGCACAGATACACCAAGGAATATTATGCAGCCATAAAAAATGAGATTATGTCCTTTCCAGGAACATGGTTGTAGCTGGAAACCATAATTCTCAGCAAACTAACACAGGAACAGAAAACCAAACACCGCATGTTCTCACTCATAAGTGGGAGTTGAACGATGGGAACACATGGACACAGTGAAGGGAACATCACACACCGGGGCCTGTGGGGGGGTTAGGGGTAAGGGGAGGGAGAGCATTAGGACAAATACCTAATGCTTGTGGGGCTTTAAACCTGGACAACAGGTTGATGGGTGCAGCAAACCACCATGGTACATGTATACCTATGTAACAAATCTGCACATTCTGCACATGTATACCAGGACTTAGAGTAAAATTTAAAAAGAAAATAAAGTTAAACTATAAACCAAATTCCTCCCATAGTTAGCTTGGCCTACCTGCAGAGATAAGCAAATGCAGTAACCTATAAGAGATCATTGCAGGGGCGGGGAGATTAGGAGCAAAATGAAGTTAGTCATGCTAGGCTTCCTTTTCCCTGATACACTTTTAAAATAAGTGGAAAATGTTTACATTATTTTCAGGGGTATTGAATGCTCATTTATACGAAGAATGTCAATTTATTTATAACTATTTCTAAGAAAGCACAAAAACCTAGACTAAAAGCATTAACAAGCAATTGGAAAATATTGTCAAAATATTATTTTAGGGAATACAGTGCATTTTTCTACTCTAACTCATACTTAATATGTTCTTCAACATATTTCTTTGGGTTCTGTTTCTTGCATGACATCTTGTAGAGATGAACAGAGGAAAGAATAACTTATTTGCTTTAAAAGAGTGACGCCTTTTTAAATTTCAAAGTATAAAGTTCTTTTCACAAAAATGTATAAAAATGATTTGCCTTCAGGCAGGGGAATAATAAGTCAAGATTTATCCATTATAAAAATTTTACTTTTGAGCTACAAACCTATACAAAACTTATAAATTCTAGAATATGACAGACTTCATAAGTGAATCACAGGTGGTGGTGGTCTACCACAGCAGCCTTTTTAGAAGATATCATAAATTAACTTACAAATGTATGTTATTTTCAGTAAATGAAATTTTAGCAGAAACCATATTCAACATAATATTTCCAAATAATTTAAGTAAAAGACATATAGCTGAATTTTGTCACTCTCACAAAATCTTGCAAGAATTCATATTTACAGAAGTAATATCTATGAACAAATCTATTATAGACTGTTGTAATACCCTAAATCTGAAGTCAAGTATGTTTCAAAACTCCACGCATTTTAGTAAGTACAATGTAAAACAGTCCTACATATATATATATTTTATATATATATATATTTTTTAATTTCAACTTAAAACTTATTTCTGGGTCAGTCACCGTAGCCCACGCCTATAATCCCAGCATTTTGCGAGCCTGAGGTGGGTGGATCACTTGAGGTCATGAGTTTGAGAACAGCCTGGCCAACATGGTGAAACCCCGTCTGCAGTAAAAATACAAACAAAAAAAAAATTAGCTGGGCATGGTGGTGGGTGCCTATAATCCCAGCTACTCAGGAGACTGAGGCGGGAGAATCGCTTGAACCTTGGAGGTGGAAGTTGCAGTGAGCCGAGATCATACCACTGCACTCCAGCCTGGGCGACAGAGCGAGACACCATCTCAAAAACTACTTAGTGAAGAATTGTTTTGACTCTTAGTATGGTAATAAAGCTGATTATAAAGCTCCAAGACAGAAATAGTATATTTATCTTACCACTCATTTATTTACACATGGAAACAGGGGTGTGTGTGTGTGTGTGTGTGAGTGTGCGTGTGAGTGTGTGCGTGAGAGTGTGTATGAGTGTGTGTGTGTGAGAGTGTGAGTGTGTGTGTGAGAGTGTGTGTGTGTGTGTCTGTTCTCTGGTACTTGGACTGCTGAATACACCCCGGAAAAATTTTTCATAAGAATATGAGAATTTTTCAAGTGATCCCAGACAAGTGTTTTATTTTGGATTCTTTTTGTGGAATATTCAAATTAAATATCTGAGGAAGTTAGGAAGTGTTTATTCACACACAAAAAAGTGTTTTTAGAAAAGTTTCTGTTGTAATTTCTTTCATAAAATTTTTATTTCTTTTATTAAAATAGAAAAATGTGAATATAGGTTATTGCTTTTGAGTTAACTATTTTTCAGATATTTATACTTGTATACATTATATAAAAATGCCAGAATTAGTTTACTACTATATATGTAAGAATATTCATTGGTAATACTATTTTTAATTTTATTTGGAGAAAAATTACATGTAAGAGCCTTCTTTGCTATTGTTATTTTAAATTTTATTGGGGTGAGATTCCTGAGTTAGTGGTCAACTATTAAACATTTATCTTACATATACTAAATATATTACTGGATTCTCTTATACTTGATCTTAGATCAGGTTGAAATCTATAGAATGGTTTGGTTTGGAGGTACAGTATCCAGGTGTCTGTAATACTAACCTAGAAATTAAGCTGTAGACTCTCATTACTGACAACTAACATTTAGCTCTACACGTTAACATAGTTTCAACATTTAGAAAAAGGCTATTGTCTTTTAATAAAGATCTTCATGCAGCAAGAAGTGAGGATATTGATCACTATACAGAAGCCAGATTCTACCACAGGTAAGTTTTTCACACACTGATTTTGCAGACTCACTTTTAAACATGCACGTCACCCGAGACCTAACTTCATTTATCTTTTTTAATGCAATTGTTTTGGTATCCATATGACAGAGAGGACTGTGTTTTCAAGTAAGAAAAAATGAAAAACCCAAAAATCAAACCAATTAAAAATATCTGGAAAAGAAAGTTGTTGCTCAGAGTAATGAGAGGAGAAAATAACAGAGGATCTGAGAAGTGTCAAGAAGGTGGTTAAGGCGGCCGGGCGCGGTGGCTCACGCCTGTAAACCCAGCACTTTGGGAGGCCGAGGCGGGCGGATCACGAGGTCAGGAGATCGAGACCATCCTGGCTAACATGATGAAACCCCGTCTCTACTAAAAAATACAAAAAAAAAAAAAAAAAAAATAGCCGGGCTTGGTGGCGGGCGCCTGTAATCAGCTAGGAAGCTGAGGCAGGAGAATGGCGTTAACCCGGGAGGCGGAGCTTGCAGTGAGCCGAGATTGCGCCACTGCACTCCAGCCTTGGCGACAGAGCAAGATTCCGCCTCAAAAAAAAAAAAAAAAGATGGTGGTTAAGGCAAAATAAAACACGAGAGTATTTATTATGAGTTGAATTTCTTAATAATTAGAATATATAATATAAAATTTTGTTGATTGTTGGGAGACTAATCTCTTCATTCTCTTTCCAGCCTGCCCACTTAGTCAAGTTTTCTTTCAATAAAATTCGAAGGCAGATCAACAAGTGTCCTGCTTAGGCAAATGTCCCACTAGGTCATGTTATACCGATAGTCATTCATACAGGCATGGCCCACTTTCAGTAAGTGACTTTTGTAAACAGTCCTTTAGCATGGGTAGGGAGGATCAAAAAGACATTGCTTTCTTCCTCTAGTCTGAAGACTATATTCCATGCCATTTTTCCTTGAATTTCTCTACTTCTCTTAAATAGACTTGGAGTAAGCCAGAGGGCAGTAAAGAAAAAAATCGTAAGGTAAACCTGTTCAGCACTCTCCTTGTAAGGCCTGTAGTAATTCCCTTTAGGGAGTAGCAGGAACAAAATAAGTTTTTTTTGTTTGTTTTTTTGTTTGTTTGTTTGTTTTCAGCTTTAGAGTATTAGTCTCCATTCCAAGGCAACAGCACTGCTCTGCCTTGCATGCAAAAAACGTTAACTGATAATTTCCCTGACATAAAACAAATACATGCTATCATCTCACAGTGCATTAACATTTCAGTGGAAATTAGAAAGAGCATTAAATTTCAATTAAATTTCCAAAACTTAACAAGTCTCTCCTTATTCCCTCACTCATTCCTATAGTTATTTTTCTATATGAGGTAAACATCTTAGTATACTTTTTAAATAATTGAAGATTTTGTGACAGGAAGTATTTTTAAAGTCTCCCAGGAACTATGAGACTTTTGAAAGAATTGACACAGAACTTTTGCTGCTCAGTTTACTCTGCAATCCAAACACTGTGCTTCCTGTCATAGGAAAATTTCATTTGTATTCAAGAGTTTTAAGATATATGTTCCTAAGAAACTGCCTTGGGAAGTTGCTTTAAAGGCAGCTTTTAAATAAATCAAATAACATTTGTAGAAGACTTTATTTGGAGAGCTGAGCCATCAACTGTTACTGAAATTCAAAATGTTGAATGATGTGGTCCTCTTTTTAATGAGAAAAATTAAATTCAGCATTCATTATAAATAATTTCCACACAAAACCTCTGAAAACTGTTGTCAATTTGTTCTTTCTGAACAAATTTAGTCTATTAATCTCTACACTACTAAACTAGAAAAAAATACAGCATACACAATATTTTAATATGATACTTAAATTGACTAATATTTTCTGGACATTATTTTATTTTACTAATTGTCATTAAAAATTGCATATTGATATTGTCCACTCCAGTCATATACGAACTATAGTAGCAATATTCATCATAACAAAATAAACATCTCATTAAACTCTCAAAGCACTGGCACTTTAGATTGTAAAATTGCTAAGGAGAAGATTTCTCAATATTTCTTATTGTGTTAAGTTCACATGGACTTAGGCTTTTTTATAAGTGAATCAACTCACTATATGTCAGAATCACTGTTGAATATAAAAGATTTTCAAGAAGATCCTTCTCATTCACAAAGCTGAGTATACACTAAAAATAATACAAATAATACCAGTAGATAATTCTAATAAATGTATCAAATAAATACAAATTTTCTGTTATAAAATATACTATATATACACGTATATATATATATATATATATATATATATTTAGTATATTGCAAAACTCAAGCCAAAAACACTGTTACAGTGCTTTAGCAAAAAGTGAAGTTTTTAAATTTAAAATAAATTTGGCTTGTCATTTTTATAACTAGAATACAAACAAATTTGACTCTGAATTTATTACCAGAGCACAGCCGGCTTGTTTTCAAGTTCATGTCCCCTAGGATAAAGTGGCAGTAAAAGGATAATCCATGGCTTGATTTCACACAGTTAGGCATCCCAGCATGCACTGCGATAGGGCAAATGAAAGAATTGGGACATTTATAACAAAACTTCCTACAGACTTATTATTGGGAGTGCCATGAACCATTACAAACTATAGCCCTGGAAGCTCACAAATACAGGCTGTGGTATACCACATTCATTGAAATATACCATAATGCATTTTCTAACTCTTTATATTTAACCTTCCATTTTTAAAAGTTAGAATAATTGAGTTTCACACATGGACAAGATTTAATTTATTATACTTTCCTAAATGAGCCTATTTGAACTCATGTAATATACACATATTAATAATTGAAACCTTAAAGGACCCTTTGTATTCTTCATAATGCCATAATATCTGGCACTTTTAGTCTCTAAAATCACATTTAATATAATATTTAGTGTTTTATTTTAAAAAGTCAAAGTAAAATATGAGAAAAATTTATTAAATAATAAAAATTAAATAAAAATGATTCCTTTTTATAAGACATTGTGATTACTGGCAATGTACAGAAAGTTGATCTAGAACAAAAACTTTGCTCCAATCTTGTTACGATGAGCAAATAATGTACATTTAATTATTTCACACCAGGAAAAATAATCTTATTAAAAGAATTGAAAAGGGTTGTGGCACCAAAATTCTAGTACTCATTTTGAAGCATAAAAATCATAAATATTGTGGAAATAGTGCATTGGGATTGAGCATTTTACAGTGTTAATCAGAACCAATACTATCCATGGTATCGAAATTTAAAGTTCAATATGATCAATAGTCAATTTATGGTTGTCCCCAAAATAAATTCAAAAGTCCAGAAAAAATCAAGAACTTTATTATCATAAGAAGATATAATTCAATATGCTAGAGTCAATTTATGAAATAATCTTATTACCAAGAGATGTCAGATAGATTGTATTTGTCTGATCTCACGCCACTAATAAAGACATACCCAATACTGGGTAATTTATAAAGAAAAAGAGGTTTAATGGACTCACAGTTTCACATGGCTGAGGAGGCCTTACAATCATGGTGGAAAGCGAATGAGGAGCAAAGCCATGTCTTACACGTCAGTAGGCAAGAGATGGCTTGTGCAGAAGAACTCCCATTTATAAAACCATCAGATCTCATGAGCCTTATTTACCACCACAAGAACAGTATGGGGAAAATTGCCCCCATGATTCAATTGTCTCCAACTGGCCCAACCCTTGACATGTGGGGATTATTACTATTTGAGTTGATCTTTGGTTGGGGACACAGCCAAACCGTATCATAGATTATAGATTGGCAAGTAGATAAAACAATGATTGAATACAGGGCAGTGTAGATAGTCCATATGCCACTTTCTATAGCTTTTTATGGACATATCTCATATTCAATTCTGAATTCACCATTGGTAAACTCAATGTGTCTTACTCAACTTTGCACCCATAAAATGCCTTGTACACTGCCAGATATTTATTAGAGAATTAATAAATATTTGTTGATTGAAAGAATATGAGTGAAAAAAACATGAATCTGAATTCAAACTATAATACTCCTTTCATTGTTTAAACCTTGTGTTAAGAAGTTTAGATTTGATCAATTGTTTTTGTCAATTTGTCCTGTAATCTGGAATGCTTATATAAATCATTTTAATGTTAGTAATAATGATATCTGACTAAAAATAATATTTTGATTAGTAGCTATAATGTACCAGGCACAAACTTGGTACTTTTATGTAATCAGTTCATGACAGTATAATTTGATTTACTTTTTCATACAGTTCATAGTTTATAAGCCAAAGTGTGTTTACATGATAACTGTTTTCATTTTCAAATCATTCTGTTAAGAATGTTTAACAGACTTATGATAAGTAAAGGACATACTGGGACATGATAATAGACGCAGAATTATTGCCTAGAAGGTATTTAGAACATTATGAATTTCACTTCATGGAAAATGTGTGAAAAAGCATTTCCAACATTGAAAACAGTCATATACACAAAAATTTTCCCAGAGTCTAGATCATCAGTTGGCAGCATATGGCAAGCCTACCAAATATAGCTGGTGAAATAATTTTTAGTAAAGACTCTGTGGATAAATGCATTTATTAATTTCAAGAAAAAAATTGTCAGCAAGCAATGCTGGATTTTGATGGCTTCTCCCTATTTCAACTAGTTACGTTCATTTTCCTTGTGTTCCTTTAGAGTCATGTCTTTCTGACCTCTCTGCTCACACCTAGACATACTCTTAATCAGTTACCTTCTCTGAAATCCCTTCTAAGACTAAGCAGTAGCTAAAAATTCATCCTATTGATAAGCTATCTAAGTTTAATCCATTCTAGGAGTGATAACTTTAAGATAATCTTTACTTAATTCTTATATGTTCAAAATATGTTGTATATAAAAAATGTACAAAGGATTACGAACTAGATTTTACAATCTATTGCAATATATATATACTAAATATTTGCACATAAAGAAAATATATATGTATGCACATGTGTAATATATATAGACACACATATACTATATATATACATATTATTTCATAATGTCTTGATGGAATAAAAGTTTATTGGAATCCATTACAGAACAAGCTAAAATATCTTCTGATGGCTGGGCACGGTGGTTCACGCCTATAATCCCAGCACTTTGGGAGGCCGAGGCGGGAGGATCATGAGGTCAGGAGATCGAGATCAGAGGAGATCAGAGGAGGTCAGGAGAGCCATCTTGGCTAACACGGTGAAACCCTGTCTCTACTAAAAATACAAAAACAAAATTAGCTGGGCGTGGTGGTGGGCTCCTGTAGTCCCAGCTACTCGGGAGGCTGAGGCGGGAGAATGGCATGAACCCGGGAGGCGGAGCTTGCAGTGAGCCGAGATTGCGCCACTGCACTCCAGCCTGGGCGACCAAGCGAGACTCCGTCTCAAAAACAAACAAACAAACAAACAAACAAAAAACTTCTGATAGGGGAGGAAAAACTGACTGGATTCTCCAACTTCACCTTTAATTTTCAAATGTAATGTTTGGTAGAATTATCATGTCTCCTGCAATCTTCCATTTAAGATTATATCTTTCCAGAAGAAGAAAGAGCCCCAGTAACATGAGTGTAGGTAAATAGTAAGCCACCTCTGTCAAGACAAAAGGTTGAAAAGTTTGTCTTGACTAACCCCAAGATTTTCTTCAGAAAACTTCTGTGAATCCTTAAACTAAAGGGGAGGAAAATAGGCTATTTCATCTTTAAAAGATAGCTACAATACTTTTGGCATCAAAAATTTTTATGTCGTCCATGTGAGGCACTTTGTATATCTCATAGTTTATAATAAATGCTTAATTTCCTAATATTTTCTATACTATCAACACTTCATTCTGGCTAGGGTATTATTATTTAATTTGTATTTTGACTATCAATTTGTATGATTTTATATATCCTATGCAATCTTGTCCTTTTTCAGAAAAATAGAATTATAGAGATGTATGCACTTCATAAAGAGCTATGGGCACATGAAGCCCTATTGGTAAGTTTCCTCACTAGATTTGTGTTTTTTACATTCATTGTATGTCTCATAGAAAAGATTTTGTGATTTCAGGGCAATAGGACATAAGTTTATTCTTTGAACATGTTACAGTAATAAAAAGGAAGAATTAAAAAGTCCAAGTGAAACTAGAAATCTTTGCATACATAAGAAAATAAACACAAATGAAATGCACTAATCATGGAATTTAACAGTGTATCTTATAGGCTCTGAGGCCAGAGAAGACATGACCTATCAGAATTGATTCCTACAAAGCACTCCAAGTAAGTTCGAAGACCAGGCTGGAAGTTGGACTGGACTGGGATCACTTGCAGTATACCACTCAATAGCCAAACATGTCTAATTGCTACTCTATCGGACCTCACAGCTACACAGAACTAAAAATTCCTAAAGAGTTACTACCAAGAACAATGAGGATGAACCCGCAAAAGGTAGTTGAGTATAAGAAGCCAGAATCAAGAGAACTAACTCTGTATAATTATGTTTTTATGCATTTCAAAAAATGCTTTAGGTATTTTTACCTATATATCACTTAGCTGACGTAATACATACAGCCCAATGCTATGATGCACCAGAGATAAAGTAGATAATCCTGTGTGCACTGAAAGCTTTCCAATTCAAGCTTTCTGTTTTCCTGCTTGAAATTGACCAATTTCAAAAAAGGTAAAACTCATTACATAGTGATAGAAATCAGAATGTTAGCTATTTTAGGGGATAGAGCTAGATTAGGGGCTTCAGGATTGCTAACAGATTTTATTTATTTATTTGGATGGTAATTACCATATTTTAATTTGTTGTGTAATAGATTCTAATAAACTTTTATTCCATCAAGACATTATAAATGACATTATAGTCATTTATATATGGATGGCAATTACCATCCATATATAAAATGAGTGTGTTTACTTAGTGATAACCATTTTGTTGTGTATCTATGAGAGATGTAATTTGAAACGTGTACATTACAATTCAACTTTTAAAAGAAACAAGAAAATGAAGCAGTCCCTCCATGAAAGAAATATTTCTTGGAGGAATAACAATAGATTATTGGATGTATTTGACTACATAGGGATAAGTAGCATTAGGAATACAGTTGAGAAGAATTTTCAGGAAGAAGGGAGAAAGTGGCAAAATCATAGACTAATCATGATTAATTCCAGAAGAAATGAGTTTTTTTTTTAAATCACAAGAAATGAAATGGGAATATATATTCACTACTTAGATAGTAGTTACAATTGTCATAGTGATTCAAATAATAAATATTAATTTAATAAAAATGTGTAATATGGTCAGGTGGGTTGACTGACCCCTCTGATCCCAGCACTTTGGGGCTGAGGTGGGCAGATCACTTGAGGTCAGGAGCTTGAGGCCAGCCTGACCAATATGGTGAAACCCTGTCTCCACTAAAAATACAAAAATTAGCCAGGCATGGTGGTGGGCATCTGTAATCCCAGCTACTTAGGAGGCTGAGGCAGGAGAATTGCTTGAAACCAAGAAGTAGAGCTTGTTTGTAGTTAGCCAAGATAGCACCACTGCACTCCAGAGCCAGACTCCATCTCAAAAAAAAAAACACTGTGATATATATATTTTATATATATATATATATATATATATATATATATATAAGTATATTGGAAGAGAGAATATGATGGTTTAATAATAATAACAATTAAAAATATTTTAAAAATAAATTTATGTATTATATTATTATATAAGTAAATGTAAATATTTGTTTAAATTAAAAGTGTAATCATTATTATAATTAATACTTGATAATAGAGCATTTATCACATACTGTCCTGATTTTACATTTTGCTGTTACAAGTCTTCTAAACCAAAAATAAAATTCTAAGCTCCCTGACTGGCTGAACGGACCCGATTTTTGACTAAAGCAAATCAGAAAAACTAATGTAGGCCATGACCAGAAGTAGAAATTGAACATGGCACATTATACCGTCTTCCCTTTGAAACTCAGGCACAACTGACCAACATTAATATTAAAACAGAGATCTTTAGACCGACAAAACAGACTCTTTGTAGCAATAAGATACCAGATTCCAGCCTGACTCTAGCATAGCATCACATAACAGATAGTAGGCGCTGAAAGAAATTGAAGTATTTTGCAACAAAATATATTTCTTTGACATATTTTGAAATGTCCCTGAAAAGCTGTCTCTTGTGGGGAATATCTACATTCCATAGAGAATCTCCTTCCAATTGCTAAATCAAGTTTAGCTTAAAGCTCCCTCCTTACATAGTTTAAGTTCAGCCTAAAGGTTTCGCTGTAGTCAACTATAACAAGTGGAGGTTCAAACAGACCATAGCCTACTCTTGTGCAAATCATGAGTTTTGGCAAACCAAATGTGGCCAACTGTTCTAACCCTGTTCAAATAAGACAAATGCCAAGCTATAAACAATCCAGCTGTTTCTGTATCTCACTTCCGTTTTCCCTATGTCACTTTCCTTTCTCTGTCCATAAATTTTCTCCCACCACGGTGCTGCACTGGAGTCTCAGCCTACTCTGGCTCAGAAGGCTGCTTGATTCATGAATTGTTCTTTGCTAAGTTAAACTCTTTTAAATCTAATTCATCTGAAATTTTCTCTTTTAACACCTTTCCAGGTCTTTTCCTGATCCAGGAGAGATTAAACTATGAGTTCGGCCCCTTTACCATGTGTTCTCTTTGAAGTCGGCTACCTGGGGGCTTCATTTGCATAATAAGAATTTTGATCTCCACAAACCCTTATCTTAACCCAGATATTCCTTTGTCATGATTCTGGGTCTTTAGACAATAACTCTTTCAACCAATTGCCAGTCACAAAACCTTTGAATCCACCTGTGACCTAGAAGCCTCCAGCTTCAAGTCGTCCCACCCTCCCATATCAAACCAATGTACACCTTATGTGTATTGATTGATGTCTACCTATAACTTCTGTCCCCTTAAATTGTGTGAAATCAAGTTGTAACCCAACTATCTTGGGAATATGTCATCAGGACCTCCAGGAGCTGCATGATGGGCCTTGGCCACTTATATTTGCCTCAGATTAGACCTCTTAAAATGTTGTTTTTTTTTTGAGATGGCGTGTCACTCTGTTACCCAGGCTGGAGTGCAGTGGTGCAATCTCAGCTCACTGCAACCTCCACCTCCCAAAGTGCTGGGATTACAGGCATGAGCCCCTGCGCCTGGTCTCTCTTTACATATTTTTTAGCATTTGTCTCTTTTCATCGACAGTCTAATGTTACATTACTTCCAGAAGTCCAGTGTCTTCTTTAATATTTCATTATTCAGAGGATTATGTGTTTTTTCAAGAGAAGCAATAAAAACGTGATATTTACGAATTTTAAATCAATGCTTGGGAGAAAAAAATAAAGATATGTCTGTGAAGATAATATACCCTTTTTCATGCCAGTTTTTGCTCCTTGTATAAAATTTTTAGAAATATGTAGCATCATAAAGTCACTTAGTGGATGGGAGTCACTCAGGAGAAGGAGGTGGGGAAGTTTCTGGAGAAATCTACAGAGCTCAGGAAAAAGATATGTGAGATGTGAAAATCCAATAATGATCTGTTTATAAGTAGTTTTTAAAGTTCTACTCTTACATCCAGGTCATCTGAGACAATTTCGTTGAGTTTGTTAAGTATTTGACTTCATGAATGTAAGAGTTAACATAGCAAGGGTATCATGTGCCATGACACATAGGCTCACACCCCTGCCGTGGCTTCCCAGCTTATTTCAAGTTCTAAACAGCCTACCAGGAATTCCTTGCAGGATTCCCTCCCCTTCTGCCTTACTTCTGACCTTATCTCCCATTCCTCTGTCCCTCTCCCTGCTCTGGCCATGCTGGCATCATTTTGCTTCTGGAACATACCAAGTATGCTGGACCTTAAACTCTTCAAGCTTGCCTCTCTCTGCTGGAATGTAGTGCCCCATAAGCTCATGCTCTTCAAATTTTTACTCATGTGACTCTTAGATGGCATAATCCCTACACCCCAATACTGTGATGAGATAAAGTAGATGATCATCTGTGCACTGAACGCTTTCCACTTCAAGCTTTCTGTTTTTTCTGCCTGAAATATGTACCTCTATCACCTTCTATCTCAGTTGTATGACTGAGACAAATTCATTAGTTGAAAAATTTCCATTTCCATCAGAAAATTTTCCAATTTCCATCGGAAATACTGATGAAAATTATTGCTCATTATCTTCTGCATATTTCTACATTCTTAGTTACTCTATTGGTTACAAGCACTGCATCCCAATTCAACCAGCTTTTAACTTCCTTGAGGGCAAGGAACATGACCACTTTTTTTCTTGCATGTACACATAATCCACCTATTACCTTCTCTGTGGTGGGACTCCAATACTTACCTGTGTGTATGTACGTTGAGTAGCCCAGTGCTTCTGGAGTCTTTTGGAAAGGCTATGTTTATTGAAAAGATTTCTGTCTAAAGTTCTCAGCTCAAAAAGAATTAAATATTATATAACATACAAAAGTGTAGGTCATATAGCTGTTAGTAAAGGCTTTAAGATTTCCTTATTTGATAAATATTACTTTTGAATTTTGCACATAAATATGTGGAGACAGAACCTTTGATTAAAGCTTGACTGCCCAAACTACTTTGTTTTAATCTGAAATCACTTGAGCATAGCTTTTATGCCTTTTAAAATTTTAGGTGCAATATACACAAGGAAGAAAATAAAAAGAACTCTGTACAGTTTTACATGAAAATGAAGTCAACCCAGCTGATCACTGATTAGCTCAGATGGTGGTGAAATGAAGGACACTAGTATCCTAACAGAACTACTAAGACTTAATGCAAAGTATGTTTTTTGTTCAGAATTCGAAGACATTACATAAAAATGATATTTAAGCTCAGTTGTCTTCAGAAGTGTTAAAAAGAAAAACAGGTGCCAACATTCACTTTAAAAGGAAAAAATACACAAAAAAACTAGGAAGCTTTGTCATTCAGAATGACCTATTTTCAAAGAGTCTTGCTGCTTTAAGTACTATTCGTAACTTTTTGATGGGAGCTTCTTTTTTTCAGTATCTGTTTCTACAACATGAGAAAGAACACCTCACATGTTTCTACCCTCATATCACAATCTTCACCGAAGGAGAGAATATTTCAAACCCCTATGGTCTGGGCTGAGTAGAATAATCCTTAGTCAACTGTGTAATTGGGGATCTTCTAAGACCATCTCATTTTAAAACACGTACTATCTGGTATGTTACAGAAACTCAAAATTGCTGAGACCTTAAAGATGAATAACATTGATGTCTCTCCTCTAGAGAATTCACCATACCAAAAAAGTTCACACTCATAAATAATGACAGGCTATATAATATTAGGCTCTACCATTGCACAAATGAGACAATGGCTGGAGGAGTCACCGGCATTCATGCAGAGGAGGAAATTCAAGAGGTGGGTATTGAAGAATGAGTTTCCAGAGAAACAAAAGAAGAGTCATCTTAGGCATAGGAAACAACATCAAGACTGCTAGATAACTCACTAGCTATATTACCTGTCATTGGGAGTTGTTACTTTCAGAATATTTTTTAAGTTACTGAATGCACAATATTTATCTATAACATTTCTTAAAAGTCTTATTTATTTAATTCACAGCCACTTCCTTCTACCTCCTGAGAGGTGATAAAATTATCTTAAGCCATAGCTGCATTTAATAAATAATCATGTAAATAGCAATACATAGTAAACAAAGAGATTAATTTTTAAATTACTCGTTAATTTTATTTTCAAATAATTTCAAAAACTTTCAAAATACTGTTATGAAGGCAGCAACTATTTCCCCATGATTATTTTACAGTTAAGAATATACTTTCAAGGCAGTTGATTTCAAGGTGAAATGTATGACAGGCCCTTGCTAAAATTTAGTTTTTTGCTGCTTTAAACTATTAAGAAACTCCTAAAGTCTCCTAGAAAGAACAAACAAAAATAAAGGAAGGACATTGATATACTTTGAATATTTGATGCCCCTAAATCTCATGTTGAAATGTGATCTCCAGTGTTGGAGGTGGAACCTTGCGTGAGGTGTTCGAGTCATGAAGGTGGATTGTTCATGAATGGCATGGTGCTATTCCTGCAGTAATGAGTGAGTTCTTGCTCTATTAGTTTACACCGAAGCTGGTAGTTTAAAAGAGCTTGGCCTCTCCCTCTTCTATCTCTTGCTCTCCCCCTTCTCTCTCTTGCTCTCCCCTTTGCCATGTGACACACCAGCTCCCCTTGCTTTCTGCTATGACAAAAAGCTTCCTGAGGCTTCACCATGGTGCCAAGCTGGCACCATACTTCTTGCCCAGCATGCACAGCCATGAGCCAAATCAACCTCCTTTCGTTATAAACAACCCATTCTCAGTTATTCCTTTACAGCAACACAAAGCAGACTAACACTGCCCTGTTTGTTTGTTTTGTTTCTATTAGCCTCCTTTCCATTTTACTGGCGACACAAGAATTAACTGGTAGACTGGGACATCCAAAAACAAACCATATGACCTACCAAATGTTTGGTTTAAAGATTCTTTTTGATCCTCTCCTTACTCTACATATGTACAGAAAAGTAACACAACAGAGGATAATATTTTGACAGAGCATGTATACAGTCATAACTTCTAAGGCGATGTCATTGGTATGACTCATTAGAATTTTTGTTTCTTTTGTTTTTTGTTTTTGTTTGAGACAGAGTCTTGCTCTGTCGCCCAGGCTGGAGTACAGTGGTGCGATCTCGGCTCACTGCAAGCTCTGCCTCCCGGGTTCACGCCATTCTCTTGCCTCAGCCTCCCGATTAGCTGGGACTACAGGCGCCTGCCACCATGCCCGGCTAATTGTTTGTATTTTTAGTAGAGACAGGGTTTCACCGTGTTAGCCAAGATGGTCTCGGTCTGCTGACCTCCTGATCCGCCCGCCTCCGCCTCCCAGAGTCCTGGGATTACAGGTGTGAGTCACCGTGCCCAGCCAATGCATTAGAACGTTTTTAAAAAAACTGTATCTTCTATTTATTTTGAATAAATTAAAAATTCTTATAAAAATAATTTTGTTGGTAGGCAGGCGTTGTCAAAAAAATAGAGGCAACTTCTATCTTTAAAAAATTTAGACTTTCAGGCCGGGCGCAGTGGCTCACGCCTGTAATCCCTGCACTTTGGGAAACCCGGGAGGCGGAGTTTGCCGTGAGCCGAGATTGCGCCACTGCACTCCAGCCTGGGCAACAAGAGCAAAACTCCATCTCGAAAAAAAAAAGAAAAAAGAAAAAATTTAGAGTTCCAGAGATGTTATACAGATTATTCTGATTTTTTTTCTAACTATGAGTTTATGTCTTCAAAGCTGGTACTTGACCATAAATAATAATTTATATTTGTTCAAAATATGCACCATAGATAGTAATACTAGACATGAACAACTCTGAAGATAGCTGAGATGTGTATCAATATTTCCACTGAATCTCCCGAAGTTAGAGAAATGTAGTTAAAATTCCATTAGTAATAATAAAGGGAAGGAGTGAAAGAGAGACAAGAGACGGGTGTAGTAGTTTGTCCAAATATCACCTCTTTCTCCAATGTCAACATTTATAGCTAAATTTTGGAATGGACAACTCATCATTGTAATCATGAAACCATCAGTCAAACAGTTTTCCAGAGAGGTAACATATTCTCATTCAAATTACTTTACAAACTTACTGACTGTTAAGAGATTTAGCTTATTAGTATAATAAATACTAATTGCGAATACCACTTATCCTCAATTGTACCACATTGTATTTAGCAGTTTCACATTTGTTTTTCTGAGGAAATAAACCTGGCTTTCTAATTCATGTCTTCAAATTTCATAGTATCTGTGCAGAGACTTAAATGAAATGGAAGATTTTTCTTTGAGAATTCCACTGATATGAACAGTATGGATATCATCTTAGAAAAATTTGATATAAATGCAGTTATTAGAATACTTGAGCTTAGGTGAAACCTACCCACATTTAAAAAGATCCCCCCTTACTATCATCATAATTATTTCTCATTCTGTCTTCACGATTATTTCTCATTTTTAGCAAAGTACAATAAAGTGCTGATTAAGTGTTTTTCTAACCACAACCATGTAGTTTAAGTAAAGAAAAAATCCTGGAGGCAAAAAAGCTATGGTGCAAAGTATTCAAAGAAAGTAAGATATTTGCTCTGCACATACTAATGTGATTACTATTATGAATAATAATAACAATAACAAAAACAACATTAATAATATTGGCCAATAGCTATTGAGTTTTTATTTGTGCCAGGCATGTACATGTATTATCTCAAACAACTCTGTAAATGTGGCTGTTAAGCATGTAATAGTATTAACAAATTTTAATTGCATGAGAAAGTTAAGATAGTCAAGTGACTTGACTAAGATCATATAGCTAGTAAGTTGGAGAGCTAGAATTCTTGTCCTATAGTTTGAATTTTAAATGATAGAATCTTATATCCACAAATAAGACTTTCTCTCCCCCTGCAAAAGAAGATCTTAAAATGTTTGTCATTTTTTTAAAAAAACACATTTCCTCCATAGTGCTTCTCAACTACACTTGGTGATATGCCTGCATAATAAAGGTATATACAAAAGTTCCCCTAAATGACCAAATGTCATTGTTGGCATATGATGTTTTGTAAAATAGCAAGTAGGTATAGATCTTTGTTTTATGACATAGTTTCAACTTAGAAATATCTTGCAGACTGTATTTAAAGTAATCAATTTCTTACTAAGTAAATTCTTTCTTTTGTGACCAGAAATATCATTGATTTTTTTTTTCTACTGCCAGGTAGACTCAATAAAATGGACAAGGACAGAACCTTACCTCTATAACTTGTTGTCTTTGTACATGACATTAGAAGCTAAATTGTTATTTTGCAGTCTCAAAGTTTAATATTCAGTTTTGAGGTTCATTTCAAAGAATTGCCAAGATTTTTCAAATGCATTTGGAAATCTCTTCAGAGTTTCATGATTCTCTTTTGGTTATGAAACAAGCCTCTTTACTCTGAGGTAGTGAATGTGTTTAGATTATTAATAAATACTTTAAAATTAAATTAATAAATACTTTAAAATTAATTAATGAATAATTTCTAACTTTATAGGCATAATCTAAGTATCCAATTTATAGATATAGTCCATGGCTATTACTTTATATTATATTAATTTAAAAACATCTCCCCTAATTGTAAGTTCAAAATGACATGCATATATCTCATGTTTTACCCATTCATGTAAATTAAATTGTATTATTATTTTAAGACAAATCAGATGCAATTTGTAAAATCCACAGAATTGCATATATATGACTGGATGTTAAAAATATTACTAGGACTTATTTTAAGTAATTCTTGTTTATCCATTAATACGCTTAGCTATTTTTATCTCACATATTTTTATAGTAAGAAAACTATTTAAAAACTAAAAAGGGTTAAGAATTTTTCTTTTGTAAAGTAAGTAAATTGTTGTAAGGTTGTGTCTTCATATTTACATTTGATTATACAGTTTTGCTGGCTGGAGAATTTCTGTCTTTTCCTGCAGAGAAAAGAAAAAAAAGACAGAAATAAAAAATGGCAACTTACACTATTCTTTAAAAAATATGGGAAAACTAAAAAAAAAAAATTGTCCTCAATCTCTTTGAGGAAAGCATCATATTCTAGAGGATGGTATAAATAAAGCATTTCTTCTTATTGACTGGTGTTCATTAGACTCTTTTTCCAATGGTTGTCATCTTCCTCACCTTATGCTATTATAATAAAGAGAAATTGTTTTCCTTAATCCTGTTTAATCATTGTCTGGTAATATTTTAATATATATTAAAAGGCAAGAATCCACAATTGTTGTAAACAAAATTTAGAAATCCAAAGCATTTGGAAGGAGTAGACTTAGGCTGAAAAATAACGACACATCTTATAAAGTGGTGGGTATGTGTCAGTAAAATTGTCTTATCCAACTAATCTTTGGATTTAGACAAGGTTATCTCTGTGCAAAATACTGAAAATGTGAGCTACTTGCTCTTTATTCCATATATTTAAGTACTACAAAAAAAAAAAAAGAAGGAGAGATGAGCTTAGAAAATAAGTTGGGAGGTTTATTTTGTTTTTAAGTTTTATTTTAGATCCGGGGTACATGTGAAGGTTTCTTATATAGGTAAATTTCATGTCATAGGGGTTTGGCGTACAGATTATTTTGACACCCAGCTAACAAACATAATATCTGACAAAGAGTTTTTCAATTCTCACCCTACTTTCATCCTCCACCCTCAAGTATACATACCCTGGTGTCTATTTTTCCCTTCTTTGTGTCTCTACGTGTACTCAGTGTTCAGCTCCCACTCATAAGTAAGCATATGCGGTATGTGGTTTTCTGTTCCTGCAATAGTTCTCTTAGGATAATGGCATCCACCTCCATTCATGTTGCTGCAAAGGACATGATCTCACTCTTTTCTATGGCTGTGTAGTATTCCATGGTGTATATGTACATTTTCTTTATCAAGTCTACCACTGATGAGCATTTAGGTTGATTCCATGTCTTTGCTATTGTGAATAGTGCTGTGATGAACGTGTGTGTGCATGTCTTTATGATGGAATAATTTACATTTCTGTGTTTATATACCCAACGATGGTATTGCTGGGTCAAATGGTAGTTCTATTTTAAGTTGTTTGAGAAATCACCAAACTGCTTTCTACAATTGCTGAACTAATTTACATTACCACCAGCAGTGTATAAGCGTTCCCTTTTCTCTGCAACCATGCCAGCAGCTGCTTTTTTACTTTTTAATAATAGCTATTCTTACTAGGGTGAGATCTCATTGTGATTTTGATTTGTACTTCTCTAATGATTAGTGATGTTTTCATATGCTTGTTGGCTCCATGTACGTCTTCTTTTGAAAATTGTCTGTTCATGTCTTTTGCTCACTTTCTAATGGGGTTATTTTTTTCTTGTTAATTTGTTTAATTTCCTTATAGATTCTGGATATTAGACCTTTGTTGGATGAATGGCTTGTGAATATTTTCTCCCATTGTGTAGGCTGTCTGTTTACTCTGTTGATAGTTTCTTTTGCTGTGTAGAAGCTCTTTAGTTTAATTAGGTCCCACTAGTCAATTTTTATTTTTTTGTAATTGCTATTGGCATCTTTGTCATGAAATATTTGCTGGGTCCTACATCCAGGATATTATTTTCTGTGTTGTATTTTAGGGTTCATCAGGAATATTGGCCTGAGGTTTTTTTGTTGTTGTGTCTCTGCCAGGATTTGGTATCAGAATGATGCTGGCCTCACAGGCTGAGTTAAAGAGGAGTCCCTCCTCCTCAATTTTTTGGAATAGTTTCAATAGGCATAGTACTAGGTCTTCTTTATGCAACTGGTAGAATTCAGCTGTGAATCTTTCTGATTTTGAGCTTTTTCTAGTTGGTAGGCTTTTTATTACTGATTCAATTTTAGAACTTTTAATTGGTTTGTTCAGGGTTTCGATTTCTTTCAGTTTGGTTCAATCTGAAGCGGTTGCATGTTTCTAGGAATTTTTTCATTTGTTCTACATTTTCTTTTCTTGTTTGTGTGCATAGAGGTGTTCATAATAGTCTCTGAGGGTTTTTCTGTATTCCTACGTGGTCAATGGTAGTTTTCTGTTTGTCATTTCTGATTGTATTTATCTGGATCTTCTCTTTTATTTCTTTATTAGTACAGCTAACAATCTACCAATCTTATTTATTCTTTCTAAGAAACTTTTCCTCAATTCATTGATTTTCTGTATGTTTTTTGCATCTCTATTTCATTCAGTTCATTGCTGATTTTGGTTATTTCTTGTCTTCTGCTGGCATTGTCATTGGTTTGCTCTTGTTTTTCAAGTTCCTTTAGGTGTGATGTTAGGGTGTTAATTTGAGATCTTTCTAACTTTTTGATGTGAGTGTTTCACACTATAAATTTCCTCTTAATACTGCTTTAGCTGTGTCCCAGAGATTCTGGTATGTTGTATCTTTGTTTTCATTAGTTTCAAATAATTTCTTGCTTTCTGCCTTAATTTCATTGTTTACTCAAATGTCAATAAGGAGCAAATTGTTTAATTTTTATTTAATTGTAAGGTTTTGAGAAATATTCTTGGTATTGATTTCTATTTTTATTGCACTGTGGTCTGACAGGATAGTTGGTATGATTTTGATTTTCTTGAAGTTGTTGAGAGTTGTTTTATGACCAGTTGTGTTGTCAATTTTAGAGTATGTGACATGTGCAGATGAAAAGAATGTATATTCTCTTGGTTTGGAGTGGAGAGCTCTGTAGATGTCTGTTAGGTCCATTTGGTCAACTGTTGAGTTCAGGTCCCAAATATCTTTGTTAGTATTCTGCATTGATGAGCTGTCTAATACTGTTAATAGAATGTTGAAGTCTCCTACTGTTATGCTGTGGTTATTTAAGTATCTCTGTAGGTCTCTAAGGACTTGTTTTGCAAATCTGGATGCTTCTGTGTTGGGTGCCTATATATTTATGAAAATTAGGTCTTTTTGTTGAATTGAACCATTTTTCATCATATAATGCCCTTCTTCGCCTTTTTTGATCATTGTTTTTTTAAAGTCTGTTTTGTGTGAAATTAGAATAACAACCCTTATCTTTTCTATTCTCCATTTGCTTGGTGGATTTTTCTCCATTGCTTTACTTTGAGCATATGATTGTCCTTGCATGTGAGTTGGATTTCTGGAAGACAGTGAAGAATTTGGGTCTCTATTCAACTTACCACTCTGTGCCTTTTAATTGGGGTAATTTAACTCACTTACATTCAAGGTTAGTATTGATATATGTGGTTTTGAACCTGTCATCATGTTATTAACTGGTTATTATGCAGACGTGATGGTGTAGTTGCTTTATAGTGTCAGTGGTCTTTGTAGTTAGTTGTGTTTTTGTGGTGGCTGGTAATAGTTATTCATTTCCATACTTAACTACAACCTTGAAGTCTTCCTGTAAGGTAGGTATAGTGGTAGCAAACTCTCTTAACATTATTTTGACTGAAAAAGATCTTATTTCTCCTTTGCTTATGAAGCTTAATTTGGCTGAATATGAAAAAGCTTAATTTGGCTGGATATGAAATTCTTGTAAATTATTTATTTATTTATTTAAGGATGCTGAATACAGGCCTGTAATCTCTTCTGGCTTGCAGAGTTTCTGCTGAAAGGTCCACTGTTAGCCCTATGGGGTTCCCTTTGCAGGTGACCTGCTGCTTCTGTCTAGCTGCCTTTAATATTTTTACTTTCATGTCAACCTTGGAGAATTTGCTAACTGTGTGTCTTAGGGGTGGTTATCTTGTATAGTATCTCACAGGGGTTCCTTGCATTTCCTGAATTTGAATGTTGGTCTCTCTAGCAAGGTCGGGGTGATTTTCATTAATGATATTCTCAAATATGTTTTCCAAGTTGCTTGCTTTCTCTCTCTCTCTTTCATGGATGCCAGTGAGTTGTAGATTTGGGCTCTTTATGTAATCTCATATTTCTCAGAGATTTTATTATTCTTTTCTATTTTTTTTTTTTTTTTTGCTTTATTTCTTTCTGACTGAGTTTATTTGGAGAACCAGTCTTCAGGCTCTGAGATTCTTTCCTCAGCTTGGTCAATTTTGCTGTTAATAATTTTGATTGCATTAGGATATTTTTGTAGTGAGCTTTTAAGCTCCATCGGATCACTTTGGTTCTTTCTTAAAATGGTCATTTCATCTTTCAGCTCCTGTATCATTTTATTGTACTCCTTAGATTCCTTAGATTGGGTTTCTACTTTGGTGATCTTTATTCCTATCCATATTCTGAATTCTATGTCTGTTGTTTCAGCCATTTTGGCCTGGTTAAGAACCATTGCTGGGATCTAATGCAGTCATTTGGAGGTAAGAAGATACTCTGGCTTTTTGAGTTGCCAGAGTTCTTGCACTGTCTCTTTCTCATCTGTGTCAGCTGATATTCCTTTAATCTTTGAAGTTGCTGTCCTTTGGATGGGTTTTTTTTTTTTAATTTTTCATTGATAAACTTAGGGGTTTAATTGTGGCCTAAAGTGGTCTCAGTCAGCTGGTTCATTTTGGAAGGTTTTAGGGGGACACAGCTCAGCTTAGCACTCCTGGGCTACGTGTTCCGTCTCTGGGGTGTTGGTACTGAGCCCCCAGGTTTATTCTTCGGCCCTTTGAAGTTAGGAACCTGTTCTTCAGGAGGGGTTGCACCACTAGCAGTGGTGGGACAGAGGGCTGCACACGCACACATATGCTGTTTGGGAGGGGAGTCAAGGTCCGTCACATGCATGTGCTGGCAAAACAGTGGTGGGAGGCACTGTGGTTGAAGGCATCACGGGAAAGCAGCAGTAGGAGGCTGTGGTGGGGGAAGAAGCAAGTGGGCTGGGGCATGTTAGTGTGGGCTGGTATATAGGAGTTCTCTGATGATCATGCATGTCCACTGGCAAAGGAGATATTTTGAAGTTCCCCAGTAAGCACCCTATTTGACATCTGAGTCTGTGATGCAAGTGGGCACAGCCAGGTTAGGGTATCAGGAAAGTACAGCAGACAGGGATCTTTCAGATCAGACTGTCCCCATCCCATGGACAAGAATGCCCTGCTCTATCCAGGTGTGACAGTCACCTAATAGGTAAAGCTTCCTAGAGGAGCAAGGCCAGCCTTGGAGAATGGGCCTGCATGGCTGTGCTCACTGTAGTCATTCCTGCATCAAATCCTCTGGGCTTCACACAAGCCAGAGTCCTTCCTCTGCCACCTTTTTAAGCAACTCTACTTATCAGCTCAAGCGTCCATGGGAGTCTCCCACTGCTAAGATTCTTGAGGTTCCTGTTGAGAGTGGGCCACTTCTCACCTGTTAAACTCACTCCTTCCCCAGGAGTTGCTGGAGGCCAAGAATGAGTCTTGGTGCTCCACAGCCCTGTACAGCATTCCCAGCTTCCCCTCCCTTCAGCCCAGCATTTGTATCCTCCTTCTATCCATTTACAATGTCTTCCCTTCAAAATTTGCTCAGAATATTCCTGTCTTCCCAATGTCCCAGTCTTTCTGTGGGGGTTATTCCTCCTGGCTGTGTTTAATCAGCCATCTTGGCTCACGTCTCTGAACTGGGGAGTTTGTATTCAGAATTAGAGAGTTAGAACTTTCTAGGTGAGCTTTATTTTAACAGAAAATAAAGCAATTTTTTAATCTGCATTTTCTCCAGGCAACAAAAGATTCTTGATTTAGGATACAACTCAAGGCTAAACCGAAATCTAGGTATGACATGGCTTCAGAATAAAGATCAAATATGTGATAAGCCTATAACACTCAGTTAAAACCTCAGAAAGAAATATAGTCATGTGATCTAATAAAACCTTTAAGTTAGAAAAGTGTGATACAAAGCTAAAGGTAAAATACACATTGGTAACATAATATGCCCTAATAACCAGTAATTAAACATAGAAATTGGAGAATGTCTTAAATATGATTGGGGGTGTGTGTGGCTTCTAACAGAGGGAGTTGCTATAGATGGGAATCAAATACATAGTAAGTCCACAAAATGAGAAAGTAGTATAAAATTGCAGGAAACTCAGATTATCCATAAAAAGACTTCTAGCTCACCAACTTTCCCAAGACAGAAAATAAACAATGAAATTTGATCAGCTGCCAAAAATGCTATGTACCCCAATGCCCTTTTCTGAAATGGTCAGGTTAAATTGTAGAAGAAGAAGGTGGTACCACCACGTGGAACCAACAGCTGTGCAAACTATGAACTGGGGAACCACTCCCGGTGAGCAGAACCAGGACCCATTCAAATAAAAATCTACTTGACAAGAAAATCTTTACTACATGATCTATCCTCAAAGGAAAATTCAAGCCATCAGTAAAACACTCTGACAAAATAATTGCAATAATCCTAAGAGGCTCATGTCATAAGTGTTATCCTGACAGTAATATCTCTGGAATATATTCCTGATAGGAAAACTTCATTTTATTATCTTTGAAAAGAATTATCCAGAACCTTTTCCTCCCACGAAAATAGGTATTATTCCTCCCACAAAAACATTTCCATTTCAGTGCCCTGAAAGAAGCACCACTTTTAACCTGGAATAGAAAGAACATGAATGAAGGATGGCTTGTCCCTCTGCTGGAGACATTTTCCATATTTGCCTAAAAAAAAATTCAAATCAAACCACAAACTCAGCTTGACATTTTGTAATATTATTGTTATATTAAAATATGAAATAAGCACACAAAATGAAAACTATATATATCTACCACTTTCAAGAGCTCAATCTGGTTTTGTATGGTAACATTCTAGATTTATGGCCATATTTTACAAATATCATGTTTTGACAAGGAGGAGATTCATAATGCAAAGGGGGCTAGGTGGAGGCAGGCATACAATTTTCATTTGCTACTGGGAGTTTCATATGTACTGTCAAACACTCTTCTGTATAAATGCTAACATTATGTAATATTGTGACATAGCCCACGATCAGAAGTCAATTAGACATGATTCTAATTCCAGCTAAGCCTCATAATAACTGTGTGATTTTTGAAAAGTTAGCTAAGAGATATGAATTAAATTTGTAAATTGAGTATAAGCAAACCCTTTCCCAAGAATTGATGAAAAATATCTAGAAATCACGTATGTATAGTTCTGATCAAAAGCCTGATATTTAGTAGTACTTCTCAAAAAGTAGACACATTGTCATTTCCCTTAATATAGATTTATAAAATTAATGTGGAATCATATAAGAGAGCATGATGTGACATCTCTCAGACTCCCAAACTAATCCAACAGGAAATTTAAAAATAATGGCAAAACTTCAGATGGCAGTGAAGAAAATTAAGTATTCTTTAATTTTTGTAGAGTATTTGGGCAGAATAACAAAAACATAAACTAATCATATTCTATCTCATGTACCCAAATAGTATTTAGCTAAGAGAAAAATTTTGAAACATCATAGGTTTCTGTTTTATTTTTGGGTTGATAGTTAGGGATAGTACTTCCCCAAAATCTAATAGGGCAAATAAATAACAGAAATTTCTTTTACAAGCAATGAGACCAGTGGTTTCTCTCCCAAACACATTGACCCTGTTTTCTATTCTTTATAAGTTTTGAACAATATAGCCTCATTCAAAGGATATATTGATTTTAATTTTAAATAAAATTAAACTAGTAAAAAGTGACCTAAATTTTTTAAGGGAAAATATTTTACTTATAGTGACATAAAAAATCAAGAATAGATCTATGTACTTTCAATAATATGAGAAACATATCTTCTCTAAATCAGAATAGGCTGAAATAAAGACTAAGATTAAAACAAAATTCGTTGAAGTGAGCAAATAATTCAACAGAACTCAATATCTGATTAAAACAGGAGTTTGTAACCTCAGCACTATTGACAGTTCAATCCTGATAATCATTTTGGGGGTTTGCACAGTAAGGTGTAGAATGATTTGCAGTGTCTTCTCTTTGCTAGATGTCAGTAGCATTCCTCAATTGTGAAAGGTAAGGAAATCTCCAGGAACTACCAAATACTGTTTGAGGGGGCAAAATTTCCTCTACTTGAGAACCATTGAGGTAGAGGAATTGAAGAACAAAATGGACATTGCAGAAAACTGAATACATATATATAATATATATTATATTATATATAATTATAATATATTATATATTATATGTATTATATTATATATAATTATAATACATTATAATTATATATTAAATATTATACATATTATATAATATATTATTATATTATATATTATATTATATATTAGATATTATTATATATTATTAGCATATATATATATGAAAGGCAACATTATGAAGTTGGAAACAGAAGTCAAGGCAAAGGAAGAAGATATTATAATAATAATCTACAATTTAGTAAGTCTGATGCAAAGTATACATATTCCAAGTCAAAGGAATAATCAAGAGAAAGTGGAATAAACTGTTCATTTCAAAATTATCTAAATTCATGTAAAAAAATGGCCTGTTACATGTCCAATAAAATCAATTATAAAAGTCATAGTTAAATGTATTCTTAAGAACTGTACCAGAATCCAGACAGGAATAAAGAAGTACAGAAGATAAATCTCAATATGTATTTCTAATGAAAATAGATATTAACATTTTAGAAATAACACTATTAAAAGGAAAATGTCATGATATTAAGTAGGAACATTCTAATTATATTCTAGTGACAAATGATAATTCTAGCAAATTGAAAAAGAGAATTTAAACTCAAAGCAGAGAAAAAGGCAACTGCTCCCACCAAATTAAAAAAAAAGGAGAGAGAGGCTGTTATGGCTCTGTTACTATCAGAAAAATTAAAGGCAAAAAATACAAAGCAAAAAAATTATATAGCTGTTTTATTTGCATTAAAATATAATATGTGCTAAAGGTTTGGATTTCTGTATCAAAACACATAGCACCAGCCAACTTTAAATTTAAAAAAAATGTTTGCAATGCAAGGATCAGACAAAACAATAAATTTTGAAGAGGACTTTCATATACCACTATCAGTCTATGACAAATCCACTAAAAAAACTAATTAAAGTTATAAAAACTGTACTACTTAGATATATTCAAACTTACTGATTTAAGCATTTAATTTTATGTTCCACAAACCTGAAAAGTAATCATGGAACAATTAAAAATAGGTTAGGTATACCAGCCTACAATGAAAATTTTAATGAAGTCTTAAAATAAAATTTTTTCTACCTAACTTAACACAATTCATGGAATAATGCTAAAAGTTTGTGTGGAAGTATTTTGTTTCCAGATAAGATATGGAATAATATATAGAATAATAAATTTCATCAAAATAACAAGAAATCACAAGATATACCAAAAGTACATTTTTTAAGCCATCAGAGTTACAAACAGAAAGAAGTTTAAAAGATGAAACTGTACAGTGGTGAGTGGGGA
This sequence comes from Homo sapiens, assembly GCF_000001405.40. Lineage (NCBI taxonomy): Eukaryota > Metazoa > Chordata > Mammalia > Primates > Hominidae > Homo > Homo sapiens. The sequence continues at coordinate 30,365,623 of NC_000004.12, forward strand.
GCAGAGGACACTCTCCTGTCAGTTGCTGAAGTTTGGGCAGGGATGGTGGACATGAAAGATGGACAGAAAAGGATTGTCTTTGCTCCTGTAACCAGGAACCAGCAAAATATCAGATAACATTTTGGAACACACTTTCAAATTCAAAGCAAGAAGAACACTTTCATATTGGAAACACGAAGATTATCGGAAGATTAGATATTTCTTTTCATAAAGTAATTAGGAACTGAGTAGGGCAAGACAGAAGAAAGAGCTCTTACAATCTCAGTCTCACAATTTCAAAATATCAAAATATCAATGTCTAACAGGTATATTTTATTACAGTCTCACAGAGTCACAGCTTCAAAATTCTCCCAAAGTCAGGTTTAGAATTGTCAAGGTGCAACATTCTTAGGGTCAATTCTCATGTCAGCAGGAGTATTTGATCATTCTATTGTTCCTCACAACCCTTTCTTATCTATTAAAGTCTCACAACTATTTCTTGCCTACTATCTGGCCTTTTGTAACATCACACTCATGTGAATTTTATCTTGAATTCAATAATCATTTCTATTCACTGCCTTTTGCTGACTTCTCATTCATCAGCAGATCTTAAATAATCCAAGAGCTTTTTCTTAGTCCTCTTTTCTTTCCTGTCCTCACTCTATTCCAGAACATTCTCAATCATTCCATCAGTAGCTTAGTTACTCATCATTACATATCTACAACTCTTAGGTTTCTTTTTTTCAGGAAACTTTATGAATGATTCTAAAATTTATATGGAAAATCAAAGTCCCAAGTATAATTCATGTCATGACTAAAATCTCATTTTAAACCAGGAAAAAAATGGTACAGAGATAATCAAATTGACCAATGAAATAGAACATGGAGACTAGAAACAGGCCTATGTGTAAAAGGAAATAAAAGAGTAAAGAAAATTCCATACATAGTGGAGCTGCATTGTAAGTAACTGGGAAATAAGACATTATTTAATACATAATGCTGGAACAACTGGTTATCCACATGAAACAAAAACAAATTGAATCCTTTCTACCACATATCACACATAAATATTAATTCTATATAGGTAAATAATGTAAATATAAAAGGGAAAATATAACAGTTTTAGGATAAATCATATGATGAAAGAGGATGAATTGCCACTATATGCATTGATATGAAGCTCAGAAATATTTTTTTCAGTGAAAAAATTAGATCGAAGAAGGTTCTATGCATTATCACTTTTGTAAAGTTCTGTCCCAAGCAAAAGTAAATAATACCTATAAAATAATAATGTCTATCAGGGAAAAAAGCAAGATAAAATTAAATAATTTTTTAAAAAATGCTAAGTGCAATATTCAGGGTAGTCATTTTATCTGCAAGCTGGGTGGATAATGAGATATTTCAAGAGATGTACATATGCTTAGATTCATCATCATTAGTAATTTTCTATTTTTAAGTAGATGGTTATTTTTTCTACATCTCATGCTACTGCAACCATAGGAAGCATTCATATTACATATATTCTTTGGTTTATGCAATATATTACAAAATAAATGAATGTTTAAAGCAAATTTTAAATAACACACCTAAAGATTACAGTAATAGCTAGAAATGTATACTTTTGTTCTGTCCTACTTAAGAATATACACACAAAATCCTTAAGTAAAACAGCAGATGTTAATTTTAGGACAGTTTTTTTTACCATAATTATATTTTTTTCTTTATTCTATTACTATGAGAATAAATGAACGTCATGGAAACTAGTGTATCTCTCTATCTGTGGCCTCAACTGGGCTCAGATGAATTCAACAAAATAACTTCATTACTCATTTAAAAAATACAATAATATAACCTTAAAAGTACTACTCCAAGGAACCTTTTCTATCATGAAAGACACTTACTTTAGACTAATAATCATTATTAAACTTAATAATAGAGTTCTAAAGATGTATTCTAAAAAGCTAGAAAAAAACAAGAGGAACTAATATCTACTATTACCATTTTAGGACATAATTGTTTATTCAAAATATTTTAGACATAACTATTAGAAATGAGGGAAATCAATATTATTAGCATGTATATGTACGCCAATACACACATACACACATCCATATATATATGTTTGTTCCTCAGTATTGCAGGATGTTGGTTCCCGGACTCTTGCATGGATAACAGAATCTGGGGATACTTACATCCCTTATATTAAATGGTTTAGCATTTGCATATAACTTACATCCTCCTGTATACTTTAAATCATCTCTAGATTATTGTAATACTTAATACAATGTAAATGCTATTTAGTGCTTCTGCTGTAGTTTTATGTTTGTTCATTTTTATTATTGTATTGTTTCTTAATATATTTTCAATTTGCAGTTGGTTGAATCTGGGATACCAAACCTGCAGATATGGAGGGCCTGCTACATATATACAACCTAGAAAACTCGAGAAGTTCAATTTTACAAAATCATGCTTATGCTTGAGATTTACCATTTTCATGAGAAAAATTTAGTTTCAGGTAACACAAAAATTCTACTCAAACTCTAAAACACTTTGTATTGGAGAGCCTAGAGAAAAGTATGCTTAAAGGTTGATTTTTAATTCAAAGTCGTGATCATGTCATTACAGACCCAGTTTTATTTTTCTTGCTAGACTTTATCTTCCATATTAGCTGCATCCAGAGTCTGGAGCTGTTCGTGTTCATAAAATGACTGCACTATGTCCAGATGACTTCTGTAGTCCACATTAATCATGAGATTAGATAAAAAAAAATCAGTCCTAGAACTCATCACTGGTGCCATGCACATTCATAAATCAATATCAGTTTTATGCAAAGTGCAATTTGTAAATTGATTACACCAATAAGGGGACACCTTTGGAGTTGTAGTCAGGGTCACATTAGCTGAAAAAACACAGATTATGTGAGTGTGCCATTAGTGGATGGATGATCAATATATGAAATAAAGTTTCAGGGCTATTAATAAGCAAAATTAGGTGTTTATTTAGTAAGGACCTAAAAGATCCACGCAAATGTCTAATAAAAGGACACAATGAAACACAAATGATACATAAATACGTGTGGTTTAGCGCTATATCAGAAGTAACTCATTAGAAAGTATAATTTGAGCCAGGCACAGTGGCTTGTGCCTATAGGTCCAGCTACTAGGCAGGCTGAGGCTGGAGGATCACTTGAGCCCAGGAGTTTGAGGCTGCAGTGAGCTATGATTGTGCCCCTGCATTCCAGCCTGGGTGACACAGTGTTGTCACAACTCTTAAAATAAAAGCATCATTTAAAAACACTTAGAGAAACAGTAACAAAAAACATAATTTCACTCAAGTAATGTTGATTAGATGTTTGAATTATAGGTATCTGAAAAGTATAAACTTTAGGATTAAGAAAATTAAGTGAAATTAGAAATTAATCATGTTTTTGGTGTTTTTAAATGAAAAATCAAATACAGATAATCATTTCTTTCAACAATAGTACATGCTTCTGGTATTACCCCAAGGAAGACATACAAATATTTGTTCAATTTTTAAGTTGATTCTAAATGTATCTAGATGAAAAAACTAAAAAGAAAATTTAACTTCAGATTACAAAAGAAGATCATGGTAGTCATTATAAGTGATATATAACAGCCTTGTTAAAACAACACATTCATTATCACCAAAACATTGTGGAAAATCAATACATGAATTAATTATAGAGAATTGGCAGTCCATTATGGAATATTTCTATAATTAAGACATTAATATACACTGATATGACATTTTAGATTAACAAGGAAGTCAATTAGCAATGCTGGAAAAATTGATGTTCTAATTGAAAACAATGAAATTACATAGTCATTTGGCATTATAAACAAAAATAAATTTTAGAAGTTAAAAATTATTATCTTGTTAAAAATTAGCCATAACACGTAAAGACAAATAAAGAGAGATGCCTCGGAAAGCTCATCTCCAAAGCAGAAAATATCTTCTAATATTAGTATCAATTGAAAAAATCATGAAGACTTTGTTTTGTTTTTGTTTTTGTTTTTTAATAGAGACAGGGTTTCGCCGTGTTGCCCGGGCTGGTCTCAAACTCCTGAAATCAGGCTAACCACCTGCTTGGGGCCTCCCAAAGTTCTGGGATTACAGTCATGAGACCACAGTGCCCACACTTGAAGTATTTTTAATACACTTAACCAAAAGCAAAGTGTCATTTATTTCAAATACATATTGAATTATCATCTTTTCCTGAAGTTATGTACCTGTCCTTATTTGATTTTGGAGAGTTTGGAGGCTTTAATCAATGTATAAATAATAAAGATGAAAGAGAGGAAAATGATGCACTGTTAAATTCTGGTCATATTATACCAACAGGCATCGATCCAACAGTTTATTGGGAAATGAGAACAATACCAATTGAGAAAAAAGGATACATTCAGAATGATTCTGATAGGAACAGGAAGCAGGGAAATACTGGGTAGAAGAGAGCGGTTCTCCAGCAAAGGCCCCACCCTCAAGCCTGGAAACCGTGGCCCTAAATGAGAAGAGTTATCCCCGTTTTCCCTCCCAAATGTTACTTTTTTGGCCGGCCCCACTCCCCTATCCTGTGCCCGTGTAAACCCCAGACCTTAGCTGGCAGAGAGAAAAGCAGCTAAACGTCCAAAAGACAAGAAGCAATTGAGCGTCAGAGACTATGGATGGGCGTGGCTTAACTTCAGATGGCACCACTTCTGGGAGGAGCCCGGCCTCAGATGGCCAGGATTCAGGGGAAGATCACCTTCTCCCGGCACCATCCCTTTTCCAGCTCTCCTTCCGCTGAGAGCCACTTCCACCGCTTAATAAAATCCTCTGCATTCATCACCTTTCATACCGGTCATTCGACCTGATTCTTCCTGGATGCCAAACAAGAACCCGGGGACCAAGAGGGCAGGGTGTAAAAGGCTGTCATCCGGACTCTCCACTGATCTGTTTTAACACTTAGCGATACACGGAAGGCAACTGCTAAAAGAGCATTGATTGTAACACGCCTCTAGACGCTGCCATGGGACTGGAGCCCAAAAACACTCGCCCCAGTCAGGGCACCCGCTCACCTGCCTGCTCCCTCTCCCCAAAGGGTTTGAGCTTGGTGGTGGCCCAGTGAGCGAGCCACACCCCTGTCACAAGTCCTGCCAAGGGGTCATGGGAACTCTCATGTCTCAATTCCATCTAAATACAACTGTAAGCATATGGATAGAAATAAGTAGCATATAAAAATTGGCGTCTAATTTCTGAGTAGTGAGCTTTTTTACTTCATAAAGTTGTTAAATATTGTAGGTTTTTGGGCAGAGGGGTGGCTCACACCTGTAATCCCAGAATTTTGGGAGGCCGAAGCAGGCAGATCACTTGAGGTCAGGAGTTTGAGACCAGCCTGGCCAACATGGTGAAACCCCATCTCTACTAAAAAGACAAAAATTAGCTGGGCCTGGTGACACACACCTGTAATCTCAGTTCCTCAGGAGCCTGAGGCATGAGAATCGCCTGAACTCGGGAAGCAGAGGTTGCAGTGAGCTGAGATCATGCCACTGCACTTGGGCCTGGGAGACAGAACCAGACTCTGTCTCAATAAATAAATAAAAGTGTAGATTTTTTAAAACTGTATTTAGATTAGGGAGGTAAATAGGGTTATTTCAATACATCAAATATATATATTAAATACTATGATATATATGAATGTTATCACATATATGTACTCTTTTAATAATTAAAAAATAAAAATAATGGGAAACACATAATTACATTTATTTTAGGAAAAAATGCATGTGTGGATAAATGATACATATGTAGACATTAAGATATAATAATTTATTAACAGGAATTTTTGCTTGAACAAATCATGCAATCATACTACTGGTAAGACATTTGAATGCTACAAAGAGAATGAAATAAAAATATCCATTGCCCAGATGATAATACAATAAGAAATAAAATAAGATCCTGACATTTCAAATGAATATATTACTCAGAAATATCAAGCCAAATGCTTAGTTTTTGATTTTTTTGTGTTTTCATATTTGGCTTAAGATTTTTTAAATTTTCTTTTTACTTTCTTCTTTGACCCATTGGTTATTCAGGAGAGGGTTGATTAATTTCCACATATTTGTAAATTGCCCAATTTTCCTCCTGTGATAGACTTCTAGTTTTATATCGTTGTAGTTAGAAAATATGCTTGATATGCTTTTAATCTTTTTAAATTTATTAAGTCTTGTGTTTTACCTAACATATGTGATTTATCCTGGAGAAAGTCTCATGCGTACTTGAGAAGAATGTGTATTCTGTTGCTATCAGATGGAATGTTCTGTATAGGACTGTTAGGCCCATCTATTTGATCTATATTGTTATTCAGATTTGCTGTTTTCTTATTGATTTTCTGTCTGCATGGTCTATAGATTGTTGAAACTGGGCTATTGAAGTTTCCTACCATTATTGTTTTGCTATCTATTTCTTCCTTCAGTTCTTTTAATACTTACAGATTTAGCTGCTCCAATGTTGGTGCATATATGTTTACAATTAGTATATTTTCTTGATGAATTAACCCTTTATCATTATATAATGACTTTCTTTGTCTCTGTGACAGTTTTTGACTTTCAATTTATTTTGTCTCCTGTAAGTATAGCCACCCCTGCTCTCTGTGGTTTACTATTGGCATGGAATATCTTTAACTATCCCTTCACTTTCATAGCCAATGTGTATCCTTAAAGCTAAAGTGAATCTCCTATAGGCAGCATAGAGTTGGGTCTTGTTTTTGAAAATCCATTCAAATAGTCTATGTCTTTTGGTGGTGTGGAGGGCAGCAAAAGCAGTTCTAACAGAGAATTGTATAGTGATAACTGCCTATATCTAGAATAAAGAAAGATCCTAACTTTACATCTCAAGGAACTAGCAAAAAAGCAACAAAATAAGCCCAAAGTTAGCAGAAGGAAAGAAATAATAAAGATCAAAATAGAAATAAGTGAAGCAGAGCTTCTTAAAAAATAGAGAAGATACGTGAAACTAAGAGTTTCTTTTCTAAAAAGATAAACAAAATTAGCAAATTAGTCTTAGAAAGACTACCTGAAGAAAAGGCAGAAGGCACAAATAAAATTGCAAATCAAAGAGGGGACATTAAGGCTGATACCACAGAAATACAAAGGATTATAAGAGACTATTATGAACAACTATATACCAACCAATTGGATAATCTAGAAAAAAACTGATAAATTTCTAAAATAAAAGACCTCACCAAGACTGAATTATAAAGAAATAGAAAATCTGAACAGATCAATAATAGTAATCAAAAACCTCCCAGCAAATACCAGTCCCAGGATCAAATGGCTTCACTGGTGAATTCTACCAAATATTTAAAGAAGTAGTAGCAATCCTTTTCAAAATCTTCCAAAAGAAAAAAATAAATAAAAACAAGGAAACTCTTCCAAATTCATTTTACAAAACCAGTGTTATCTTAAAGCCAAAAGATAATCATTGTTCACAATGATGTGGAGAAAAGAGAACCCTTGTTCACCGATGGTGGGAATGTAAATTAGCACAGCCATTATGACAAACACTATGAAGGTTCTGCAAAGTTGAAAATAGAACTACCATATGATCTAGCAATCCCACTGCTAGGTATATATCCAAAGGAAGTGAAATTAGCATCTCAAAGAGATATCTTTATCCTTATGTTTATTGTAGCATTATTCAAAATAGACAAGATATGAAATCAATCTAAGTGTCTACTGTTGGAGGAATGGATAATGAAACTGTGATATACATACATAGATAGATGGATGGATAGCTGGATAGATTAGATAGATTGATAGATGCTAGATAGATAGATAGATGAGTAGATAGATACACACACAATGGAGTATTATTCAGCATTAAATAAATTTTAAAATCCTATCATTTGTCATAATGTAGATGAATCTGGAGGACATTATGCTAAGTGAAATAAGTCAGAGAAAAAAATTGAAGGATCTCACTTATTTGAGGAATCTAACAAAGTGAAACTCATAGAAGCAGACGGTAGACTGGTAGTTGTGAGGGGCTGCAGATTGGGGAAAAAATGGAAAAATACTGGTCGAAGTGTATACAGTTCCAGTTATACAGGATTAATAAGTTCTGGAGATCTAACATACAGCATGGTGACTGTAGTTGATAATACTGTATTGTATACTTGCTATGACAATCGATCTTAAATATTCTCTCCACAAACACATTAAAAAATTGTAACTATGTGAGGTGATGGATATGTTACTTAGCTTGATTATGCTAATCATTCCACAATGTATACATATAATAAAACATAATGTTGTATACCTTATCTGTAAGCAATTTTTGTTGATATATCTGTAAAGCTGGAAAAAATTAAAAATAAAAATTAAATTACAAATTATTTTTATTAAGCAACTTATATATATTTCCTTTTCAATATAGTGGTTTAAAAATATATAAGAGAAAGCAGGACATCTTTAAGAAATCATTAATTTTTTTTGTCTAGTAAACTATCTTGAAAACTAATATTTTGCTCTGCCATTAACAGCCTCAGTAACATTGAAAATATGCATGAACCAAAGGAAATAGGGTATCTCTCCCTTCATAAAACACAATAGACTCAAAGGCTAAAAACTATATCCTGAGCAATGTTATTGAATTTTTTTGTTTTTGGCAAGTTTAATTATATTTAAGGAATGGATTTTCTCAGTAATATCATCTTCTCTTAAACTGAAACTGGCTAAGCATGGAAAATTTCATTCCAAGTACCATGTTTCTGGCATTAGGAGGCCTCCATTTGGAAAACAATGTCATAGGCTTCATGTAGACAGATGGATAAATGAACAAAAGCAAAATAACATCTTAAGTTTTCTTCTTCTTCTTCTTCTTCCTGCTTGGTCTTCTGCCAAATAGAACTATAATTCTGTAGAAAACTGAAAAAAATATATATTCTAGCACAAATTTAACTCTTCCTATGTCAATTTTCTCTCTGAATTTTATCTTCTCTGGCATATCTCCATTTTATAGAATTAATATATTAGCAACTTGCTCAGAGAGAATATTTAAACAAGTTCCCTCAGTATATAAATTATTCCTTGGAAGAAAGTTACATCTATATTTAACTGCTTAATTGTCTGTTGTTATGGGCTGAATTGGGTCTTCCTGAAATTCATATATTAAAGTCCTAACCTCCAGTATCTTAGAATCTGGAGACAGATGTATTAAAGAGGTAATTGAGTTAAAATGTGGTCATTAGAGCAGATCTTAACCAAATATAAGTGGTGTCCTTCTTACCCAATAAATGAAAAATAAAAGAGGGAAATATTATCATTAGAATTTCTTATTAGTACATTCACTGTACAACAGCCTAGAAAAATGGACTAGAGGGGGATAATACCAGAATCTGAATGTAGGACAAAGGCAATATTCTTAATAAAAACAGTTAGTTATAAAGGGAAGGATATTGTTATTATGTCTAGGGAACAATCAAGAGACTTGACTTCCTAGACCGAAAACCACATGTTGGATAGCATTAGAACATTTTGATTAGATAGTTAGAGGTTAGATTACGGAGGCAGAAGTAGAAGGATTTAGAAATGATAGAGGAGAAAACATGAAGCCTCCAGTGAAGAGAAATAGCAAGATCAAAGTAGTGTCTAGAAAAAATTCACCGATGCAGGCTATGCATTTCCTCTATATTTTAGTTTTATGCTTGTAAATCAAGGATAATGAAATATGATTTATGGAGAAATTGGGAGGATTAATTATACAAACTGATGTTTGTAAAAAGCTTTAAGAAATGCTCAATGTAATGCCTTCTTGCATCAAAGCTCAGAGTATTTGCATTCATTCTCTGATAAATTTCTATTCACATTTTCTCAATTTACTTTAGATTGAGCTCTAATGAAAGTGGTTTCTGAGAACATTTTCTGAAAGTGAAGTACCTAGGAGAGCAACCAGCAGAGCCAGACCATCTCAGAGGTATAAGAAAAGACAAATTCCCATGATGCAAGGTCACTAGTTTTCTTTTCTTTTCTTTTCTTTTTGACGGAGTTTCCCTCTTGTTGCCCTTTTCTTTTCTCTTTTCTTTTCTTTTCTTTTCTTTTCTTTTCTTTTCTTTTCTTTTCTTTTCTTTTCTTTTCTTTCCTTTTCTTTTTGACGGAGTTTCCTTCTTGTTGCCCAGGCTGGAGTGCAGTGGCACGATCTCGGCTTACCGTAAACTCCGCCTCCCGGGTTCAAGCGATTCTCCTTCCTCAGCATCCCGAGTAGCTGGGATTACAGGCATGTGCCACCACACCCAGCTAATTTTGTATTTTTAGTAGAGATGGGGGTTTCTCCATGTTGGTCAGGCTGGTCTCGAACTCCCGACTTCTGGTGATCCGCCTGCCTTGGCTTCCTAAAGTGCTGGGATTACAGGTGTGAGCCACCACGCCTGGCCACTAGGAAGAGTTTCTAAGAGAAATAGAGATGCCCCAACTATTTTTCTCACCAGGTGTTCAGCTGCTCATGTTTTCATTCTCAGATTCCAGAGTAATAGTTCAGGTCATCCCATGCGGAAATTAACAGTCATAGGGCTAATCCAAAACTGATTAAGAGATTAAAACTGTCTATTAAATTTTTTCTATAAATTTGATTATAATTAAAATTACCCATTATTTTGGAATAACCAAAAAAGGTTTAAAAGGCAAGTTAGAAATGTGAGATTAAGCTGTCTACATGTACAAGCTATCCACATGTAAAATTCTTCTTATACAAAATAGATTAGGCCCTAGAAAATGCTACTTATTTTTCTATAGATTTTTGTTCCACTGTCATGGATCATATTTACCTAAAAAATGTCCTCACAGAGTACACAAACCTTTAATACCTGCTATGACATGGTTTAAAATAATTATTCATTCATGGCACTTGTTGCAGTTGGTAGAGAAGACTTTATTCTATGGGGGAAAAAATCAAAATAGGTTTAGGTACTACTGCCCTGGACTGTTGCAATGCGGAAGAGAAATTGGGTTCAACTTCAAATACAGCAAGTAAAAGTGGGGATTTATAGCCAAGAAACATGGCGGAGGTCAATGGGTGAGAAACTACTAAGAACAAACATTAAGGGTAAAGGGGAATTCTGGCTAAACCAAACAAACTTGCTTCCTGCTGAAGGCAGGAAAGGATAAACAGGCATCACCGGGAGGATGCTGGAGTATGAGAAGCCTTATCAGATAACGAGAATAATGTGACATTGAGGATGGCTAAACTGACTTAGCAGGATTCTTGCTAATAGTGGACAATGCAGAAATGAACACAAAAGTCTAAAAGTCAAGACCAACCTGAAAAAGATTTTAGGGGAACTTGGCTAGAGTTTGGTCAAAGAATCCTTGCTACCATTCAGTCACAGTTATAATACTACTATAAATAATACGATGTTTTTATTCAACAAATATTTGTTTATATATTTGAGATATAGTATTTTCCAGGTACCCCTCTGAGTATCTCTGATTGACAATGAGTAAGTGGGACTAAAATGGACGTTTTTTTCAAAATTTTATTTATACATATCTATTTTTTAATAAGTGGATATTCCATGTATGACAAAAGGTATTAAATACTATTATCCTTGTCCGTAAGCCATTTTTCTCAGCAATATTGCCTTCTATTCTCACCTTGGGCTCTTCCAATTAAACCATATTTTCACTCTCTTAACAATGCTTGCCTTTCCATCATTAGCAAGTGTTAGAAATTTACCCTTTGCATTCTATCCCTACCCCTACTATTGTAATCAAGCCTCTAAATTATATGGTCTGAAACTGTATTAAATGGCTTTCTGATAGAGCTTCCAAATCTACTTTTTCTTCTTTTCTCCCTCATCTTATTCAGTCTGTGTCGCTGTGCTGCTTACTAAATATAAAGAACAATGGCATGGTTGTCTGGAGATTTGGTTCCAAGTTTCATTTCTATCATTATTTCATCACCTTGTTAGTGTCACTTAAAGCACTAGATCTTATTGCATCAACTTGAATGGATGGAGATAGTACCAGGATATTGCTGTCTTCCCTACTTTCCATAAACATTTTTGATGCTGATACTTTTAACTATCTAGTTGACTATTTCCTCATTCTCTGCTACCTAATATTTTAGTTTTTCATCTCTATTATCCCACTTTTATGTGTTTTGCTTTAAATAGGTTAACGCACTACAAAAGCTTCTTCTTCGTAAGTCTCTCCTCTATTTCTCTAATTAAACCAATTTTTAACCTCAAGATCCAATATAATTCTTTTCTTTCTTATAGTCTTCTACAACTATTCAGACCATTACTCTTTTCCTCATTTTAGCTGCAATAGCAACTATAATCAGATCTGAAAACTCCTATAATTTCATCCTTTAGTTGCTTTATGTGAACCATTAATAGAGAATTTGGTTTTAGTTTTTTCTTTCAATAATATGTAGTTCAACATCAGACATACAGTGGAGGCTCATTAATAATTATGGATTATAAGAAAAGATAATTGAAAATTAACTGTTTTGTGCACTTTGCAGAATACTTGGCATAAAAAAGTGAGGAGTATTTATTTTCTCTTATTGTTCTGAGATGGTAGTCGTAGATTTGTCTCCTGGGGGATTGGATTTTCTGCTTTTTATTCTGTCCACCTACCAAATTCAGGTGCACAGAAACTAGGAAAGGACATTGGGGATTAATGGATAACAGGCACTGGGTTTAGGTTCTGGATGAGGTTCAGAGATATCTGCAGAATGTGTATCGTTTTTGTTATTGTCAAATAGAGCATATTTAGCTTTACTTCTTTTGTGATAGTGTCCCTTTATAAACTTAATTTATTTTTTCTTGTAAGAAATGTGTGTAGATACCACACAAATCAGCAAAACAAAACAAAACAGAAACAACTTGTGTGAGGTATACGTGTTGAATTTAAACATTAAACCAAAGCAATGAGGCACACCAGAATAAACAAAAGAGATATTTTTCTTCTCCCCCCATAGCTCACCATATTATGTCATGTTTCAGTTGCCTATCTCAAAATGTTAGAAAATGTAACTAAAAGTGGCTTAAACAGTAAATGGATTCATAAGCTCAGACCTTCTCACAATCTGAAAATTTGTCAGTTTAAGTCTATTCTTTCAGCAACTTGAAATGGTCAGAAATCAAGGAAGTTCCCACATGCAGATAGGACCCATGACAATTTGGCCTTGGTCATCATGCTTCCCCCTCATTATTATAAGGTTGATCATGAACTCCAAACATCATCTACTTGACCCCAATAATGTTAGAAGCCACAAGCCAGAATAAGATATGTTTGTGTGATCCTTTTTAAGTGCAATAATTTCTTCTTCAAATTTCCCATTAGAAATCAACCAGTAATCAAAATTGTATTGTATTCTTATTTCAAAACTACTAAGATGAAGAATGGAATCATTTTGCTGTCAATACTTAGCTTGATTCACTACATGAGGCAAAGGAGAAACACAGATTCCACTAAAGCACAGGACTATTTGGTACCTAAAAAGCAAGTCAGATTCTCTACCAAGGATGAAGGTGAGAGGGTTTAGAAGTGAAATAATATATTATGTTTAGCATGTTCCCAAACTCTTTATCAACAATTTTGGTAGAAGAGGAGAAATATAATTTATATTGGCATAATTGCTTAGTGAAAATAGAATTGGGCTGGATATTGAAGTAATAGAATTTTGTTTCTGACTCATTTTGTAATTCCTGTCTGTGATATTATTGTATTTCATTTGAAGTCAGTTTCTTTATGTATTAATTAAAGTTTTGCAGAAAGGATTTAGTAAACCACAGGTTTCTGGTTAGGGCATTTCTATGGGAATACCTAGGACTCATAGTTTTGGAGGTTTTATATAATCCTATATATATTTTTTCTTCTTCTTTTTTTTTTTTTTTTTTGAGATGGAGTCTTGCTCTGTCTCCCAGGCTGGAGTGCAGTGGCGCGATCTCAGCTCAGTGCAAGCTCCACCTTCCGAGTTCATGCCATTTTCCTGCCTCAGCCTCCTGAGTAGCTGGGACTACAGGCACCCACCACAACACCTGGCTATTTTTTTTGTATTTTCAGTAGAGACAGGGTTTCACCGTGTAAGCCAGGATGGTCTCGATCTCCTGACCTCGTGATCCACCTGTCTTGGCCTCCCAAAATGCTGGGGTTACAGGTGTGAGCCACTGCACCCAGCCCAATCCCATATTTCTCAAAGCTTAGTTTACTGTTTCAATTATTTTTTTTGTTATTTTTTGTCTGATGTGGTTAATTTGAAAGGCCTGTCGTCGAGCTCTGATATTCTTCCTTCTGCTTGGTCTAGTTGTTAAAGCTTTTGTCTATATTTTGTAATTTTGTCAACGATTTTTTTATTTCCAGAAGTTTTGTTTAATACTTACCTCTTCAGTGAATTTTCATTCATATTCTAGATTGTTTTTCTGATTTTTGTGTGTGTGTTTTCAACTTTCTCTTGGATCTCATTGAGCATCTTTAACATCAATATTTTAAATTCTTTATCTGATATTTCAAATATTTCATTTTGGTTAGGATTTATTGCTGGAGTTAATACCATCCTTTGGGAGTGTAATAACACTGTTGTTGTTGTTTTTTTCATATTACCAGAACTGTTTCTCTAGTTCCTTCTCATCTGACTAAACTATCTTTTCTTCTTATTTTTCAATTTGCTTTCATGTGGATGAGTTTTTTGTTTTGTCTTTGTTTTCTTCCTTTGAGGATGTGACTATACTGTATGTTGTGTATTGTTGTTTGGTTTCAGTCCTGGGTGCTTTCAGTGGCAATGACTCCACATTTGTTCCTTGGTTATAAATGGCCCTTGTGCAGTGACTTTCTTAAATACTGATTGTAATAGCGATGTATGGGATGTGTGATCAGGCTCATTGCCTTCTGCGGGACTGGAATGGTAGAGATCTTAGGAAGGTTGTTTCATTCCCTAACGCTGCACGTCAGCAGGTTTTGCATTGGGCTGTGCAGTTCAACCTCTAGGCCACTAGGTGGTGCTTACAAGTAAGAGCCAGCTGTAACTTTGCTTCTTTCTGATAACAAGCTTCTGATGTCTCTAATCAGCCATCTTGGAAAACCAGAAGAGAATAGTTGGAAGTTATTTATAAAAATATGTAATATTTGAAGACATTGGGCAAAGATAAATTATTATTCAAGAGACATCGAATTTAGAATTTCAAATAACACCAACATGGAGGCATGGGCATAGTTAATGAAGATTTTGCAGACTATATATAAATTTTTAGTATCAAAAGTAGGTCACATAAAAACTATTTGGGGATTTTTAACTGTGTTTGGTATTTTTTTGTTTCATTCATTACTTGACAAGTGTACAAAACTGATAGTTTGAGAAACGTTTTCTTTAATGAATGCTGGAAATATGTTTTGGAGAAATTTATGAGTCAACAATTTTTATTATAGTTTTGTTATGGTAAGAAACACATAATTTAAAATTACCATCTTAACCATTTTAAGTAGTGTTAATTATATTCAGATTATTGTACAACTTTTTCAATTTGCAACACTGAAACTCCATACCCATTACACAGTAATTCCTACTTCCACTCCTCCCAAACTTGGGGATCACCTCTCTTCTTTCCTTTTCTTTTTGCACATGTTACTGATTTTACCAATCACATTTCCTAATTTAAAGAATTTTAATTGTAGACAATATTTCCTGGCTTTTTATTTCTGATTTCAGCATTCTTTGTTAGTTTTCTTTTCTCAGCTGCAAAATGTAATAAATCCAGGAGTTAATTTTATTTTCACTAAATAATTTGTCTGTAAAATGCATAAAATTAGAAAGATAAATGAAAAGATAGTGATCATTGAAAATCAGATAGTAAAATTATGAATGTCTTTATGACTCCAAGAAGATTTCAAAAATCTCTGACACTAAATTTTGTGAGGACTAAATAATGAGTTATGAGGTAATTGTTTCATGCTTAATTTGAACTTTCCTGTCATTACTCATTTATGACTTTGCACACATGACATTTTGTTAAAGAAAATAAAATTCTTTTTTTTTATTTTTAATAACTATTTAAAAACCTCTTTACTGATGCAGAAGGATACTGCAGGGGTGGACATTTATTGATTCATCCATCCATCTTTCCAGACATTCATTAAAAAATATTATTACAAGTTTACAAGTGTTAGAAAGACAAACATATTTCTCTTTTTCTTTTCTTAAGAACTTTCCAGCAGACTACCTAACAAATAATTCGTACAATAAATGCTTATAGAGTAAAAGAACAAATTAAAGTGATAATTAAGAATAAGCATGGACTTGCACTATAAACTATAATGTAACATGAAAGTTCTATAACAAATGTCTGAAAATACTGCTATGAAAGCACTGCATAGGCATAAGGAGGCTTTGGAGGAACAGATGACCACTGAAAGATCAAAAAGTAACTCATGTAAGGCACATATTTAGAATTTAAAGATGAGAGTAAGAGTAAATATGACAAATTAATGACTGAATATAGTTTATACTTGATCTGCAATGGCTTGTAAAAGAGGCTTTGTTTACTGTATCCATTAAATTGTTTTTTAAATGCGTGTCTGCTTTAATTTCACAGGTCTTGCATTTCAAGGAGTGATTGTGAATTAGTCAATAAATTCACTTGGAGAGAGACATGCAGCAAACGTAAGAGATTTCATTAAAGCATAAAGGATCCAATACATGTTTCTGACAATACAAAGCACTTTGTAAAGTATGGAAATGCATAAATGTGAAATAGCATTAAAAGAAAATAAATATTTGGAAAATGTTACTACTAGAGGGAGGAAAAACTCTTACTTCATGAATATACAATTTATTCTCACTTATTGCAGATATTAAGCAGACTTTTTGACACTGGGTACTTATGTGCAGACTTTTCCTTTCTTTTCTTTCCTTGTAAAAGGCTGTGTTCATATGCATATGTGTCATGAAATACTTAACATATCAATGCACCAAACTATGCTTGAGTATCATTAAGTAGACTAAAATGAATGATAAAAGCTCCCTCTAATAAAATGAACACAGGTCTTTTTCTTGTTAATTGTATTAAGCAAAATCCTCTCTTGGGACTGAGTTATTAAATTTATTTTCTCAATCTATAAAATAGAGCCATTAGATATTCAACTTGATCAATATAAATGTCCAATTAAGGCAATTCAGATCTAAATACATTTCCTACTCCAACGCTATTTTGTTTATTTAATCTACCAAGGCTGCTTTAATAAGAAAGGAAGCATATTTTCTTCTTTTCTACATGCTGGAATAAGAAGCAAAATGAAACCCATGACTATTTCTCAAGTATATTTGCATCTGTTTTTGCAAGAATCCCAAATATGGATAAATTGAATGCCTAATGCCCAAGACATTAAATATTATTAAATGATGATATGAAGAAACACAAATATCTATAATCAAGGCAGGTAGAATGAAACATTATAATGGCCTCTGGTGGATCAAAGTAGACTTTTCGTTTTCTTTTTCTTTTTTTTTTTTCCGTAGTGGGGCAGGAAAATCGAAGGCAATCGCTAAATAAACTCATAATAAACATCACAATAAAATTAATCTTTACAAAGTATAACTACAGTATAACTACTAAAATATAATCCTTTCCCAAATTTTTAAGAATTCTTTATTTTCTTCCCATTAATCTCAGAATTGAATGAAAAAAATTTTGAAAATTCAAAAAATCAACGAAAAGGAATCTTAGGCAGGAAGATCTTCCAAAAAAAAAAAAGAAGAATCAGAAATGCAGAACATATTGAATGAATTTTATGGAATTTCAAGGGTGAGTCAAAGTGCTTGAAATAATGTTTTAATGTTATACCGCTTCATGTATAGGAACCTCACGTAAGTGTTCTCATCCCCAGGCATTTACTGAGAAATTTACTTGCAAATCATTTTATTATTGAAATCATTATGCTTCTACAAATTGACATTAAGATCCACAATAAAAGTTACCACTTTTTATTGAGTAGTCAGGTATCCTTTAAGCCAACTTTAAAAATGACTGGGAAAATATTAAATGAACCTATACATTTATGTGTTGGTGCTCTCTATTTCTTTCTATAGATAAGAGTTTCCACCTGAAATAATTTGCCCTCAGCCTGAAATACATCTTTAAACATCCCTTGCAGTGAGCGCTTTAAACTTTCTCACCTTTTATTTATTCTACTTTCCATTCATTTTTGAAGGATATTTTGAGAAGTTATTATCATTGACAATATTTCCCATCAATTTAAATATGTCATCCCATTGTCTTCTGAAATACACTTTAGAGGATGAGGAGTCCACAATTATCTTTATTTTTGTTTCCCTTATATAATTCCTCACTTTCCCCATACTACTTGTATGACTGCTTTCATTATTGTTTTTTGGGGATTTAGTTATAATGTTGTTTATGCAGTTGCCATGCAATTTAGAAAAATCTTGTGTATCATTTCTTTAAATATTTTTTCTCTCTAATTCTTTTGAAATACTTAAACTTGAATTATTCATATATTGGAAAGATTGATATCTTCTATTCTCACATATCTCTTAATTTTTCCGACTCATATTTTTCTCTCCATTCTTCAAATGTTTGGACAGTTTGTATTGCAATGTTTTCAAATTCACCGTTCTCAAATTCTACCAAGTGTCTAATATTCTCTTAAGCTCAATAGGCATTTTCCCTCTGGAAGTTACATTTTAGTTTTTATATGGCTTCCATTTCTCTATTCATTCTGTTGATAATATCTATTTAATGACCTAAAAGTTATCTATAATTGACATTTTAAAAATTTTTATTGATTATTTCTTCATCTTTGTCAGTCCTAAATATTTCTATTGATTGATTTTTCTCTTGATTACAGGCTTGTCATGATTTTTGATGTTTAGTAATATTAGATCACATGCTAAACATTGCAAATTATGCCTCGAATGCTTAAATTTTTGTTTAAAGAATGTTAGGTTATTTTTTAAAAAACAGGCAGTTTATTTCTTGGCAGATCAGATTAATCTTTTGAAGATATGCTTTTGTAGATCTAAAATAGCTTCTAATATTCAGGTTATGTCTAGTTAAACTTTACTCCTACTCTTAGTTTTATTGGTATATCTACTAAATACATTAGCTGATACTTAAAGACTTCCATTCTTGTCAATCAGAAATAAAATGTCTCTTAACCTTGTGCCAGCTCCTCAGTAGATGTTATTTCCCTGGAAGTTATATTTGTTCTGAGCCTTGTGGAATCTGATTCTCTATAGCACACCTTGGCATTCAGTCAAGGACACAAAAGCAAGACTTAAACAGATTCTTGGTTTTTTTCTGAATCAATTTATTTTCTCTAGAGCACTACTCTACAAATTCTGGCCATGTCAACCTCTCAATCTTATATATCTTTGCTTAGTTCTGGAAGGTAATTTTGGGTTTTAACTCCCCTCCTAATGCTATGATATGGTTAATAACTCCAAGTAAAAATCCTGGACAACTGTGGGGGCTCACCTCATTTGTTTCCCTCTTTCAGGAATCACTTCTTCATAGCCAGTTGTCCAAATATGAAAAAAGTTGTTTTCTTCTTTTCTCCAGTTTACTAGTTGTTTACAGTGGAAAAACTCGCTGGTAGCAGTCATGACCAGAGGCAGAAACTTAGATTTTATGACTAAAAGTAAAGTAAATGTTTTATTTAAATATAAAGCCTCAAATAACTGCATTGGTTGGACAATTTGGAAGGAAAATTTTGTTGCTATAATTTTGGTAGGAATTATATATAATATAGGTCACCACGCAGTATGTTATTATTACTAAGTTATTAGTATAAAAGATACTAATAACTAAACCTAACTAAACCATATAACTAAACCTTTCAAATGGAGTCCTGCAAGCCAGCAATACAGTTACACGAAGGGATAGGCGAGAGAGCTATGTTTGTAAAGACAGTGAAGAAATTGATAGAAAAAGCGATATCACAATTCCACTTAATAACAAGAGCAACAACAACAAAAATAAAGAATAATATTATTGTCAATGTGACCCACGTCATAAAAAATGAAATAATGCAATTATTTTGAAAATCAGTTTGAACATCTATTTCAATTGCAGTATGCACAAATTCATAAAGTGGAAGAATTACCATAATAACAAGACATGAGTAACAGGATACTCTCTTGTTTACTTAAATCAGATAAAAAAGAGGAACCACAGGAAAAGGAGAAATAGGAGCAGAAAAAAAGATAAGAGTGCATAAGAGGAAAAGGAAGTGATTGTCAATGGCACATAAAGCAGGTACTTCAAGCAGGTGAAGTCATGTACCTCATACATTGTTTTGGACAATGAGGAACTGTATATACGACAGTGTTCTCATAGGATTATAATGGAGGTGAGAAATTCCTATCACCTAATAACATGTTAGAACTTCCAGTGGGACAAGATGCGGAGTTGGAAAACAAGTGATATTTATATTCCTTACCCTGTGTAAGCCTAGGCTAATATTTGTGTTTGTGTCTTCTTTTTTAACAAACAAACAAAAAGCTTAAAAAGTAAAAAATAAAACGTTAAATGAATAGAAAAAATATTATAGACTAAAGACATAAAATATATACATATATGTTTGTACAGCTGTACAATGTGTTTGTATTTTAAGCTTATTACAACAGAGTCAAAAAGTTAAAAAATATGTAAAAGCTTATAAGAGTTACGGTAAGCTAATGTTAATTTATTATTGAAGAAAGAAATTTTTTAAACTAAATTTTAGTTTGGCCTGAGTATACAGTGTTTATAAAGTCTACAGTAGTGTACAGTAATGTCCTAAGCCTTCACACTCACACACCACTCACTCACTGACTCATCCAGAGCAACTTCCAGTTCTGCAAGCTGCATTCATAGTAAGTGCCCTATACAGGCATATCAATTTTTAAATCTTTTATGCCCCATTTCTACTGTACTTTTTCTATGTTTAGATACAAAAACATAATTATGTTCCAATTACTTACAGTATTCCCTACAGTAAAATACTGTACAGGTTTGCCGCCTAGGAGCATAATAGTCTATACCACATGTTTAGGTGTGTAGTGGGCTATACTCTCTAGGTACACTCATGACCTTTGCACAAGGATGAAATTGCCTAACAATGAATGCTTCTCAGAATGTATCCCCATCATTAAGTAATACGTGATTGTACATTAGTTTGCTAAGGCTGCCATAACAAAATACTGGATGGCTTAAACAAGATAAATTTATTTTCTTACTATTTTGTACCTACAAGTCTGAAACCGAGGTTTCAGTAGGGTTGGTTTCTATTTTTTTTTTTTTTTTTTTTTTTTCAAACGGAGTCTCGCTGTATCACCAGGCCGGAGTGCAGTGGCGCGATCTTGGCTCACTGCAACCTCCTCCTGCCAGGTTCAAGCGATTCTCCTGCCTCAGCCTCCTGAGTAGCTGGGATTAGAGGCACGCACCACCACGCCTGGCTAATTTTTGCATTTTTAGTAGAGTCGGGGTATCAGCATGTTGGCCAGGATGGTCTCCATCTTCCGACCTTGTGATCCGCCCCCCTCGGCCTCCCAAAGTGCTGGGATTACAGGCATGAGCCACCATGCCTGGCTGGATTGATTTCTTTTGAGCTCTCTAGTCTTGGATTGCAGGCGGTCTTCTTCTCCATATGTCTTCACATGGCCTTCCCTCTGTACATATCTGTGTCCTAATCATTTCTTTTTTAAGGACATCAGTCATATTGGATTAGGGCCCAGAGTTATGATCTCTTTTTAACTCAATTACTTCTTGAAAAACCTTATCTCCAAATATAGTCACAATCTGTGGTGGTTAGGACTTCAACATATGAATTTTGGGAAGGACACAATTCTGTCCATAACAATAGGTAGTACATTTGTGAGTTCTAATTCTTTAAATGCTCAATGTTTCTGCAGGTTTTACGGTGCCATTGAAGAGGACTTTTCACGTGGGATTCCTGGATAATTATGACAATATGTTTGCTATAATCTTTTTTTTTTTTTTTTTTTTTGAGACAAGGTCTTACTCTGTTTTCCAGCCTGGAATGCAGTGACACGATCTCAGTTCACTCCAGCCAAAACCTCCGAGCCCAAGCAATTCTCCTACCCCAGCATCCTGAGTAGCTGGGACTACAGGTGCTGCTATAATCTTTTAAAAAATACATAGATCTATAAAGATATGCCTTTAATTATTTTATTGAATGTCTAGCCTACAGAAATAGCCTATTTTTATTTAACATAGATGAAAGTAGAAGGTAATTATTCACTAATTCATTTTTGAAAAATAAGCAATGATGATTTATAAAATAATATACTATTTCAATCCCAAGAATTATTGCAAATTTCGCATGCTTTAAGATATGTTTATTGAACTTGATATAAGCAGCTCAGTTTGTAGGTAAGTGATAGACAAAGATAAGAGGAAAGTAAGTTGCAGAGAAAATTAGCAGAGTTATCTATTCAAAACTTTCCAAAGTGTTTACGGTTGTTTTTCCACTTCATGATTTCTTTAAAAGATGTTAATGGATTAATCAATAATTTTTCATGTACACATTCAAAACAATAACCTCAAATTTTCTTAATCCAACTTAATTTAGAGAATACAATATGAATTAGCCTTAAATATTTTAACATTAATATTTTTATTCTTACATAATTTTATGTGATGATTAACTTGAAAGATTTCTGTGATTGTGATGTACACTCTTCCAAATTAATATAATATTCAAAATTCTATATACTGTGCTAAAATTAGGTGAAGCATGTTTGTCATTCTTAAGATATATGCTAAAGGAAAATTGCAATTTAACCCAACTTTCATTTTGATATTTTACAGATAAGAGTAAAGACTCAGAACGTTTGAGCTGCTTATGTCATTTTCATCTGTTAATAAGTGAAAGCCCTTTTAAGCCAAAGCTAGTATTCTTTTCTCCATTTATTTCCACAAAACTGTTTAGATAAGAAAGGTGGGATCCTTTTTTACTAAGTACTTTTATTTATTATTCTTAATAGGAAAAGTATTTCCAGTTTAGGTTTGTCTAGCTTAACAATATTCAAACTGTTCCAGATACATCATCTCATGTTTTCAATATTCACAAGCACACATTTTAGTTACATTTCTTATTTATTTATTTAACAAACACATGCTATTGATGCCAACTGATGAGATACGTATTATTATTTTTCACATTTTAAAGAAGCAGAAATTGAGGCATGAAGCTTTATATATTTGCCCAAAGTATGTGGTAGTTGATGAAATTAGCATTTGAATCCAGCCAGTCTGCCTCCAGAGTAAATAAGCTTACCTACACAACATTCAGGTATAAATGTCAATCAGCCAAAGTATGTTGGGTACATAGACACAACCTGCCTATGCTACCATATGGAAAAGAAAGATGAATAGCAAAGTGGATAAGCAATGCTCTCAAAACTTTTCCTAGATCAGACATTTGTGTTGTCCATTCAAGGATGGTTTCACAGGCCTATTGCAGTGTCTTTTGAATGATAAGTTCAAACCTTCTTTTATTTCTTGAATTGTATTGAATTATACCTGTAAAGATATTTTCTCTTCCATGACTTTTTTCTTTACTGCTCCAAGGACTACAAATATTTGTACCTAGTATTTACTTTGCCTATATTCTATATATACCACTTTATCTCTAGATGTTTATTGAACACATTTACTTTTTTTTCCTCTCTCGGCATGGTTTACATATTCATTGTTTTGGGGCAAGGTTAGGCTCTTAAATTGGGTTTTACTATTTATTTCCCTACCAGCTATGATATATCTTATTTATTAATAGTAAAGTAAAGTATTTCATACATTTAAATCTCACAGCTCTCATTTTGGGGCAATTAAAATTTGATAAAACAAATATTGGAGTACATTATAACTTAGGAGAAGATATATTCAAATATCTTATTTATATTTTGGAAGGACAATACATGCTCCTATATTATATTGTTTAAAATTTTGATTCTTGTTTTATATGATCATGAATTAGTGTTTACCCTTTTTCTTATATAAAAAAAGAATGAAATAGTATAATGTTTGAGGTGTGATATTCAAGATAAATACTACTCCTTTGTTCATTTTATTAGCTTAAAAAATTTTTCAGTGATAAATTATAGCTACTTTTTCTTAGAGTATGTTATTCAAATTCGCAGAAACTTCTCTAATTTCTACCTTGTTTTTCACCAGTATTTTCATATATGCATTAACTTTTAATTTTCCCTAATTAATCTGTTATTTGAAATTCTTAATCATTTATGTTGCTTATTTCTTCATCCAATTTGTCATCAATCTTCTGATATTTCTTATGAGTATGTTATCTAAAGTGGTGAATTTTTAGGAAAAAATATAGAAAGGTGTAAAAATGAGTTTAAGTTTCTGCCATATAATTTTGTTGATTTATTTATTCTTATAAATGTGTAAATTCTTCGTAAGCGTGTAAATATTTTTTACTAATTAAAAAGAAATATGTTTCAATTCCTATTCCTAAACTGTAGAACCATTGATATTCTTCGAAGCATTAATTCTGATAACATTGGAATTTTCAAAAAATATTTTTAAACAATTCCTATCCTTATTTAAATTGTAGAATCATTGATATTATTTAAAACATTAATTCTGATAACACTGGGATTTTCAAAAAAATTTTAAACAATTTCTATTCCTATTTAAATTGTAGAACCATTGATATTCTTTAAAATATTAATTCTGATAACATTGAAATTTTCAATTTTTTAAAAATTTACTAATGTAATACAAAATGGGAGCAATTAAACACACAATTATGTGCAAAAGGTTTAAAAGTATTATGTACGGAGCTTATAAAAGAAAAACTGATGTCACATGTGAAAGTGAATAGCAGAATTAACAAGTTTCATCACAAATATATAAAAGAATCTCCATACTGGAAGTCTCACAGTCTCCTAGTCAAAACATGCCACTAGTTCTGTCTCTGCTGAGAGACTGCTTGTAATGGGATGCTCATTGCCTCTCCTTCCCACTTTTCTGTGACCACATTTGAAGAAAATTTTTCATGGAGCAGGGCTGTCAAAAGTCGAGAAGCTGACTTTTACCTCTCAGCATCAGTTATTAATTAGCAAATGTACCTGACAACATCCCTTCACTGGACAAAGCTTTTAAGTGACATTTTTCTGCCAGCCACTTCTTATTGTCTGTTTCTTACAGTTGCCCATTCTCATCACTCCTAATTTATTTCTCTTGAAACAGTGATTTAAATCCTGTAAAAGAAACCTTGAGTTGTAAAATGCCTCTTTCACTTCAACTGATTATTTTCCGAAATGGACCCCAGACCATATTAGGCTAGGTTAACTACACTATCATACATACCAGGATGACAAGCCATACACATAGTTCGATATGATTGTGCACAAATATCAACTGTTATAGAAAAGCCTTATTTAAAACATTTTCTAACCAACCGCCAGAAAGATTTTACAAGGATAATCTTGCAAAAATCTTTAGTGAGATCCTTTGTTATTATTAAACTCTCCAAATTAATCTAACAAAGTTACTTTTCCCTTGCTTTCATCTATCTCAACTTCCAATTATTTGTGACAAATCCTGAAGGTATTTGACTTACTCTGATTTTTAACAAATCATTTTATCTTTTTAAATACATGGACTACAAAGAAGATATTCGGGAGAAAGTATGTTCACTAATAAATTCATTTAGCTAATTTCCCAGCATCAATATTTCTAGGAGCTGTTGGGTTTTCTTCTCATAATGTGGTTCGGTCATTGCACATCTAAATTGTCTGAAAATGTAATTCTATCTGAAGAATGGTAATGCTAACATTCAAAAATAGATGTTTTTGCATGGAATTATGATCTTGAAATATCTTTAGTGAATATCAAGTGTCTATCTAGTTTACTGAACATAAATGTGTAAGAGTTTGTTGAAGATGACCCTGAAATACAATAACTGAAAATAAATGTTAAAAGGATGTGTTGTGGATATGGTGAGAGGAATAGAAGAGGAAAGGTAAGAACTAGATGGATTCAGTCACAAGGAGAAATTGACACATGTCTAGCTGTCTTGTGGAAATGTGGCATACTTTTACTTCTGTGGAAGAGAGGCGATAACCTGAATAATTGTCTTACTTTACGTTACTTGCTTTAATGACCACGCTGTATATAACCTGCTAATTCCCACGCCTAAACAAAAGTTGTGATGAGGTAAAGGTATATATAACACACTTCTAACTAGAAAATATAATTCAAAACAGAACTGCTAGTAAGAGAGCAAAATATCAGACAAATGCTTTATTTTAAATACCTTCAATCTCTTCTCTAATATTTCTACAACTTATATTTATCTAAGAAAAGTGAGAACAAAGAAATCTATATTTTCAATATTATTACATCTTAATTGTTGGCTAAAAAATACTATTACTATTATATGGATGAGACGAAAACATTTTCTGAAGAAAACAATTAAAACTAGTTTTGTATAAAGGAATCTAAATAAATATTTGATTTAAAATTATATTTATTTAATAATCCAATAGAAAATATTTTCTTAGATCAATAGTTATAAAAGGTAGATTTTATCTAAGGTTCTGAGCACAACCAGAAATATAAACAAACTAGAAGTCATTTTGAATTACGTTTTGATTGGACTAGATGTAGTGATAAAAGTTAAAATATGAGCTTTCCATTTATTTTTAACTGAGATGTTAAATATGCTCTATTTCTTACATTCCAAATAAAATTTGTCAGTTGGGTCGAATACTTCATTTGAAAGACTATAATCATAAAAATAATTAGACATATTGGTAGAAGTTTAAATAATATTATAACTATAGTTTATATTGCCACATTTATCCAGTGCAATCCTGTTTCATAGTAAATCATGCATTTAATAGGTTTTACTTATAATTAAAAGTTTTACATTTGAAATTTAATATTCATAATTATTTGTATTTTTACTTTATTTGCAATACCCTACATAAGTTTTTTATAGACTGAACTGTATTCTCCCCAAATGTATATGTTGAAACCCTAAACTCCAATGTGACTGTTTTAGGACCTTTATACACATTAAATAGGTCAGAAGGGTTGGGCCCTAATCCAATATGAATGGTGTGCTTATAAGAAGAGGAAGAGATAAATACAGGGAAGGGCATACACAGAGGAAAGGCCAGGCGAGGACACAGTGAGAAGGCAGCTATATGCAAGCCAAGGAGAAAGGCCTCACAATAAATCAAATCTGCCATCATCTTGATCTTGAACTTACAGTCTCCAGAACGGTGAGAAAATACATCTATGTTGTTTAAGCCACTCAATCTTTGATATTTTCTTATGGCATCCCTAGCAAACTAATACAAAATCCTAAAACCAAGTTGGCAACTTTCCTTTTTTACGACAAGGAAAATGCTACATACGGAAATCTATGATTTGTTACTTTTGCTTAAAAATTCAAAGTACTTATATACCTGAAACCAAAAAGGTATTGAGTTTTAATCTCAGACCAATGACTGCCTAAGACAGGGCAGCCAGATGTTTTAGTTTCTTGTCTAAAAATAAAGCACAGTAAGATATAGGAAATCTTGAGCAACCATAGATTTCTATACAGTGTCAGGGTTTGAAAGTAGAATGCAAGAAAACTTAAAATCATGTGTAGTTTGATATATGTCCACTCCCATTAGGAAAATGGATGGTTGTATATAAAGACTATATCTGGTCTTTGAAAATGTATGCAGCTAAGCAGGCTGTTAGTAGTTTAGATAAACAAATCAGAACAGGATTTTAGAACTACACGTGCACTGGAGGAATTTCAAGAAGTTGTGTTGGATATAGTCCATTGAGCTATCCACTTCTACCACCTCCTCAAGGCACTTTTCTGTATGGTGAGGGCAGAAAATTAAAGACTTCATTTCATAGATTCCCTTGCAGTATTGGATGTGAAGGAGGTTCTATCAATTAGATAGGTTCATACGAGAGTTTTGAAGGGAAAATTTGGGAGGCAGCCCTTTTTAAATTTTACAGACTTTTTGGCTGTTTGATGGCAAGCAAGTTATGAAAATACGATTATTGTGTGTGTGGATATGTTGGAGAGTTCAGTTTCCAGCTTCACTGGTATTTGTGTATAGTTCTGGGGCATCAGCCACCTTCTGATTCATTAAGAACAGTATGGCAAACTCAGAGGTCCAGTGGTAGCCCCCAGATGATTTTCCACTTCCTTTATTGGGTCAGAGGCTATAGCTCCTGTGGCTGGTCAATTTGACATATAGTATTCTAAAGTGTAGTTCAAAGACTAATTTTCCAGTAATGCTTTGTTTTGAATCTCGTACTGCTCACAGTATTTAGTGTAATATCTGACTGTAAGAGAAACCAAGAAGTAAATTTCAATTTTATGTATAAAATGAATTCTATTGTCTTGTGGAAAAGCAATGTATTGTATATATTCTGACTTTTATTTAATATAAAATGCATACAAGTATAACCCAATATATCTCCAAATGTATACATGAGTAGATAAGTATAACTTTTCTGCAGGCATGAATATGCCGCTAATTTCACACATAGAGTTTCTTTTTTCCTTAATCTACAGATACGTTCTTATTCTACCCTTCATATGTGACATATGTCTACTTAATTGATGATCATATCAACAAAGAGATATCCCTGGTTTCATTGTCAGTTAGTCACAAATTTGCAACACAACATATCTATACACATACACAAAAGGTATTAAACCTAATCTTCCCAGGACCAGTGACAACAGAAAACGTTTATGAAAGGAAAAAAAAAGTTACATTATTATTTCAGTCTTTTCTTCAATTCAATCACTTTCCCTCCTAGTTCCGAGACTAAAACTGCACTGAGATACAAAACTGTTCTTTCATTGCCCTAAGAATATTTATTTGTTAAACCTGAAGGAAGCTTTTAAACAGAATTTTAAAAAATTATTTTCATGAAAAAGATATTTTACAAGGAGGGGTAAAAGCATGAATTCCTATGTTTGTGCAGCCATTAACTAGAAAAGGGCACTTCATTAAATTCTGCTGGGACTTAAGTTCCACTACAATTAGAAATCAGAGGTGACCTAAATGATCTCTTCAAGTGCTTCTAGTTCTAAAATCCCAGGCTTGTCTTCTGGCTACACTGTACTAGGAAGGAATATTTAAAGAGAGTATTTGAAATGATCCATTAGCTTATGGAAAGAAAATGCTAAATTAGAACCCATTAATTAAACATGTACAGAAATAAGGGAGGAAATAAGACATTTTCCAAAAGAAAATCCATATACTAATGCAGATTTTTATTAAAATAATATCACAAATTATCAATACATATTTTGAAACTCTCTCCATAGTGCTTTCTAATCTTGGACATGTCTCGCTACAATCCTGTAGGAGAAATGCTGGTGCCTATCTCCATAGAACATTTAAAATATACTTATCTGCAAAGTTATGTGCATTTGTTTTTCTGTCTTAAAAAAATGAAAATATCTTGAAGTCATTATTTCGTAGGTTATTATTAGAGAAGCACAACAGTGAGGAAATTCTGGCTGTTTAAAATATATGATATGATAGCAATTTACCCAGGACATTTACTTTTATTAAGACCTGTGGCTTCACTTTCTTAATATCTTTAGGGCTGAAATTGTTTTAGGTATTAGGAGGAGATAGCAGTGGCAGCAACATTTTGGAATTTATCATGAGTCTATCTAAAGTACTTTTCTCCAGTTCATTGCCTACGTAAAAAAGATAAAGGCCTCTGAAAAAAGCTTTGGAGTGCAGATTTTAGTATAAAATTTACAAATTATGCCAGGCACAATGGCTCATGCCTGTAATCCCCGCACTTTGGGAGGCCAAGGTGTGGGCGGGTCACCTGAGGTCAGGGGTTTGAAACCAGCCTGGCCAACATGGCAAAACCTCGTCTCTACTAAAAATACAAAAATTAGCTGAGTGTGGTGGCATGTGCCTGTAATCCCAGCTACTCCAGAGGCTGAAGCAAGAGAATCCCTTGAACCCAGGAGGCAGAAGTTGCAGTGAGCTGAGATCATGCCACTGTACTCCAGCCTGGGAGATAGAGTGAGACTCTGTTTCCAAAAATAAAATAAAATAAAATAAAATTTTAAAAATAAAATTTACAAATTAGTTGAATTAGCAAAATCCATTCAATATTATAAATTGGTTCTCTCAAGTGCATGGTCCAGTGCATCATAAAGTGCATCACCAATGGGTTATGTGCAGTATTTTCCATGGGCTGGGTTATACACAAATTTTTCAATTATCAGAAAAGTTCTAGTAAGTTAAAATGTATTTGTAAGTCTCCAGAATTTGAGAAAGAATAGTCCTTTTAACAGTGTTTGCATTAAACAATCAGTTTGGCCATTTGCCTTATCATACTGCTCAGCTTAGACATCAAATATAGCTGATTAATGCAGTGAATTGACCAGCTGTGTGACTGAACTAACCAAAGAAGCTATCCATTTAATGTGAAATATGTGCAGTTTAACTGTCATGTAATTCATTAGTTCCATTATTTTGTTTATGCCCTGGGAGCTCTCTGACCTTCTCTGCTCTGAGAGATAGCACACTCGACAACTAAATAAGCTTGAGGCATCATGATTATAAACGGCTTTAATACATAAATTCATTGTCAAAGCAAACAGGTAATTACAGAGAATCCAAGTTGCTTTTCTCTCTTTCTTTCTTTTCTTTCTTTCATCCTTTTTTTTTTAAACTTTCTCCAGTGGAAGCAGGCAAATAGCTTATGGTGTTAATGATTCAGGTTACTAATTTTCTTTGGGCAAATATTGTTGACATGAAATAGTACTTTTGAATATTGGAGGGCAGAAAGACAGTTTCCAAGCCAAAAAGGTTTTTATATACAAGGATTATGGATATGACACTAGATAGCCTCATTAGTACTGGCCTTGTACTCAGATAGGCACATGAACACTGCAGAAAAGTAGGGAAAAAAAACACAGGCTTTGAGTCTGACAGAGCTAGTCCTCACATTTTAACCAATTTTATTTTATTTGACTCTAAACAAATGCTGTGAAGTGTAAAGGTAAGGTGTCTTTCTCACATGGGATAAGGAAACTCATATTCAGAATGAATACGTGGCTTGCTAATAATCATATAAATAATAAATATCAGAGCCATGACTAGTACCCAGATGTTTTTATTATTAATTTATTGCTCTTTCCTTCCACTAAACAGTAAGAAATCTTTCATAATTCACTTGCAAATGATCAAAGTGTCAATTTAAACAAAAGTAATCCCGTGCCCAAATAGTTGGTAAGTAGGAGGTTGACTGGTTTTATGTAATCAGGAAGTAGAAGTGACTTCTGGTATTGCTGGATCCAGAAATTCAAACAATAAGCAACTGGTTATGCAATCTCTTCCTCTCTCATCATACTTGTTTACTAGCACTTCCTCCTTTCCCTGTTTATCTCCATATGTTGGCCTCATTCTTTATTATTTCTGACAAATGCTTCTTACCTGGCAACAATTATGACAATTTCAAATCAATATTCTTTACAGGCTTATGCCCCTCCTCACTGCTGCCTCCCCATCCCTTTTTCTTTCTCCTCCTCCTTTGTCTTTGTCTCCAATTCCTGGCTTAGATCACAGGTCAATCTGCAGATTCATCAAGGATCCCAGTGAAGAGGTACCTTCATTGTTCAGACGTGAGTCACATTTAATACCCTAGCCAAAGAAAATTTGACCAGAAATCTTAGGAAAATCACATGAAGAAGTGTGGTGATTCTGTCCAGACACAAACATAAAATGTTGCTCAATTATATCATGTTGTCCAATAAAGAATAGTCATAAGAACTTTCATGGAATTAATATGGCATACCAGTGCATCAAATGCTGGCATTTTAACAGAAGTGAATAAATTGGGACTAAAAGGACTTTTCCACATCCGTTCGACATCTAAAAAGAATAGTTGCTAACTAATTTCAATCACACCTGCAAGTGAGTCTGGAGCACTTTAACCAATACATTCTGTCACGGACAAGGAAAATGTTTTTTTCTGGTTAAAAGGAGCTTTGGGTAAAGCGTGGTCCTTTAAATACAGATTCTCAGACTCAGAGTAACAGCAGAATTCCATTCATAGCTTCACACTACAAGTAAAGTTATCAAAAGAAAGGTGGTATTTTGAGTTTTGTCTGCCTTTGTTCTGTCTTCATGATTTAAAACTGGAACAGGAAAATAGAGCTCTGTTATTCATTAGGCTCCTGTAAATCCCCAAGAAGATCATTGACTCTTGTCTTTAAAATTTAAAATTATTAAGTCATAACAGGATTGAGATATACTAGTTTCTCATATTATTGGGTAGTTTTTCTTGCTTTTTCTTTTTAAGTTCAAAAGTGATTTTGAAAGCTTCCTTCTACATAGAAACTACGATTGTTGTCTCAGTATTTTCCTTACTCACTTGAAAGAGAGGGCTCTAAGAAGGAAAAGTAAGGAGGAAAGACATAGCATTTCATCCTAAGCAACCATCCATCAAAGCTGCTCTTAGTTTTACAGGCTTGTTCTCCCAAGGTAGAATGATGGTTAAGATTATAATTGTGTAGTGTCCCTGAAGACACAGCCTGAATAAATTAAGTTTTCAAGCATAAAGAAGATATTTTATTCTCCCAAAGGACACAGGCTTTTCACCACTCCCAAGAGAAATCTAGCTGTTAACTACAGTGCTCACAAATTACTTAAATAAAAGAGGTTTCCTTAGTAACCAAAGTTAAGTCCTAGCAACATTCATATTTACAGGCAAACCATTAACAAAAACAGATTCTCAGATATTATTAATTTTATAAGAGCATTTATACTATATTTGGATTGGTATAGCTTCATTCCTGTTCAGGAAGTAAGCGGTGATATTGCCAGGAGAAACAATACATTTTAAAAGAAAATAAATTCTTTATGCATACATTTTATGTTTTCACAAAGTGCCACTGACATAATGATCTTTGATAAGCACTAAGAAAACACTGAAAATAATAAATAATGGATTCTTGCTACAGATTAGCTTACTTATATTGATAAAATTTGCCAGTAGTTTTAAAAACTAGCCAGAGACTTCTTTCATATATGGTGCTAAATGCTGAGGGAAAAGACAGTTACTGAAAGACATCTGCTTTAAATAAAAACAAATTTGAGCCCTAAATATTACTTTCGGGCAAATTTTAGTCATGGGTAAGTTTACATTGCTTTAAGGAAAAATCTGGGTAAAACTTCCCACATTTTATATTGCACATTTTAAAATGCTTGGCTTTAATATTGCTAAAATAAAATCTTGAATTCTTATTTCAAACAACATTTTTTATTGCATTCACAAATGCATTTATGTTATTTTACAATTACAGTACAGTACTCAGGTGTTGCAAATCAAACTATTTTTTCTAGAACTTTATTCAAATGAACCGAACATATAAGCCTTCATTTCTTCCTGTAGAGAAAAATCTCTAAAACTTTATCTTGCCAAGGACATGAAAACAATCCCAATTTTAAGAGTGATCAATTCAGATATCAAATTGATTCAACTCAAGTTTATTCATTTTTCATTTCTCCTGGCTTCCTTGGGGTTTTCTAAGTCTGTGGCCAGGAGTGGTACATATGTCTTATTCTGGCATTAAAGAGTTGTACAGTTGTACCACGACTGAGTCTTATCCACTGACCTCTACCCATAGTGCATTTTTGTTTTATCTGCTCTGATTTATTAGGCAGTATGACAACTGTGGTTTGTGTCCATGGATTGACGAGTGGCCATCAGCTTCAAAGTCAGCCACACACTCTGAATCCTTGTCTCAAATGATACCTTCTGGATCTACCAGCTCACAGCAACTTTTCATTTACTCCTTCTTACCCCATAGGGATATATGAGGCTCTGAGCTTTGCCTGACACACATCTACCTACATACCTTTCACATGGCGTGTCAATGCTCAGCTTGTATTATCCTGAGCTGTACTCAGAGTAACTAGTCACAAATAGGACTGTTATCAGATTGTCTAATTAACCTGTATAAGGACATAGACTCTCTCCTTGATCAAATATTAGCTCTCTGAGCCCTCTGTTTCACTAGCCCTCAACCTTGACCCTCATCCTGTCTTTGGCCTGCCCAGCTCAGTCTTCACAAAGAATCTCAATTATTCATACCCTGACACCACTCTTGATATCTTATCAAGTTCTTCATCCCCTAACTTTGATGTCTAGGTCTTTGGCCTGGCTTCAGCAAGAATCTTGTTAGACAAGTTTAGCAAAAATTACCCTACTCTTAAAGTCTCTTCTCTGTAATTTTTTATCCACTGATCATCCTCTCAGTCTTTAGCTACATATGTCCCTATTTGTCCTTACTTTTTTCAGAGTTGAACCCAATCTCCTGCTTATTGCAGTAGAGTTGACCCCTATTGTAATCATTTTGAATAAAGCCTTCTTTACCATTTTAACAAGTGTATGAATATTTTTCCTTTAACATCATCCTACCCACTCTCCCCACCAGCCCCACAGCAACCGTAAGTAATAGGTCTTCAATTCATTTATATTTAAAACAGATGTCTTTCAATAGCTCTCTTTTTCTACAAATTTTGCTTCTGTTTATCTCTCTTATTACACAGTCTTCCAGGGTAAAGGCAGGACTTTGAAGTTCAGTCTACATGTTTTGTGAAACTATTGGTATTAGTGTTGGCTTGACGAAACCTCTACGTTCAGTATGCTACGCTGGCTCATTTGTGGTAGACGATTTAAGTGAGACCAAGAGACAAAAAAAGGGAGTACTTTCTACCTTCTACTGAAGAGTGGAGCGATTACAGTTAACACAAATGTATATTTCAAAGTAGCCAGAAGAGAGAACTTGAATTGTTCCCAACACATAGAAATGATAAATACTCAAAGTGATGAACACCTCAAATACCCTTGATCATTACAGATTATATGCATGTAACTAATTATCATATGTCCCCTATGAATATGTAAAATGTGTCAATTTTTTTTTTATAGAGAAAGAGTAGTTTGAAAGGGAGGGCTCTACTCAGTTACTGAAATACTCCAGGCAAGAAAGGATAGTGACAAGAACTAGAGAAGTAGCATTGGGGTAGATAAACAAGGTCAAAGTCAAGACTTTTTAAATGCAGAAACAATAATATTTATTGATAGATTGGATGAGGGGCATGAACAGATTTTGAAGTTTAATGTGATTCCAGGTTGTGGTCTGAATAACTAAATGTAATGTAACCTCACTACAATGGTGAAAACTAGAAGAGGAACACATTTTGAAAAAATGAATCAAAATTAAGAAAACACAAAAGGATAAGTTATCATCTTTCAAACACTGGTTTCATAGGCTCCTCTGTGTGAATTACAAACAGCAACACTGGACATCTTATATAAATATTCAGTCCTCACAATAGGGCTCTGAAAATTCTAGCAGTTGACTCGTTTATCTGAGCTTCTGGAGACTCCTTTATCTGAGCTCCTTCGTGTGGCACACAAACAGCACAACCATACAAAACAGAAGACCTGTGGGTTTGTAGCTAAAATTAAATAAATAAGATCTCCTACATGATAATTACAATTAATAAACAATGAATCTTATTCTCCTATAAGGCAAATAATAAACTTAACAGATTAATGTAGGTATAAAATGTACCTAATCGATTGAAAAATTACACATTTCAAAGCCCAGGGTGTGTGGAACACTTGATAAAAACTGCTGGTTTAGAAGGATTCTGTGCTAGCATTCTTGCCATTAATCCCTATTCCGTCCATTTTAATAACATTAAGTAGTTTGAAAAAAAGAGCTATAAGCCTTTATGTTTATTTGAACTATCATAGGACTCAGATATCTCCCTGATTCTACTTTGGTCAGTCAAATAAATTTGAGTCATTTGTAGTCACTTTGGGGGAGTATTATTTTTGTTGAAAATAAAGTTTTAAAAAAGTTAAGGTCATGTATAGTTTATGTAATGTTCAACTTAGAGAAATTGAAATATGCATAATATCTAGAGACAAGAAGAAAATCCTTCTTTTGCGTCCCCAATAATAGAAATATGTTTTCCATTTGGAAAGTTACCAATTAGAGTAAATTTATTATTTCACCTAAATTATTACAGGGGGGGACAAGATGAATTTTTGCTAACATAACATCCAGGTTTCTGTGGTCTTAGAAAATAAGGAAACCTATTAAGGTTTAAGCATTTTTATATACCATAACTAAACGTAGCATTACTCCAGGCTACAATTGCTAACTACAAAAATATCTTAGTTTTTTCTAGTTTTGCTATATTTTTGCTGCATTAGTATGAGAACAGCTTATTCACTTCTGATGTGCCAATTTGGGGTATAATAAACTACTGTAAAGCAAGATTTATTTCTGAAGAAAGAACAAAAAAATTACAAAATTATATCTGATCTCAGTGTTGTTCAAATGAACATGCTTTCAGAGGCAACTTGATTCTTAAGTTTCTCTGAATCAAGATAGATGAATAGATAGAAATTAGTCAAAGGCCCAGCCATTCCTCCAAAAGAAACTACTAAGCTAGGTTACTAAAAAAATATAAAAAATAAATGAATAAAAAGCTGAACTCATTTATTTTAAAAAGAAAGTTCAAACAACTTTGGACTTGGGCCTCCTGCCTGAGGCCCAAGGTGGATGGGACAATAGGTAAAAAGTGCTGGTCAGAAAGGATTGTGTGTGAGTATTGTTGTCATTAATCCCTACTCTGTCAATTTCAATAAATAGATTTCTTGTCTAAGGAAGTATTTGTTAATAGCTTTTCAAGTGAACTTGCTCACATGGATAGAAGAGAAATCCATTTACCACATCCACTCATTGCCTTTATTTTTCCAGACAACTCAGAAAGTACTTTTAGCAGCAAGTATCAGCACATTTTGTAATACAGGCATGAGTGAGTCATATTTCCAGAACTTACTGGCTATAAGATCTCAGGCAATTCATTTAACCTCTCTAAACCTCAATCTATGTTCCCGTAAAATTAATAAACAGTTAACTCTTGAGTAACATCGGTTTAAAATGCATAGAACACTTCAATGCAGCTTTTTAATAAACATATTAGAAACTTTTTGGAGATTTGCAATAATTTGAAAATATTTGCAGGCAAACCACTTAGCCTAGAAATATTTTTAAAAATTAAGAAAAGGGTATGTCATGAAGACATGAAATATGTATGCATAGTAGCCTATTTTATTATTTATTACCACACAAATTCATTACAAAAAGTTAACATTGATCAAAACTTAGACACATAAATGCAGACTGTACATGGTGCCATTTACTAGTAGAGAGAAATGTAAACAAATATAAAGATAGAGTATTAAATAATAACTGCTTTAAAATAACTATAGTACATATTATACTACTGTAATAATTTCATAGTCACCTCCTGTTGCTATTGCTGTGAGCCCAAGTATTGCAAGTATTCGCTAATCATCTTCATATGAGCAGTTCGTCTTTCCAGTAAATTGCATGTTGCAGTAAAAAGTGACCTCTCACAGTTCTCACATATTTTTAAATCATATTTAGTGCAATAACATAAACCCTGAATAATACAATGAGACCCATATGAAGTGCCACTACTGATGTTGGAAGTTGTTGGAAGAAGCAGAGAAAGGTCTTAACTTCACAAGAAAAAGTTGAATTGCTTGATACATACCATAGACTGAAATCTGCAATTGCAATTGCCTGCCATTGCAAGATAAATGAATCCAGCATAAGAATTATTGTAAAAAAGTAAAAAAAAAAATTGTGAAGCCATCATTGCAGCTATATCAGCGGGTGTAAAAACCTTGTACTTTATGTGATATACCTTTTTATCTTGTATTGAAATGCAGTTTTTATGTGAGTGAAAGATTGCTATAAGAAACAAATACCTATAGACTTTAATATGTTTCAAGTAAAACAGAACTATTATATGATAACTTAAAGCAAAAAATGAAGTGAAGGCTCTGAAGCTGGATAATCCAATGCCAGCAAAGGATGGTTTAATAATTTTAGAAAGAGGCTTGGCTTTAAAAATATCAAGATAACAGGAGAAGCTGTTTCTGGTAACCAAGAGGCAGCAGATGATAATTCAGATGCTGTTAAGAAAATCACCGAAGAGAAAGGATATCTACCTGAACATGTTTTTTTTTTTAATGCAGATGAAAATACCCTATTCTTTGAAAAAATACCACAAAGGACATTTATTAGTAAGGAAGAAAAACAAGAATGGGGATTTAAGGCAGGAAGCCATAATCTAACTTTACTGTTTTGTGCAAATACAGTCCAGTTTATGATCAGGATTTCTCTTATCAATAAAGCTGCTTACCCTTGAGCTAATAGTCTTTTGGTGGTACAAGAAGGCCTGGACAATGAGAAAGGTTTTTTCTGGATTGGTTACATCAATGCTTTGTCCTTAAAGTCAGGAAGTATCTTGCCAGTAAGGGACTTGCCTTTTAAAGCTCTTTTGGTATTGAACAACGCCCCTGGCAACCCAGAACTCCATGACTTCAACACCAAAGGTGTCAAAGTGGTCTACTTGCCCCCAAACACAACATCTCAAACTCAGCTTATAGAAGAGGAGCTCATAAAGGTTTTTACGGATCATTATATACAGTACTCTATGGAAAGGATTGCCAGCCATAAGGAAGAGAACCCATAGATCATCATAAAAGTCTGGAAGAATTACACCATTGAAGATGCAATAAGTGTTACAAAAAGATGTGAAAATCATCAAGCCTGAAACAATAAATTCCTGCTAGAGAAAACTGGGTCCAGATGTTATGCATGTATTCACAGGATTTACAGTAGAGCCAATCAAATAAATTATGAAAGAGACTGTGGATATGACAAAAAGGTTAATGGTAGATATTAATCTTTAGAGATATTAATCCTAGAGAAATTCAAAATCAATTACATACCACACTAGAGGAATTAGTAAAAGATGACTTGAGGGAAATGAGTGTTTCCTAACCAGTGCCAAACAATGAAGAAGAAGACATACAAGAAGCAGAGCTAGAAAAAAAATTGATATTAGACAACCTGCCAGAAGGGTTCTGATTAGCCAAGACTGTCCTTGACTTAGTTTATGACATGGACTCTTCTATGATACAGGCACTGAATCTAAAGCAAATGGTGGAGGAAGAATTGGTATCATACGGAAACACTTTTAGAGAAATGAAAAAGCCAAAATTTCAAACAGAAATTATGATGTATTTCCATAAAGTTACATCAAGTGTGGCTGCCTTTCCTGCCTCCCCCTCCACTTTATACCTCTGCTTCCCCTGAGACAGCAAGACTGGCTCCTCCTGTTCTTCCTCCTCTTTAGCCTACTCAAGGAAATGAGGATGAAAACATTTATGATGATCCACTAACACATAATTAATAACAACATATTTTCTCTTCCTTATTATTTTAATAATTTTTTCTTTAGCTTACTTTATTGTAAGAATACAGTATATAATACATACAGCACAAAAAATGTTTTAACGCATTTTATATTATCAGTAAGGCTTCTGGTCAACAGTAGACTATTCGAGTTTTTGAGGAATCTAAACTTATATACAGATTTTTCAGTGTGCAAGAGGTCAGTGCCCTTAGCTTCTGTATTGTTCAATGGTCAACTGTAATTTTATTTCTTTATTATGGCACAATAATCTAAATATAGAAGATATTCCATTAATCATTAAATAAAAGACAAAAATACTATGCAATAATACACTTTATTTCTATAAATTATTAAAGTAATTGATATAAAGCATTTGATTGCATAAATATGAAATTTCCCTCCACTATTTGAGCACTTCAACATAAATGCCACAGGCATAGGATTTGGGATTAGACATGCTAGAGATGAAATTGGATTCTGTTGCATACTCATCATGTGATTAGTATCAACTGCTTAATCTGTCTTATTTTCTGAAGTTGAATGCAAATAATATCGGTTCATTTCTTATTGTAGAGATTAAAGACAGTATATATTAAGTGTTTGAACTCTGTCCTGACACATAATAAGCATTCCATAAGTTAAAGATTTTTGTTATTGCTACTAATTATAAAACACCTATTCACCATTCTGACATTCCAGAGACATTGTTGTAAGACTTCCAGATAAAGGATTGATGAATTAAGGATTCACTCAACATTTCACAATAGTAATATTTTTATAGTTATAGAATTCATTCTATTCTGTGTTAATAGCTTTGTAACCAACAAGGAATTTTACCATGCTAAGTGAACCACTAGTTAGTTCATCAACAATTAGTTACAGAAATTTGAATTTGTTTTCAAGTTTATTAGCCACATCTTCAATAACCTAAGTAGTTCATCAAGGTAACAGTTAATCATAGGTGGGTGAATTGATAATTCTTGATGGATTAATAGAAGGCAGTCTAATAAATATTGTTAAATTATTAATATTTCTTCCAACTGAAAAATTTGTCAAGAGTGAATAAAATATCAAAGTCAAGTTAGAGTCTCCAGGAGAGCTTACGTGTTTCTTCTTTGTTCTGAAAAATTTCCCAAATGGGAAATATACATAGTACATTTTGCTGACCAGAAATGACTCTAACTTTTAAAAGTACAAATAAAACTTTGGGACCCATGGGAAAATGACAACACCTGATTCAAAAATCACCACTTGATCAAGATTGTCTGGGAGCCAAGAGAAACCCCAATACAGGGAAAGGGTGAGAGATCCTCAGTGAGCTTCATTCTCACTCCCGGAATCTTAGCAACTGAAAAGTCCCTTGGCCCTCATGGGCCTTGCAACTAACATAGGAAGCTACTGGAAGATTCTCTGATAGCACTGCCCCAGGGAGAAAGTGCAGGCTGAGACCGTCACATTCTCTGAGACCTTAGCAACTATAGAAAAAGACCATTTTTAAACTCTACAACCAAAAGATTGTGCATTATTAAAGATTCCAGTGGTACTGGGGCTGAGGTTTAAAAGAAGCATGAGCTACTGCTGCCAAGGTTTAGATATAAACCACCACAGGCTACCACACCAGGGGTGGAAGCACACCACAGGCCTTTGCACCACCTTTAGGATTGAGGAATGAGTAAGGTGCCATTCTAGAGCTCTGCCCCCAACAAATAGTACACTATCTCCTGGAGCCCTGCCCCACTGGGGCTGAGGCACAAGAGAAGAGCTGGCTGCTGACTCTAGGGCTTAGGCATGAGTAAAATCAGGCTACTGCACCCAGGACTGAGGCACAAGCACCACTGGGTCTGAGGTATGACTAGTGTGTGTGTTCCCTACCCACCAGTTTAGGCTGCTGTCCCTGAAGGTGGCATCACCCCCTACCCAGTGTTAGAATAGCAGCAAGACCA
Source organism: Homo sapiens (assembly GCF_000001405.40). Classification (NCBI taxonomy): domain Eukaryota; kingdom Metazoa; phylum Chordata; class Mammalia; order Primates; family Hominidae; genus Homo; species Homo sapiens. The sequence goes on from NC_000004.12 coordinate 30,406,917, forward strand.
CTGCCATCCCCAGCCTAAGCATTCTGCTGGTGGCCTGAGGATCACCTTGCCACTGCCTAAGATGGCTAGTACCTGTACATACCATTGGCGTGGATGAGGACAAGCCAGCCCAGCCTGGCTTCACCCTTCCCCAACGTGTCAAGGCACATAGTCCAGGGACCCAGGGATTGCCCAGCCCAGATCAGCACCACTGGTACCTGAACACTTCTCCTGGGGACCTGAGGTTTTGCTGTTACTTCCATAGCTGGCAGCTGCCTGTATGCACCACCTGCATGCCTGGATACTGACCTGCCTAGCCCATTACAGCCACTGCCAACACAAGCATGCACCACTCAGGACTCCGAAAGTCATCCTGCCACCACCACTGTGATTGTCTATGCTACATTGACTGCTCAGGGGACAAAGGACCTGCCCACCTACTATTCCCATAGCTACCACTATCTGAGCCACCTAGAGCTCCAAGAATCAGCTTTCCTGAAACTACTAACACTGGTGACAATGTATGACACTTGTGCCCTAAGGACAGGCACACAGCCTACAGCTGTCAACACTGGAGTTTACCTACCTGGTGTCCCAGTCCCCAATAAATCTGTACCAGAGCCTTTACTAATAACTGCACCTTAAGCCACTGAGAAAATCTCAGATACCAATGATGCTATTTACACACAGAAAAATGATCAAACACTACACTGTGGAATTCACCTAGAATCAAGACCAAAGTGTTCTACTCAACCAACACCATACATTCATCCTCAGGAAAAATCCCTTCCCTACAAAAGCAAATTCAAAAATTTTGATAGTGATACATCAGATGTGCAGATATCAATCTAAGGATACAATAAATATGAAAAAAATTATTACAAACAGGAGCACAATAATTCTCCAGAAAAAGATCCTAATATTAAAAATTAGTAAAAACCCAGAAAAAGAATATAAATTATTGATTCTAAACAAGATCAGTGAGATACAAAAGAATTTTTAAAAACAATACAAATAAATCAGAAAAAAATTCAGGATATGAATGAGAAATTTACCAGAGATATAGATATTATTTAAAAAAAGAACCAACACAAAATCTGGAACTGAATAATTTATTAAATAAACTGCAAAATACATTAAAAAACATGAACAACAGTCCAAATCAAGCAAAAGAAAGAATCTCAGAACCTGAAGGTAGGTCTTTTGAAATAAGCCAGTCAGGTCTTCCCATGGCACATTATAGTAAAAAGGTCTTCCCATGGAACATTATAGTAACAATGTCTAGAGTTAATGACAAAGAGAGAATTGTAAGAACAGCAAGAGAAAAGTGTCTAGTCACCTATAAAGGAACCACCAATGGACTCATGGTGAATTTCTCAGCCAGAAACTTACAGTCCAGGAGAAGATGGCATGATTTATTCAAAGTGCTCAAAGGAAAAATAACTGTCAGCCAAGGATACTTCATTCGGAAATATTGTACTTTATGTGATGGAGAAATAAAGTATTTCCCAGACAAGCAAAAGGTGAGGGAATTTGTCACCACTGGACCAATCCTACAAGAAATATTCTAGGATGTCCTAAACATGGAAGCAAAAAGAAAACAATCAGAATCACGAAAATACACAAAAGAATCAAACTCAATGGTTAGACAAACACACAAAAAAGAAAGAGAAAGGAATAAAATGATGCCACTATAAATAACCAAAAAGCCACAATTACAAACAATAAGAGAAAAAAAAGAAATAAAAAATATGCCCCCAAAACCAGAAAATAATAATATGACATAAATAAAACCTCACATATCAATAGTAACCTTGAATATAAATTAATTCTCCACTTAAGAGATATAGATTGCCTGAATAAATTTCAAAATATGATTCAACTATATGCTGCCTATAAGAAACTGACTTCACCTTTAAAGGCACGATTAGACTGAAAGTAAAGGGAGGAGAAAATATAGTCTATGAAAATGGAAATCAAAGTGAGCAAATGTAGCTATTAGGTAGGTGCAGAGGAAATTGTGGTTTTTGCCATAATATATTTACATCAGATGAAACAGACTTTAAACTAAAATCAGTTAAAAAAAAAAAAAAGGCAAAGAAAGTCATTATAATAATGACAAAAAATCAACCCAGTAAGAGGAGATAACAATTCTAAATATATATGTACCAACGCTGGAGAACCCAGATTTATAATTCAAATATTCCAAGATCTAAAGAGAGAGATAGACCATAATAAAATAATAGTAATAGTGGGGAATTTCCATACTCCATTCTTAGCATTAGACAGATCATCAAGACAGAAAATCGAGAAGAAAACATTGGATTTGAACTAGACTGTAAGCCCAATGGACCTAATAGAACTTTACAGAACATTTTACCCCGCAACTGCAGAATACACATTCTTTTCATCAGCACATGAAATATTCTGCAGGATAAATACTATATTAGCTCACAGAAAAAGTCTCAATAGTTTTTTTTAAAAAATCCAAATTACATCAAGTGTCTTCTCAGACAATTGAATAACATTGATAATCAATACCAAAAGGAATTTTGGGAAATACTCAAATCCATGAAAAATAAACAACGTGCTCTTGGATGACCAATGAGTCAATGAAGAAACGAAGAATGGGTCAATGGCGAAATGAAGAATGACCAATGGGTCAATGAAGAAATGCAGAATGATCAATGAGACAATGAAGAAATGAAGAATGACCAATGAGTCAATGAAGAAATGAAGAATGACCAATGGGTCAATGAAGAAATGAAGAATGACCAATGGGTCAACGAAGAAATTAAGATTGAAAATATTCAAATACATGAAAAATAAACAGTATGTTCCTGAATGACTACTGGGTCAATGAAGACATTAAGATGGGTAAATGATGAAATATAAGATTACGAAATTAAGAAATTTGGCCAGGCATGGTGGTTCACATGTGTAATCCCAACACTTTGGGAGGCTGAGACGGGCAGGTTGCTTCAGTCCAGGTGTTCGAGACCAGCCTGGGCAACATGGTGAAACCCCATCTCTACCAAAAATACACAAATTAGCCAAGTGTGGTGGCACCCATCTGTAGTCCCAGCTACTCAGGAGACTGATGTGGAAGGAAGGCTTAAGCCCAGGAAGTCAAGGCTGGAGTGAGCCAAGATCGTGCCACTGCACACCAGCCCAGGTGACAAAGTGAGACCCGGTCTCAAAAAAAAAGTAATTAAGAAATTAAATTTAAAAAATTCTTAAAACAAATGAAATGGAAACAAAACATATTAAAACCTGTGGGATACAAGAGAAGCAGTAGTAAGAAACAAGTATATAGCAATAAATGCCTCCATCAAAAGAGTGGAAAGTTTCTAATAAATAATCTAATCATGTACCTCAGAGAAAACTACAGGCCTATATCCTTGAGAAACATAGAAGCAAAAATCTTCAGCAAAGTACTAGCAAACTGAATTCAATAGCACCTCAAAAGACATTACAGTAAGATTAAGTGACAATTTTAGTAGGGATACAAGGATGATTTAACATATGCAAAACTAAATGTGATAAACCAAATAAAGATAATTAAAGACAAAAACTATATAATCATTTCAATCGAGGCAGGAAAAGTATTTGATAAGCACCCCTTCATAATAAAAACTCAACAAACTAGGCATATAAAGAACATATACCATAAAGGCCATATATGAGAAACCAACAGCTAGCATCATATTGAATGAGAAAAAGTTGAAAGTTCTTCCTCAAAGTAACTTGGTTAGTTCTATGCTTCCTCACATTCTTCAATATGGTTACATTATTCATATGTAGCCCAGGTGCTTTCATATGTGACATTTTAGCTTCCTCTCATACACTGCTTGAGTTTTCATCCTGAGATAGTGCAGTTCATACAAATGCCAATTTACGTTTGTAGAGCAAATGGATGGATGGAAAGATGGATGGCTGGATGGATGGGCAGATGGATGTAAAAGTATTTTCAAGAAAGCTTCTCTATCATGTCTCTCAGATCATATGCTTATTTTGGTGATTAACAGATATGTTTTAACACAGACTTTAAAGATTATTGTGCATAAATGATCTCTCAGTAGTGTGTGTGTGTTTGTGTGTGTGCTTGTGTTTGTGTGAGAGAGGGAGATGGGTGGGGGGGAGTGAGAGACAGGAGAATGCAGAAGATGGAGAGAGAAGAATACTTCAGATTCTGGTGTTTTTCTTTTTTATTGTATCCTCTGGCCAAGTGCACCTCGGCTTTTTTTATTGCCTGTTTCTTGAGAACATGAAAGTATTTTTCACATAGCATACCAATTCATTTGTCCTTTTGGAAAGAGTCAAGCTCTGATAGAGAGTTGACTGTTGCTATGTTCCTGGCTTAGTTCTCCATATTAAACTTCTTACTGACATAATAAAATACATTTTTTCCTGAATATAAATGGCAACATTCAATAACTTCAGTTGCCAGCAAAGACAAATTTTGAATGTGAAATGCTGGCTGAGCAAATAATAGATTCATTTTGCTGCTTCATGGCCTAGACACTCAAAGCTTGTCAGGAGAGTAGAAATTCAGATACAGCAAGAAGAATGTGAGGGGAAGAATGTGAGGCACTTGCCTCAGTCATGAGATTTGAAAAAGGAAAAGTATACTTAGTAATTGATGTAAATAATATCTTAATTTAATAACACTGAATGTTCCATTTACCCGAGGCTCAAACATAGTTAATCAAGTTCCTGTTGCTGATCTAATCAGGGTCTAAATTTTTAATATTTTGTTCATTATGAATTATTGTAAATTAATTTTAATGTTTAAAATATTGCATTAAATGTAATTTATCTTGAATGCTGAGTTTTCGAGGTATCCCCTTAAATTTTGCCCCAGAGGTAAGTTTCTCATCTAACTCACTTGCCTGACTAGCACAGCCCTGCCAGGAGCCTTCCTTTTTTATGTACTTGATAATTATAAGATAATCCAGAGTGTGTGTGTGTTTGTATGTGTGTTTGTGTGTGTGTGTGTACACACATACACAGGTAAGACTAAAGGAGAATATCAACATAAACTAACATAGTTTGTCTCCTAATAAACTATTTCTTCTTACAGAATATATCAGAATATCAAACATTTACAAAATATTTGAGTCAATTCTTTCAATAACAAATAGCATAAATCACAGTACCCAAAATCAAATAAAAATTATAAAAGAAAATTTTTTAGGCTTTTGTAACTTTTTTGGCAGAAACATATGAGAATTCTATTACAGAAGTGAAGACATTAATTATAGATTTCTTGTCAGGAGAGATGAATGCATGTCTAACAATGATGTAAGAGGGGTTCTGCATTAGCCAGTTCTCTTATCCTATTCTTCAGAGATTTTCTTTTAAGTTTTACATTATTAATGATAAAAAGAATACAAATCCCTGGCTGCCCAGATTGCTAAATCTTACTTTAAATACCACCTAGATACTTTGAAATCTCAAGTGTCTTATGATTAATATCATTTTCTTTTACAGTAAATTAAGAAGTTGATACTGATCCATTCTGCTTCATTCTGCCCCAGGTTCCCACCTTGTGATCCAACAATCTTGCCTTAAATAAAATTATGTTTACCCCTACTAAATTGGCTACAACTAAATATGTAGAGAAAAAAGTCATTTTCTTATAGGCCTATTGTCTATCAATTTTATGTAACTGAGACAGCATTTCCTCTGATTCATTCCAATACTTAAGACCTTTAATTTCCATTTTAAAACAAAATGAAAATAAAGTGCTGCCCTTAAAAAAGTGTTTTCTAAATTGTTATTAAATGGGAATAGTACAATATCCACATCACATGACACCTGAACATCACAGAAAATGGCAGTTTGGAAGCTCAAGAAGTTGTTCCCTCTACTGAGACAACTATTGAGCTAGCAAGAACTGTGAAGTAACAATTCTGGAATTTTAGAGTATAATTGAATACTTGCAGGATGCCAGGGATTGCTTGATGAGGAACACTCAGAAATATCAATGAATTTTGAGCTTCCTATTCTGGCTACCATACCCCATCTCCAGCCCTATGGAGATGTCAGGCCACACTGTAGTGTGACACACTGGTGTCAGGGTGAGAAAAGGAATTTATCCTCCAAGAGTCGAGGTTTTGAATTTTGATTGCTGCTATTGATTGTGAAGATGCTGATACAGATGCAGACCACTAGTTTTTCATATGGGTTGAAGGAGTCATTGGCAGGAGGGAATTTAAAGAGACAGACACTCTTATTTAAATTTTTCTTTTTCTTACTTGATAAGTATTTAAAGAAATCAGGTTATTTGCTGACTGAGGACACAGCACAACTGAGGCTTCAGTGGACCACACACAAGAGAAGCATAGCCTTTCCAAAAGTGGTTTGGAAAACTCACTAAACAAATTGACAATTTGAGCATTCATCAGTTAACAACAGTGATCCTAGGAGAGGGGGAAAATTCTGATGTCCAATGTTACCACATTACAATATTCAAAATGTTCAGTTCTCAATACAAAAATTATAATGCATACAAAAATCATGAAATTATGAAATTATGACTCCTTCTAGTAGAAAAACAAATAAACCATCCATGAGAAGTTCAGACATTGAATCTACTGGATAAAAACCTTAAATTATCTGTCTTAAGTATGCTCAAAGGTATGAAGGAAACCACAGACAGAGAAGCAAAGAAATTAAGAGAAAAATAAATAGGCATCTAGGGAATATTAATAGATGATATTATAAAAAGGAGCAAAGTAATACTTCTGGAATTGAAGAGTACACTATTCCGATAAATTTTCACTGGACTTGTTCAAAAACAGTTTTAAGCAGGCAGAAGACAGAAGCAGAGGATTTACATGTAAGACAAATGAAATGATCAGTATAAGAATTCAAAAAAAAAGAATAAAAGAAAAAAGAATTAAAAAAAAACTTAGCCTAAGGAACTTATGGGACACTATCAAGGGTACCAACATATGTATTGTGGAATTTCCAGAATGAGATTAGAAATAGAAAGTGTAGAAAAGAATATTTGAAGAAAAAATGGAAGGGAAATTCTCAAATTGTATGATGGATGCCAATGTGCACATGCAAGAAGCTCAAAAAATTCCTAGGATAAACTCAAAGAGATCCACACCAAGACACACTGTCAAAATTCAAGCACAAAGAGAATTTTGAAAGCAATGAGACAGAAGCAATGCTTCATAGGCAAGGGACCCTCAATTAGATTAACAGCTGATATATCATCAGAAACAATGGAAGACAGAGGGCAGTGGGATGATACACTTAAAGTGATAATTTAAAAAAAAACCTGTCAAACAAGAACTATATATCTGGTAAAATGGTCCTTCAGAAGTAAAAGAGAAATTAATATATTCCAAGTAAAAGATAAGAAAATTTACCATTAGAAATGCCCTACAGAGAATGCTTCAGGCTGAAATGAAGCAACTCAAACCAATATGAAGAAATTGTAAGATTAGGGGCAAAGCTAACTGCACATGTAAATATAAAACTAGCTTCACTGTATTTTTGTATACAACTTTTTTTTCTGCTATATGTTTCAACAGACCTACAGATGAAATGACAATGGCCAATCTATATTAATGGGCACAAAATGTATAAAGATGTGATTTGTGACAATAATAGTGCTAAGGAAGGAATGATGTTGGACAGAAGGAAAGTTAATATAAGTTATTAAAGTTAAATTATTATAATTCAAACTAGATTGTTATAAATGTAGGATATTAGCAGTAATCCCCATGGTAACCCCTACAAAAATAACTAAAATTATGCCAAAAGGAAATAAAGAGGGAATCAAAATGTTACAGTAGAAAACATCAATCAAATGAAAAAGATAATATTAGAGAAATTGAGGAAACAGAAAATGTATAAGAAATATAAAAGACACATACTAAAATGACAGAAGCAAGTTCTTCATTATCATTATTTACTTTAAATCTGATTGTATTAAACTCATGAGTTAAAAGAGAGATTAACAGAAAGAATAAAGAATATACTTCAACAATGTGTAGCTTACAAGAGATTCACTTTTGATTGAGAAACACAAATAGGCTGAAAGTGAATGAATGGAAAAATATATTTATGCAAATGATAACTAAAAGAGTCAGGGCTATATCGATATCAAAAAAAGGAGTTTTTAAATAAAAAATTGTAATGGTTTTAACTAAAAATGACATTTTTATTTATAAAAAGTTCAATTCATCAATAAGATATGACAATTGTATACATCTACATACCAAACTACAGAAATATGAAGTAAACATTTAGAATGGGAGCCCAGTACACATTCAGACAGAATTGAGGGAAGAAATAGAAGGCTCTTTAATAATGGTTGGGGCCTTCAATACCCTCACTGTTAATGATTTACAGGCAATCTGGACAGAAGATCAATAAGGAAATAAAAGATTTAAACAACCCTATAAACCAATCTGATCAAATGTACACTAGGCCCATCTGCAAGGAGATTGGATCAGTTATCAAACCTCCCAAAAACGAAAAATCCAGGACCAAATAACTTTGTAGGCGAATTTTCCCAAACGTTCTAAAAAGTATTAACAACAGTTCTACTCAAACTCTTTCAATAATTAAAGAGGAGGAAACACTTTCTACCACATTCTCTGAGGCCAGAATTACCCAGATGCCAGAGCCAGATGAAAACATTTTAAGAAAACTACAGAAGATCAATATCCCTTATAAATATAGACAAAAACATTATAAGAAAACTCCATAAGATCCAAATCCCTTATAAATATAGACAAAAAATTTTTCAACAAAATATAAGCAAACTGAATCAAACAAAATATTACATTGATTACACACTATGACTAAATGGGATTTATCAAAAAATGTAATGTTATTTCAATAAAATAAAATCCTTTACTGTATGCCCATAATTCCCATTTGTTTTGGAAGGGAACTGGTGGGAGGTAATTGAATCATGGGAGCAGTTTTTCCCATACTGTTCTCATGATAGTGAATAAGGTTCACGAGATCTGATGGTTTTAAAAAGGGGAGTTTCCCTGTACAATCTATCTTCTCTTGTCTGCTGCCATATGAGAGGTGCCTTTCGCCTTCTGCCATAATTGTGAGGCTTCCCAGCCATGTGGAACTGTATGTCCAATAAACCTCTTTCTTTTGTAAACTGCCCAGTCTTGGGTATATCTTTATCAGCAGCATGAAAATGGACTAATACAGTAAATTGGTACCAGGAGTGGGACACTGCTGAAAAGATACCCCAAAATGTGTAAGCAACTTTGGAACGGGGTAACAAGCAGAGGTTGGAACAATTTGGAGGGCTCAGAAGAAGACAGGAAAATGTGGAAAAGTTTGGAACTCCTTAGAGACTTGTTGAATGGCTTTGATCAAAATGTTGATAATGATATGGACAATGAAATCCAGGCTGAGCTCATCTCAGATGGAGATGAGGAACTTGTTGGGAACTGGAGCAAAGGTGACTCTTGTTATGTTTTAGCAAAGAGACTGGCAGCGTTTTGCCCCTGACCTGGAGATCTATGAAACTTCAAGCTTGAGAGATATGATTTAGGGTATCTGGTGGAAGAAATTTCTAAGCAGCAAAGCATCCAAGAGGTGACTTGGATGTTGTTAAAGGTATTCAGTTTTATAAGGGAAGGACAGCATAAAAGTTCAGAAAATTTGCAGACTGACAATGTGATGGAAAGAAAATCCCATTTTTGGAGGAGAAATTCAAGCCAGCTGTAGAAATTTGCATAAGTAATGAGGATTCGAATGTTAATCTTCAAGACAATGGGGAAAATGTCTTCAGGGAACCTCAGAAGGCTTCATGGCAGCCCCCCCATCACAGGCCCAGAGGCCTAGGAGGAAAAAACGGTTTCATAGGCAAGGCCCAGGGTCCCCCTATTGTACACAGCCTAGAGACTTGGTACTCTGCATCCCAGCCACTCCAGCCATGATTAAAAGGGGCCAAGGTACAGCTCGGGCTGTTGCTTTAGAGGATGGAAGCCCCAAGCCTTGGCAGCTTCCACATGGTATTGAGTCTGTGAGTGCACAGAAGTCAAGAATTAGAGTTTGGGAATATCCGTCTAGATTTCAGAGGATTTATCGAAAAGCCTAGATGCCCAGGCAGAAGTTTGCTACAGGAACAGGGCCCTAATGGAGAACCTCTGCAAGGGCAGTTCAGAAGGGAGATGTGGGGTCGGAGCCCCTACACAGAGTCTCTACTGGGGCACTGCCTAGTGGAGCTATGAGAAGAGGGCCACCATCCTCCAGACCCCAGAATGGTAGATCCACTGGCAGCTGGCACTGTGCACCTGGAAGAGCCACAGCCACTCAACACCAGCCAATGAGAGCAGCTAGAAAAGCCACAGGTGTGGATCTGCCCAAGGCCATGGGAGCCCACCCCTTGCATCAGTGTGACCTGGAGGTAAAACATGGATTCAAAGGAGATCATTTTGGAGCTTTAAGATCTGACTGCCTTGCTGGATTTCAGACTTGCATTGGGCCTGTAGACTTTTTGTTTAGGCCAATTTCTCTTATTTGGAATGGCTGTATTTACCCAATGCCTGTACCCCCATTGTATCCATGAAGTAGCTAACTTGCTTTTGATTTCGCAGACTCGTAGGCAGAAGAGACTTGCCTTGTCTCAGGTGACACTTTGGACTATGAACTTTTGAGTTAATGCTGAAATGAGTTAAGACTTTGAGGGACTGTTGGGAAGTTGTGATTGGTTTTGAAATGTGAGGACATGAGATTTGGGAGGGTCCAGGGGTGACATGGTATGGTTTGGCTCTGTGTCCCCTCCCAAATCTCATCTTGAATTTTAATCCCATAATTCCCATGAGTTGTGGAAAGGACTCAGTAGGAGAATCATGGGGGCAGTTTCTCCCACACATTTCTTGTGATAGTGAATAAATCTCATTAAATCTGATGGTTTTAAAAAGGGGAGCTTCCCTGCACAAGCTATCTTCTTGCGTCTGCTGCCATGTGAGATGTGCCTTTTGCCTTCTGCCATGATTGTGAGGCCTCCCTAGCCATGTGGAACTGTAAGTCCAATAAATCTCTTTTTTTATAAACTGCCTAGTCTTGAGTATGTCCTTATCAGCAGCATGAAAACAGACTAATACACCTTTATTAATAGAAAGAAGAAAAATTAAACAAGTGATAATCCCAGTCAATGTAGAAAAAGAATTTGACAAAATTCAACTCCACTTAATAAAATAGTCTGCAAACTAGTAATGGATGGAAACTTCTTTAACATGATAAAAAAATTTTAAAAATTATAAAAAATTCACAGTTAACATTGTAGTTAACCATAATAATTTGAAACTTTTCCTTTAAAATTAGGCACATTTTACTTACGCTATTCAACATTGTAACTGAAGTACCAGCAGAGAAATTAGACAAGAGAAATAAATAAAAGTCACCCAGATTGGAAACAAAGAGAAAAAATTATCTCTAATTATAGATGGCATAACTAATAGAATACACAAAAACTACTAGAGCTAATAGTCAAATTGAGAAAATTTGCATGGTTCAAGATTAACATACAAAAATCAGCCATGCTTCTAAATAGCAACAATATACAAGCCAAAAGAGAAATTAACAAAGCATTTATAATAGCATTCAAAAGAGCAAAATGCTTACTAATAAATTTAACCAAGGAAGTGAAAGACATAATGAAAACTACAATCATTGCTGAAAGAAATTCTCAGTTCTAAATAAATGGAACAATATTTTATGTTCATAGATTAGAAGGCAATATTAGTAAAATGTGTGATAGTTAATTTTATGTGTCACTTTGACAAGGTTAAAAGATGGTAAAACATTATTTTGGGCGTGTCTGTGGGGATATCTCTGGAAAATGTAAACATCCGAAGATGCCCTGTTATCAATATGGGTATCAGTATGTGAACCCTCATCAAATCTGTTGAGATAGAACGGAAAGGTGGAGGAAGGGCAACTTCTTTCTCTCTCTCCTTGAACTGAAACATTCATCTTCTCCTGCCTATGACATCAGAGCTTCCAGTGCTCAGGCCTTTGGACTCTGTGAATTACATTAGCACACCCCATCCCCATTCTCAGGAGTTCAACCCTCGGCTGAAATTTAAATCAGCTCCCCTGGTGCTCAGGTCCTTGGACTCAGATGAAATTACCCCACCAGATTTACTGGCTCTCCAGCTCTCACATGATTGTGTTTTCTTGGAGAACTCCAACTAATAGAGATTTTCATACTCCTCAAGGCAATTTATAACTTCAATGTAATATCTATTGACTTTCGAATGGCCTTTTTTGCCAAAATTGAAAAGCGGATCTTAAAATTTATGTGAAAATTCAATGAGTCCCAAATAGCCAAAACAACCTTGAAAAAGAATAAAGAAGAAGGACTCACACTTCATTTTTTCCAGATTTGTAACAACGATGAAGTAATCAAAACAGTATAGTACTGGCTTAAGGGATGTCATACGGACCAATGGAATAAGGTTGAGAGTCCAGAAATCAACCCAAACTGATTCTCAAGAAGAATGCTAAGACCATTTATAGAGAATAAAGTTTCCTCAATAAATGTTGCTGAGACAGCTAGATTTCCACATGCAAAAGAATCAGTCTTGATCCTACTTAACTTGATGTCTTAGTCCATACTGGGTGCTCCAACGAAATATTGTAGACTGTGTGATTTATAAACAACAAAATTTATTTCTCATGGTTCTAGAGACTGGGGCATCTAAGATCAAGACACCAGCAGATTTTGTGTCTGATGAGTGCCCAATTCCTCATAGACAGCTGTCTTTTTACTCTAATGTCACATAACTAAAGGGGTAAGAAGTTTCTCACAGACATTTTTAATAAGAGAATGAATAGCACTTATGAGAGCTCTGCCCCCATGGTCTATTAATCTCCCAAAGCCACCACCTCCTAATACCATCACCCTGAGGATAAGGATTTCAGCCTATGAATTTTAGGGCAACATACATATTCAGACCATAGCACACAATATACAAAAAGAATCTCAAAATTGATCAAAAACATATATAGATGCTAAAACTATAAAACTGTTAGAAGAAAACATAAGGTGTTTTCCCTAACCTTGGATTTGGCAGTTGATTCTTAGCTTTAACACCAAAAACACATGCCAAAAAGGAAATAAAAATAAATTGCACTTTAAAAATCTCAAAGCTTTCGGTCAATAAAAGCCATTAGCAAGATTGTGAAAAGGAAACATACAGGAATGGATAAAATATCTGTAAATCAGATATCTGGTAAGGGTTTAGTATCCAGCATATAGAAAGAGCTCTTACATTTAAACAACAAAAGACAAACAACCCAATGGGCAATCGAATTGAATAAGCACTTCTCCAAAGAAGATATACAGATGGCCAACAAGCACATGAAAAGAGAAACCATTGATCATTAAGGCAGTACATATTAAAACTAAAATGAAATACCACCTCACGCAACTCATATGGCTTTAATGAAGAACGTGAAAAGAAAAAAAAAAATGATTGGTGGTGATTTCAAGAAACAGGCACATTCTGGTGGGAATGTAAAATCATGTAGCCACTGTGCAAAATAGTTTGATGATCCCTTAAAAAGTGCAACAGAATACTCAGCGCATTATACTTGTAGGTATATACCTGAGAGACATAAAAACATATGTCCACACAGAAATTTGTTTACAAATGTATATAGCAGCATTATTCATTAGCCAACAGGTGAAAATAACTCAAATATCTGTCAATGAATAAATGAATAAAGCACAGTTTTCTCAGACAACAAAATATTCAGTCAGAAAAAGGAATAAAGTACTAATAAAGTAACAATACCTGTTACAACTTGGATAAACATTAAAAGCAGATGTTTCTTTTTTCTTTTTTCCTTTTTTTTTTTTTTTTTTTTGAGACAGAGTCTTGCTCTGTCGCCCAGGCTGGAGTGCAGTGGCGTGATCTCCGCTCACTGCAAGCTCCGCCTCCCGGATTCACACCATTCTCCTGCCTCAGCCTCCCAAGTAGCTGGGACTAAAGGCGCCCGCCACCATGCCAGGCTAATTTTTTGTTATTTTTAGCAGAGACGGGGTTTCACCGTGTTAGCCAGGACGGTCTCGATATCCTCACCTCGTGATCCGCCCACCTCGGCCTCCCAAAGTGCTGGGATTACAGGCATGAGCCCCCGCGCCCGGCCCAAAACCATGTGTGAAGGAAAGAAACGCATTATAAAAAGTCACATATTTGTATGATTTCTTTTATATGACAACACAAATTCCTAGAGACAGAGAAAAAATTATAGGTTACTAGGGCTAAAAGGAATGGAGAATAGGGAATAATTACTCAATAGGTATGGGGTGCTTTTACAGGATGATGAAAAATTTCTAAAATTAGAGAGATCTGGTGTTTTCAGAACATTATAAATACACTACTGCTGAATGGTACACTAAAAACTGCTGAATCACAACTTTAAAATGGCTCGTCATAATATGAATTTGACCTCGATTTTAAAAAAAATTAAAAGTCCCATGATACACAGTATTTTTGATATAATCTCCACTGAGCTTAGGACCAATTTTATCAGAAGAAATTGGATATGTGTTTTACCAGTTATTTCTATTCCTCTATCTCAATTGTATAATTGGCAATGGAATCAACTCCAAAGCTTCCAGTAAATTTATTTTGCTGAGAAGCAGAATTTTCAAAAGATAATGTCAATTCTGAAGGCTGTTTTCTTTATTAATTCTATGTGTAGCAGTAATTATATTCCTGAGATACCAAATGCAATAGAAAGCAACGTTGGTCATTGAATAATATTTATCAGAGATTATTTAAATATGAGCTTCCTAAAATTCCTATCTTACTCTTTATTAGCTGACAAATACATTCAAAATTATAATTCTGTTAACTTGTTTTTAAATCAAAATAGAATTAAGTACATTGCCTCCATTTTTGTATATTTAATAAATTTTACAAAAGATTTTAAGTTTTATTGAATTGACACTAGGAAAGGGAGCAGAGAAATTCATTTGCTATTTAGAACTCATTTTAAATGTTCTATGAAAAATAATGTAAGAACGGTACATGTTTAATTAGAAAAAATCAATGTTGTCTACTTCTTAAAACACATTTTAAAAATCATAATTTATTAAGCACTACTAAAACTTAGATACTAATATAAGTGCTACTCTATTTTTTCCTAATAATTAGTTTAAATGGTACCATTTTATGAATACTATATATTCCATGGAATACTATGCAACCATAACATAGAAGGAGATCCTGTCCTTGGCAGCAACATAGATAGAGCTGGAAACCATTAGTTTATTCCCAGGTGAACTACTGAAGAACAGAAAACCATGTACCACTGTTCTCACTTATAAGTGGGAAATAAACGTTGAATACACATGGACACAATGACGGGAACAATAGATACCAGGACCTATTTAAGGATGGAGGTTGGGCGGAGGGTGAATAGCAAGAAACTATTGGATACTATGCTTACTACCTGGGTGACAAAACCATCTGTACACAAAAACCTCACAACGCAAAATTTACCTGTATAACAAACATGCATCTGTACACTTGAACTGAAAATAAAAGTTTTTTAAGAAAGAATACTGTGTATTGAAAACACACCAGGTGTGTGTATATATAAAAAATTAATATGTAAATAGATCTAATTTTTGAATCAAAAGGTACCATTACAGGTTTCATTATTAACATTCCTTATGTTATTCAAAGAAATTTCAACAGATTTAAGATTATTTTCTAGTAAAATAATATGTACATTGGAGAGATAATGTTAATAGAAAAATGAGACTAGAATGAATTAACTAAATATTCAAATATTTTTTAAAGTCTCCAACTGAAGTAATTTGTAAGTGCTGGTAAATGAGACTCAAGGCAGAAAATTGGAAAAAAACACTTTGGATACAAATCTCAGTTCTGTCCCTAATAAGATCACATCGGACAAATAACTTTAAAAAGGGGACATTAGATTAGATTAACTTTAACATCAATCCTCTTTCATAACGTTTTCCAAAATATTTCATGTCACAACAAATTATTTCAAGAAATTATAAATTACTAGACAAAATTTATCTTTTTGCTGTGACTTACTTTTTAAGAATTTTAGAAACTGATAATAAGACATCTATAGGGTTTGCTAATCAGTTTTCAATAGCTTTTTGATCTTCACCCTCCACCCACTCTCCATCCTCAAATACTTGTACAGTTTTTCTGACTATTGCATGTCTCCAAATACGGAGTTTTCACTTAAAAAGTTAAGAATAACCAATATTGAAAGTTTGCTGTATTTCAAATGTAGCTCTAAGTACTCTGTGCTTCTCAGCTTATTTAATCAATAAAACAACTAATTAGAAAGGTATGTAATAAATACACCTTAATAATTTTCCTGCATAGTATAGGGTCATATATAATACTTACACTGCGTGAATATGTGAAAAGTAAAAGAGACTAAATATGCAAAGTACTTATCACATTGCTGTGGTACAAAATAAAGCACTTCAAACTATTATTGCTATCATTATTATTATTATTTGAGATGGAGTCTCACTCTGTCGCCCAGGCTGGAGTGCAGTGGCAGGATCTCAACTCACTGCAACATCTGCCTCCCAGGTTCAAGCAATTCTTCTGCCTCAGCCTCCCGATTAGCTGGGATTACAGGTGTGCGACACCACACCCAGCTAATTTTTGTATTTTTAGTAGAGATGGGGTCTTGCCATGTTGGTCAAGATGTTTGTCTCAAACTCCTGATCTCAAATGATCCATCCACCTCAGCCTCCCAAAGTGTGGGGATTACAGACGTGAGCTACCATGCCTGGCTTATTGCTGTTATTAAAGTTATTTGAATATACTTTCAGATTGTAAGAGAAGAAGGAGAAAAGTCTGGGAAATGGCAAGGTGAGACAATGTGACATTTAAGGCTACCACAATTAACCACAGGTAGAGATTAGGTAATCTGCTAATAGGCAGTCCTAGATTTACACATGACAGAAGCCATATTATATAATAGTTTAAGATGTTTCCCCAATGTATCATGGTATTTATGACACTAATCACAAATCCATCTGTACATCATATATATTAAACTATATACTGTGAAGTTATTAATAATTAATAAAAAGTATTATCCTTCAAAAGATAAAATTACATTAAAGGCATTTTAAATTAACATGATAATGGTGAGAAGAAAGTTGGTGATGATTTCTTTGTTTTGATTTACTTTAAGTTTCAGGATACATGTGCAGAACGTGCAGGTGTGTTACATAGGTATACATATGCCACGGTGGTTTGCTGCATATATCAACCGTCATTAGGTTTTAAGTCCCCCATGCGTTAAGTATTTGTCCTATTGTGCTCCCTCCTTTTGCCCCACAGCCCCCAGCAGGCCCGTGTGCGTTGTTCCACTCTCTGTGTCCATGTGTTCTCATTGTTCAACTCCCATTTATGAGTGAGAACATGCAGTGTTTGGTTTTCTGTTCCTGTGGCAGTTTGCTGAAGATGATGACTTCCAGCTTCATCCATGACCCTGCAACGGACATGATCTCTTTCTTAATCGGAAGTAAAGCACACCTCAGCAAATGCAAAAGAACTGAAATCATAACAAACAGTCTCTCAGACCACACTGCAATCAAATTAGAACTCAGGATTAAGAAACTCTCTCAAAACTGCACAACTACATGGAAATTGAACAACTGGCTCCTGAATGACTCATGAGTAAATAATGAAATTAAGGCAGAAATAAAGAAGTTCTTTGGAACCAATGAGAACAAAGACACAATGTACCAGAATGTCTGGGACACAGCTAAAGCAGTGTTAAGAGGCAAATTTATAGCACTAAATGCCCACATCAGAAAGCTGGAAAGATCTGAAATCAACACCCTGACATCACAATTAAAAGAACTAGAGAAGCAAGAGCAAACAAATCCAAAAGCTAGCAGAACACAAGAAATAACTAAAATCAGAGCAGAAATGAAGGAGAAAGAGACACTAAAAATCCTTCAAACAATCAATGAATCCAGGAGCTGGTTTTTTGAAAAAAGTAGCAAAATAGGTAGAATGCTAGCTAGACTAATAAAGAAGAAAAGAGACAAGAATCAAATAGACACAATAAAAAATGGTAAAGGGGATATCACCCCTGAGCCCACAAAAATACAAACTACCATCAGAGAATACTATAAACACCTGTATGCAAGTCAACTAGAAAATCTAGAAGAAATGGAAAAATTCCTGGACACATACACCCTCCGAAGACTAAACCAGGAAGAAGTCAAATCCCTGAATAGACCGATAACAAGTTCTGAAATTGAGGCAGTAATTAATAGCCTCCCAACCAAAAAAAAGCCCAGGACCAGACGGATTCATGGATTCACAGCTGAATTTTACCAGAGGTACAAAGAGGATCTGGTAACATTCCTTCTGAAATTATGCCAAACAATTGAAAAGGAGGGAGACCTCCCTAACTCATTTTATGAAGCCAGCATCATCCTGAGACCAAAATCGGGAAGAGACACAACAAAAAAAAGAAAACTTTAGGCCAATATCCCTGGTGAACATCGGTGCAATAATCTTCAATAAAATACTGGCAAACTGAATGCAGCAACACATTAAAAAGCTTATCCACCACGATCAAGTCGAAAGTTGGTGATGACTTTGATTGTGAATCTTGAGAAAGCTAAAATTTGAGAGGGGAGCAAGAAAAGGAGAAAAACAAGGAAAGAGGGAAGAGAGAAGTCAGAGCAAGGAAATAAAATGAAAGGAAGGACAGGAGGAAGGAAGAAGGGAGAAAGAGATGCAGGGAGGTAAGAACATGAAGCATTAACTTCAGTTTGAGATAGGAGGGCAGTGGTTAGATTATGGTTCTGGTTGTAAAAAGATGTAAGATTATATTTCTGGTTTGGCTACTGACTTACATTGCCCTTAGCCTCCTGTACCTTGAACATATCTTGAGATGTCTTTAATGGACTTTGATCTTATCTGAGAATAGGTGATGAAGGAGACATCATTTTCCTTGGTTCTAGCAGACACTTGACAGCAAGAGCTATCAATTTCTCATATGATGTACTGGATTATTCTTTTCTGGGAATCTTAACACTTGACTGGTCAAATTATAAGAAAATGTTGTAAGAAAAAATGAAAGAAATAGTTCCCTGCCTTTGGGAAATAGACTGACAGCAGTGGCAGACCTTTGAGGTTTATTACATTCTTTGTTTTAGTAGTGCTACAATTTTTAACATGCTTTTTTCTTTAAAAAATGTGTACACCATTTTAAAATAATTTGAAAGAAACAGCATCTGTTACTTTCCTCAGAAACTTATCTTTCCAAATTTATAGCACGCATTGATTTTTTTTTCTTTATGAACAGCCACTTTCTTTAGATTCTTGCAAGCTTTTATGAGCATCACCAGTTCAGTTTCCTTGGGGTTCTGATCTAAATGTTTTCATTTCTGTGCTATACTGGATATGATAACCTCAACTTATGTAATGTGGGGTATATGTGTGTGATATCGAATGTATTACATCACAATTTCTATATATTTTGTGATGCCAAATAACACATTACCAAATCGAATGGCACATATATTTTAACATTAATCCAAAATTAACACTCCAGAAGGATTATTAGTGAATATTATACAGGAGACCTGTATTTTGTGGATAAACATGACATTTATCATAGCTCAAACAAATTTCTGTGCCTATTTTGAGGAAATTAAATCCTTACTTCAGATTACCTGTAAATAAATTAACAAAAAATTTTCAAAATAGTCTCCATTTATTTGTCAGGGTTTCAATGAATAACGTCTCCTGGTTGTAATTTCAACATCATCAGACATAAAACCTGTGAGGGATTGAAGAAAAGTAAAAGCTCATTTGGAGGCCAGGTATGGTGGCTCATGCCTATAATCCCTGAACTTTGGGAGGCTGAGGTGGCAGATCACCTGAGGTCAGGAGTTCAAGACCAGCCTGGCCAACGTGGTGAAACCACAACTCTATTTTAAAAAAAAAAAGCACAAAAATTAGCTGGGCGTGGTGGCAGGTGCCTGTAATCCCAGCTACCCAGGAGGCTGAGGCAGGAGAATCTCTTGAACCTGGGAGGAGGAGGTTGCAGTGAGCCGAAATCACGCCATTGCACTCCAGCCTGGGCAACAAGAATGAAACTCCATCTCAAACAAACAAACAAAACAAAACAAAACAAAACAAAACAAAACAAAAACTCATTTGGAAATATTTTATAGTAAGATTATAAAGAAATGTATTTTTTATGAAAAAAACTATATTCTAGTATAAAAACTATTAAAGATGCTTAATGTCTCAACCTTGAATTTACATGATTTTTAAATATTCTTGTGAGTAGTTATTTTTAAATTAAAAAACCTCTCAATTTTAAAAATATGATCTTTTAAAGAGCTACTAAAATCGGCTAATTATATTATTTTTATGAAAGGGTATATTAGTCTGTTTTTATGCTGCCAATAAAGACATACACAAGACTGAGTAATTTGTAAAGAAAAAGAGGTTTAATGGACTCACAGTTTCATGTGCCTGGGAAGGCCTCACAATCATGGCAGAAGGCAAAGAGGGAACAAGGCCTGTCTTACATGGCTGCAGGCAAGACAGTTTGTATAGGCGAACTCCCCTTTATAAAGCTATCAGATCTTGTGAGACTTATTCACTATCGTGAGAACAACAAGGGAAAGACCCGCTCCCATAATTCAATTACCTCTCACCAGGTCCCTCCCACGACAGGTGAGAATTATGGGAACTACAATTCAAGATGAGATTTGGGTGGGGACACAGTCAAACCATATCAAGGGTTATGAAATCTTGTGAGTTTTTTGTTTAAATAACTGCCATTTTAATGCTGTGCCACTGATGCTACATATAGAAAAGAAAGGTCTGGATTTTATAACAATACAAATTTTGTACCTAAATTATTAAATATTCTATTTTAAAATATTATTTCCAATATGCAAGCACAAAAACTGAGAATTTAAATGCAATTAGTAGAAAAAAACATTAAGGCAGTGCAACTAAACAGTATGAACTTTTTGGTATCATCTCAATGTGTTAGGGTGTGACAATGGCAAATATGTAGAATCTTTATATTTACAAATTCTGTATTTGCAAACTCAGAAATAGTTCTTGAGTAACGCATTCATTAATTTTATGTGTCAACTTGAAGGGTGGGTAAAGCAAATTGCCTCCATAATATTTGTGGGTGTTATGCAATCCATTGAAGGCCTAAATGGTACAAAAAGGCACTGCTTCCCCAGGCAAAAGGGAATTCCCCAGCAGACTTCAGCTGCATCATCAGCTTTCCTGAGTCTCCAGCCTTCTAGCCTTTGGACGAGAGCTAAAATGACAGCTTTTCTTGGTCTTTAGGCTGCTGGTCCACACTGCAGATTTGGGACTCCAGCCTCCTTCATCATGTGAGTCAATTCTGCAGAGATAGATGATAGATAGATGATAGATGATAGATGATAGATAGATAGATAGATAGATAGATAGATAGATAGATAGATAGATAGAAAGATAGATAGATATTCCATTGGCTCTGTTTCTCTGGAGAACATGGACTAAAACAGCCATTTATCCATCCAACACTATTTTAAGTGCTATTAGGTATCCTAGAAGATTGGTCAGGGAGAGACTTGAGAAGCAACATCCTGCCTATGCTTTGAATATGGCATACACTGTTGTGATTTTTTAATGAAAGAAAAATTTTGGTGCTAGATTCAGACACAAAGAAAGAATCTGAGAAACTATTAGAAATATATGGCAACACAGTCAGCCCTGTTTTTTTTTTTTTCTTTTTTTGTATCTACAACCATTGTTAACAGTGAGTAGAATATTCTCTCCCACACTCCACCACTTTGCTCCTTTAGATATGATTCCTGTGAGCCCTCCAGGGCTTCTGGGTCAGTAGAACTCTGCTAATCAAAGAGCTACTGAAGCCTCCAGTGTGAAGATGAGCACAAAATTAAAGCAGAAACCCATCTCTCTATTACTCTTGAATGTGGCAGCTCCGGAATCCCAGTGCCCAGGGCTCATATTTGGAGTACCTTTGGACATATTTTAGTTCATCAGAAGTCTTCGTTTGTAGTGTTAGTTTAGATGAATTGGTAAAATTGAAAGTGTATGAAATAGTAATATTTTGCTTCTTCTATCATCATTTATCTTCATTCCCAAATTCTAAAACACTTATCTTTCATGGAAGAAGTAGACTTTCATGCTAATTATTCTGAGATGTAAATGTGCAAGAGCACATGGGATCAAGTATATCCTGAGAGATGTTCCTTGATTCCTAGTAAGTAAACGTCATACTTCTCTTGAACATGTTCATCCCCATTCTGCTTTATTTTTGTTTTTAGCATTCCCTGTTCATTGACATTACATATTTATCTATTTGTTTAATAGATAAGAGGGTTTAATTGTACCCTCCTTTACTATACTCCATGTTTTATAATGAAAAAGATTTTACTTGTTTTCTATCAAATTCTACTTCCTGCACAGCAGATAGTAGATGATCAATAAAAAGGTCTTCCATATTCCTGAATGGAGAAGTTAATTATTAAATGAATTAACTGGAAATTTTTGCCTAATTTTTTTTTCTCCTGTTGACTACCTCAATTTCCAAGTGCATCACCTCAGACAGCCATAAAAGAAGAATCTTCTTACATTTTTATTCAGATTAAAATAAGGTGAATTTGTCTTAATTAATGGATGTTCCTGTTTCCTTGTGAAATGGTCTCAGATAAATTGTAAATAATAAAATGTGCCAAAATTTCAAGTAAAGAACATTTTCCATATAGTTATTTTAAATATAATTTTCTTATTCTGGTATCATCATTGTGTAATACGCCAACAGTATATGTGTCTTGGATCATTTATCCCAGACTGTTCTTAGGAAAGCCCTATGTGTCTGACAATTAAATATAATTAATCAACAAGAATTGAAGAATAGCTGCAGCTTAATCACTTAGAGCTGAACCAGTCAAAATCCAAAAAAGAAGTGACCATCTTTCTTCCACATAAGATCTTTTCTACTTCATAAATAACCCTGACCCTCTTGTAATTCATCATCATTCATAATCTCAGCAATGAGCAATGGGTATTGTGTTCAGTGCAAAGGATTATACAAAGATGTATGAAATGTGTTTCCTGGCTTTAGAAGATTAAAATTTGCATTATATATTTAAACCATTAAAATAGTCATGGTGTATATAATAGCGAAAGATGCAAATAACTTTATTGAACTTAAAACACAGGCGCACTCAGAAATAGCTCAATGCATGACTTGTCAAACCATTTCTGACTCTCCTTGATGTTTTTCCAAAGTGTTGAGGTTCAGTTGGGGATTTCTTTTACATCAGTGCTGAATTTCTGCTCCAGATATATCATGTGTGACTCATCACTGCTAATATATGAGTAATCTCAGGCTTTTGCTCTCCCTATTCATGAAAGAGGAATTGTTTTTTCCTGCTGAGTTTGTTTCCATTCCCCTAATTTTTGAGAAAATACACTGCCAGACTAATTATTTTTTAGTTTTGTTGGTTTTTTTTTTTTTTTTTTGCTTTGTGGGATTTAAAACTTGGATAAAACAGAAATGAAGACAGGAAGGAATTGGATGGGTTCGGAGTTAAGGAGAAAAAATCTGAAAGCAGCTGAGAGAAACGGAAGAGCCATATGTACACTTCACAGTGTTTGAGAAATGCACACAATAAATTTGGGAGTATCTTTGAATTTTATTATGCACGGTGTTTCTTTTGTTATGACACTGCTCTGAGTTTAGAACATGTTCAGGAAACCACATAGCCATTGCTATGTTTATTTTTTCCTTTCCATACGTATTTATTCAATGTTCATTCTCTTGGAAGCACAGTCTAATTGCATGTTCATTTATATGTAAAAAGCCAAGTGAAAACCTCAGACATCCTTGAGCTTATGTTCTAGGAATAGAAGACAGGCCAGAAGAACATGTTTACTTACATACTTGTATTATAATTACATATATACACATATATTTACATCTTATATGTATATATAACATTTTATATGTGTGTGTATTTATATAGTGATAATTGTGAAGAAAACAAATGATCAGGAAAGAATACTTGGACAAGAGTAGCTTTCCCCAGGATATGAAAAAAATATATAGACAACAATATTCCAGGCAGATAGACCTCTTAATGCAAAGGATTTCAGGCCAAAACAAGCATAGTGCATTAAAGCCTCAGGAAGTAGGCCAATTCAGGAAGCGGAGGCATGGGGTGTAAGGAGAGCCTGTTTAAGGTAAAAGAAGTAAGGAGAGACATATTGTCTAGAAATTTGTGGGTCACAGGAAAAGAAACAAGGTTTGTTTATATGTTTGTTTATTTGGATGATTGTTTCATGGAAGTCATGTAAAACCTTTAGATTTCAGGGATGGTCTATCCAGGAGAGTCAAGTTTTAGTTGAGGCCAGAATGATAAGATTGCACCACTTATAAAGATATGGGGAAGAAAATTCCTGGAAAATATCCTGATGTAGAAATGATCTCTGTTTTTTGAGGGGCACAAAAAGTAAATCTTTACAGCTTGGATTTCAGTGGAATTGAAAGAGATAGGGACTTATAAAAAAAATAAACACAGAAGCCAAAACCTTTGGAGGGATCTAAGCATGGTAATATAAATTTTTGGAAATTATTTGCCCAACTGTAGGTTAGTGTAAGTGTTCTAAATATGTTTAAGTTAGGCCAGTCTAAGTTGTGATATTCAGTACGTTAATTATATTGAATTCATTTCACTAATGATATTTCCTACTTACAATGGATTTATCAGCAGATAACCTCATCATAAGTTGAGCAGCATCTGTATGGTATGCCACTGAATGTATACATCACAAAGTATGTATCCATTCTAATGTTGTTGAAGGATATTTGGATTGTTTTAAGTTTCTGGCTGTTAATTATAATGCTACTGTGAAAATCTATGTACCTGTTGGTCTTTATATGTACGGTTTTATGTTGCGTGTATACCTTGAGGTGAAACTGCTGGGTCATAGAGAATGCAGATATACAGCAAAGCAGATATGGAAAAATGGCTATCCAAATAGTGGTATCCTTTTACCTACCCAAAAGTAGCATATGAAAATTTTCATTCTTCATATGTTTCCAACACTTAAAATTGTCCATCTTTTAAAGTTTAGCCATGCTGGATGTGAAACAGCATAGTTTCATTTGTACAGCCTTAAAAAATGTTATTGGTCACTCTAGCTATTCTTTTTTGTGAAATACCTGCTCAAATTATGTTGCCAATTTTTAGAGTGGGGAAGGGGGGTTGACTGTCTTTCCATTATTACTTTGAGTGAGTTCATTTTATATATTCTGGATATTAGTACTCTAGATAAAACAATTGCAATTTTTTAGAAGTTTCATCATTTTATATTTAGATAAATAATCCACCTGCAATTGATTTTTGGGAATGCTTTGAGGTGAGAGTCAAATTCACTCCTCCTCCCATTGGTATGTCCAACTAGCCCACAACTTATCCAACTTAATTTACTGAAAACCTTTTCCCACTTCTCTGCCACCTCATATTTTACTGATTTAGTATAACATTGCTTTTTCTGCAATGTAGGAAATGAATGGTAGGTGAGCCAAGAGTGGGGAAATGGGAAAATGTTGGGGAAGATAAGAACAAATCGAACGTGACAGAGTTTTAGCAGTAGAGATGGAGAGAATGAAATTCAAAAAATGTTTTGGAAGTTAAAGATTTCCTGATATACTGAATATGGGTTTCTAGGGAAAGAGACAAATCAAGGATAATCTTGATTTTGGCTTAAGTAACTGAAAATACGGTGTGCCATTTTGAGTTGAGGAATGTAAACAATGCTTCACATGGATTTCAGCTTCACAATTGGGGATCTTAGTAAAGTTTTCCCACAAGAAAAATAAAGTTATGATTTTCAAAACTTCTAAAATATTTCCATACTTTTAAACATCTAAATTAAAACTAATTAATTCTGTCTTTCTAGGGAAAACAGTTTTCTAGGTATTTTCAAAGCATTTGATTGCATGGGTAGTATAGTAATAATACCAAAGTACTTAGAAGAAAAAACTCATCACTTGCAATTTTAATAATGTAGAAAATACTAAATGTTAAGTCAATATTATAATTTATCTTAAGAATGCTCTATTTGCTAAGGATTACATTTATATTGTTTGAACCTACATCATTTTCATATTATAATGAAAAAATACATGTATAATGATAATATTTTGAGTAATTATTTTCACCTATTCAATACATTGCTTAAAGTCAAATTGAATTATATAAAGATTTTCTTAAATACCTCTATCTGTATTTAAAATTATCCTTTCACTTTTGTTTCTAATTTAACTGTAGTTGTGTAAAGACAAACACACAAAAGTTTAGAAAAATCTCTTGAGAAAAATCACAGAAATTTGAATACTGTCCTCTTTTATTTTGATTACAAAGTGCTTTCCAGCCATGATAATTGACCTTTACTCATAAAATTGATCCCTGGCACAGTAAATTGAGTCATTTATGTAAGCATAGCTGTTTAAGTTAAGTAGGCTTTTAAGTCCACATATTTTCTAAATACCAGCCTGAGTTCAAGGTGCTTTAGAAGAATAAAAAAAAGTATGTTATTAAAAAAAAAAAGCAGGTTCTTTGACCATTTTAGTGCTTAAGAAAGCAAAACACACTACAATTTCGACTTTGTGCACTGAAAGTTCCTTTTGCATGAAGCTTTTAAAAGAAATGAATTGGAAAATAAAGTTCCATCTGCTAACTCATCCCTTTGACATATAGAGTATTTGGTAGAATCCTGAAAAATAGATTCAAAACAACTTGTGTATAAAATGAAGGCAATAATATGAAACCAATTCTCTTTTTATTTCAAGAAAGATCAAAAGAAAGGAAGCATGTATCTTACATTGCAAAAAATCAGGATGTAAGATGACCACTGTTTATAAATTTGATCATTTTGGGGAGATAGTCAAAGAAAGTAGTAATTTACTCTCTTTAAGAAGTGCTCATTAGTGTATGCTTGGATTACTTTCCCCTTAATATACTGAGGTTTTCATGAAAATGATTCGGAAGCTAAAGCATTGTATAGATAGTAAAGATATGACTAAGAAAGTGATAAAAAAGGTTTTTTTCAAATTATGAAAGCTCTCTTTACCCCAAGTAACATAAATACTAACCAAAGATGTCTTTGTGGTATCTATTTTCTGTTTTGGTTTTTGTTTATTCTTCTTTTTATTATTTAGTCAAGTGCATTTATTTATTTGTTTTTATTATTTTTTAATGAAACCGAAACCTAAATTTCCTGAGACTCAACATTTTCTCATAGTAGAGCTTCAAACATGTGAAACATATAGGTAGAGGATTAACAGAATGATTGTAGTATCAAAATTATGAATATTTTCATTGTGATCTACCAGAGAGGAGTGAGTGGCACACATATTCAGAAAGCATTTTGATTTTTAGTTCAGGATAATTGCTAAAAGCAAAAATACTGTTATGGGTGGGCATGGCAAAATACTCCAACATTCCAGGTCACATGTTTATTTTACAGAATTAATCTAAATATTAAAATATGGGCACAATTCATGATGATAATCAATAAACAGCCATCATCACCATATTTATAAATATTGATTTGACTTTGTAACTCAGTCATATCGTTAAATTTAGCGTCCTAAATCTTCTAGCACAAACTTGGCTCCAAGGGAGGGTTACTTACTTGGGAACCATAAAAAGTCACTATTCCCCTCTCCAAATGATTCTGGCACCCTCTCTTGTGAAGGCTGAATGTAACTTTTCCATCCTTCTCCATGAAGCACCCTGTCAATCTGAGTTGGTAGGCAAAGTGAAAGTGTATGCCATCCAGGAGCAGAGCATGCCTCAATGTCATCATCTCAAATAACTGCAAAATTAGTCTTCCAGAAATTATTTCTCTCGCTGCTTTCTACCGGTCATCCTGAAGATTATTATCTTGTCTCTCCTCATCTTCACAGTATGAACTCATAATTTTTCCATGTGGTTGATGCTCCTTTTGATACAACTAAAGAGGAAAGAACAAGCTTATTTTGTCTCATGTAAAGCACCTAACAATACTGTCCTATTTAGAAGGCAGAAACCTCTTGCTCTCACTTAGATAAAGATAAATATTCTTTATCACAACAACACAAAGCAACAACAATAAAAAAATTAGTGTTCCAGGTTTAGTAGTGTCCAAATGTAAATATAACGAGGTTTTCTTGAAAGTGATTGGCATGTGGTCTCCACTGCAGAGAAAGCTCTCATTTGCACAAACCCATGTCTGAAATACACCTTCTCTCACTTGTATAAACATGAATTTTGTTACTAAGTTTTTAGTTTTAGGTAAAAATCTACGTGAGAATAGTTTTCATTAAAAAAACATTTCGAGTTAAGTGCTGCAAGAATTTTCAACAAAGATTTAAACAAATCAGCAGACCTTGTACGCATTTTTGACAGTGTTTTATCCTCAAAGTTATATTATATGCTAAAATTTAAATATACATCCTTAAGATACCAGTGCTTATTGATGGTTTTTGGTACTGTGTAAAATGGAGGTCCGAACCACATTCTAGGAAGCAGTGGGTCTGGTCTATTAAATGTAGAGTGAAGCTTCAGGTCATTTCTAGTTCACTAGCATTCTAAGCAATCCTGAAAATACATATAATCCTCAATGTAGCATGATGTTTATTACACCCACATTTTTTTAAAAAATGTGAATCACTCTAACTGTGAGTGATGCTGGCTTTAAAATACATCAGGTAAACTTTTGCATTGTAGTTACTTCCATACTTTTCAATTTACTGTTAAAATCACTTTTTCATATCCTAAATATACATTAAATAGTGCAGGCAGACAGAGGGACCAGAAATTCATGGAAGAAGCTTTCTCAGAATGAAAACCAGTTTAAAATAGATCATTTCAGCCAAATCCTCTCATGGTTAATTAAGAATGGACAGAATGTAAGCACACAGTAAAGAAAATTTACATAAGAAACTATGGACATTTGAATGAGTTGGTGTTTTCTCTCCTAATCGAAGGCAATAATGATGATGACAGTAATGCTAATAGTAGTAATTATTTTATTAATGGCAACTACTACTAAATGGAATGATTACTATATGCCAGGTGTTAAGTGTCCCATTTTACAAATATCACTTAATTCTCAGAAGCCTACATGGATGTATTATAATCCCTGTTCAAGATTAGAAAAATTCGTTCTTAGGAATATTCTGATATGATTTTCCTATATAATACATTTAGTGTATGGTATAACTGGTATTCATACATGAGGTTCTCTGAGCCCAGAGTTCATACATTCAGTGACCTTACAAAAATAAGTGATGTTGAAATCCAGGGTTTTTGACAGCCTTTGGGTGATTTTTGCTATTATTGTTTGTTCCTCTGTGTATAACGCTGCAGAAGTATGCTGCATCTCTAGCAATTAAAGACTAAAATTTTAAAGTATTTTTTCCAATTACCTCAGTGAGATGACATTTGTAAAGATGCTGTATTATTTCATTTTAGCCTCTCAGAAAGGTACTAATCAAAAGATATTGCATAAGTCCATATTGATGTTGAATTCATTCCCCTGATTCTCACTTATGAGTGAAGATGGGGATATGAGCAAGCTGTCATGGGTCGGGAATGGCAGACAGAATTATTCCAGTCAAGCATAAGCTACTCTGGAGTGACATCAATCTTAAATACACATTTACTGGTGCCTGAATCTGTGGAAATTCTTAGAGTTTGGTCAATAACTAGGATATCTGGCAATGTTCTACTCTGACTTGCATTTACTTTGAAAACTGTTTTTTTAAACATACAATGATATACTATTTGTATAATTCATAAAGCATAAATAGGTACTATAGACATTTGGTGCAGCAGGAGTGACCTTTCTAAAATATGGAAGTGATTGTATTAAACCTCTGGTTAAAATACTTAAATGGCTTCTATCAGTTGGAAAATATGATTGAAGACTGTTAGCAATGAAAATGTGGCCTTTGGATTTGTTTAACAATTATTTATTGATACCTATGGTGTCAACTGTGGTAGTTTAAAGAGCAAATATTTATTGATTTCATATAAGTCCAGAACTACACTGTTGAGAGGCAGCTGCAATGGTTTGATGACATCACAAGACACAAGTCCAGGTGCTTTTCATCTTTCAGCCCTGTTTTTCACAGTATGCAGTCCTTCATCCCCAAGCTTATCACCTCATGGTGACAAGATAATTGTACTTCTCCTGGCTCATGTCTTTGTAACAGTCATAAAGAAGAAAAAGGAAAATAAGACAAAAGCTGATTAGGGAAACAATACATCAGACTATATAGAAGAATCAAGATTATTTCATTAGCCATCTCTAGTGTTAAGGGGTCTGGAAATGGATTTTTAGCTGGGCACCCTAGGAACCAAAAAATAACCAAAGTTCTACCTTTAAGGAAGATTAGGAAAACAGATATTCGCTTAGCATCTAGCAGTGCCTACCTAATAGCAAAAAAATCTGTTGGTCATTGGGGTTACAAATGATAACAATTGCCGTTGCCTAAAGTACTTTATGCAATCTAGACTATATCAGCTATCCTATCTCTTGTCCTGACATGCCACTATATTTACTCTGTACTTCAGTGTAACTGAACAACTAATTCCCTGAAAATTCTGTATACTTTCTCAATCGACTTGCCTTCACAGTTGTAACTTTTACTTGCAATGCCTGTGTTCTTGATATGCTTACATAGTTTCTCCTTTTCAAACATTTTCTCCTCTAACAAACATTCCTCTATGCCACATTATATTGTCAACATTCATATATACTTATATTATGGTGAGTGAGTGATTACTGTAACTGGGAATTTAAGATATATACAATTTGTGTCCACAAGGAAAGGGTTGATAAAAGTTGCTTTCAATGTTTAAGTAATATGTGACCAAAAAACTATATAATGATGTACAATGTGATGCGTGAAAATAAAATCTTTGGCTTGGTTAAATTATTATCACTTCAGTCACCATAGGAAAGGTAATAGTGAACATTTGAATATGTAATCTTTTAAATGTCACATGCTTTCAATGACGACATGAAGTTACCAAGTGATGCTGGATAATTTTCTACGATTTTGAATATATTAATACAAGCCTATAAGTAACATTAGTGTAACACTTCAGTGTTTCCAATTTGCTGTTATGCACTATCTTCCTCAATCTTCAAAAGAATCAATTACGGCAATATGATAAACATCATTATCCCTCTTTTACAGATTAGAAATATGTGTAGTTCAGAGAAGATCATGTATGTGGCAAGGGCCAAACAATTAGTGAGTGATAAATTAAGTACAGATCATTTGATTTTGAATACAATGTTCAGTTTACTAAATAATTCTCACTTTTGTTATGACTATTTCAATTTTTCTATAAATTTTTTTTCTCCTGAGTGTTTTGGCTCCTTTTGTTTACTAATAAAGTGTTCATGAGTTACAATTAGTTTTAAATGGCATGTAAACCCTAAATATCATTAACATAATTTGTTTACTATATACTACTCATTATTAAAGGTCAAAATTGCTTATTCCTAAGTTGGATAACCAAATTGTTTTAGTTTGCGTAAGACTTTCTCGCTTTTAAAACTGAAGGTCCCATATTTTAGGAGGCTCTCAGCCCTGAGAAAATCAGAGTATTTGATCATCCTGTCCATATTGTGAGAAACAGAACATGTTAAGCTTTATGTTCTTTTGTCTACTCTTAGTTTTGAATTAGTTAGAAATAGAAATGCCTCAATCAGCAACTTAATTAAGAATCTTAAAAGAATGGAAACTTGTTGACACATTTTAAGAAAGAGCACAATTATTCATTTTATGTCATTAGACACATAAAATTTAACAAATATTTATATTACAGGAACTGTTGGACTTTAATTTTATGTATCTTTATATCAAAGTATCATCAAATTAGTTTGCATTTATAGTGCTTATACAAAGGATAAAAAGGTTTCCTATGATTTTGAAAGAATTGTTATGACAGTTACAAGTACCACTGACTTTTAACCTTGAGAATAAAAGTATTTGGATTTAAGTGTTTTTGAAAGAAACTGTATCTGTTGAAGTGTTTACCACTTTATCATTTAAAGTGATAAACTGTGTTTAATACAAGAAGTAAATTCTACTCATCACTATGAAATTATAAAGAATCATCACCTCACTTTAGAATTATTTTGAGCATAACAACACAAAACAAGACAGAACTGTAAAATAAACCTCATAAATAAAAACAAAAGCAATATTTTATTATAATAAATTGGACTATTTTGTTAGCATTTTTATTAACACGTAGTAAAGAGAGAACTTTGCTTATGGACAAGATGTAATAGATCACAGTAGACCAGCGTTTCCTCTACAATAGCTAGAAAAATATTTTGAAAGAAATGAAATAGCTATGGAAGCAATAAGAATAAAGTAAAATTCCAAAAAGAAGAAAATCCTCCTATTTTGAGTAAAAGATGGTCAGACATTTCCTTCTTGGATTCAGATGCTGATTTTTGTATGGAGACTGGGTACCAGAACTGACCCAGGAAAACCCTAAGACAGAAATAGAAATCAGCAGAAGATTGGTGGTGGAGTGGAGGTGAATTCTCAAATGATAGGTTGAAACTAGAGAATCCCGAAACAAAGAGTTGTGTCCATGGAGAATTTGCTTCGTTCTGAGCTGCAATGGAGATGGAGATTTTCTAAGTGGAGAATTAAAATGAACCAATCTCGTGACTTATGAAACAAAGTCCTGATGGAATACTGGGGCATGTCTCAAAAATGTGGCCAGTTTCCCCTCAAATCATTTGCTGAATATTGAAAAGACGGGATGCAAGAAAGATAAAGAGATAAGATGAAAACACCCCGGGGGGAGCACTAAATTTGTCACAGGCTTCTGGGGCTAAGACGGTAGGGGACCACCAAACTTTCCATCGAATCCATGAGAAGGCCACACATCTGGCACGAGGAAGAACCAGCAGTGGATTATCCCTAAGCTGCATCCCAGCTTAACTGAGCACAACTTTTGGTTGAACCGATGATATTAAACAGCCATCCATAATCTGACTCACATGGGGAAGGGGGATTCTCTCTGGTGAAATAAACCATTATCTCGATCTATATGGTAGATTCATGCATAAATGCAATTTAAAAACACATAAGCTATTTGAAGACATAAGAAAATGTGACTAGGCAGGAGCACTGATAAGAACAAATACACGGGTAAATGTAAAAGAACACTGTTAAAACAGCAAAAAAAAATATCTTGTGGAGTTATGTGCTTAGAACACAGGCAATAATAAAGGACATGACAAGAAAGGTACAGATATGGGAAGGTGCAAATGGGGTTTTCAATTTCCAGCAGCATATGCTTTAGTAACGCATTTAAATAGAAGACCTGGTTATAACCTTTCTGAGTACATTTATGACCACAATTGACTGACTTTATCTTCATAATTACTTGACAGCTTGACAATGTATAGCTACATACATAGACAATAATTTCTTGAACCTTAAAAACATGAATCTAGACTTTTAATCAGAAATAAAAATATGATCCCTATGTAAATTTCTTTATACTGTGGATAATAATTTCTTAATAGTAAAATGTTTATGAAGTCCTCTTCATAAGTTCTGGTATGTCCTTGTATGTGTATGTGTGTATATATATTTCTATATAGTTGTGGGTCTATTTTTATGCATTTATCATCCCCAAGGAGGTAGGACTTCATATCTGAAAACAAATGTTTGTATTTAAATTTCAGAAATGTCTTGGTATTCACTTTCTTGTCCATGTAGAAGATAATTAATTAAAATGTATTTTAAAGATGGGGATCCTTAGCAACTTTCTAGCAACATGCCATTTTAAAATCTACTCCATGATTGAATTATTTGCCTAGTGCATGTTATGGTATTAACCAAATTCCAACTTGTGTCATAGTTATGTCCCTGCTTCGTTTTGTTTTGTTTTGTTGTTTTGTTTTGTTTTGTTTCTTGCTAATATATAGTCAACCACTTAGGGACAAAGATTGTTTTTACTTCAGCTTGTGTCATCCTTGTAGGGTCTTCATCCAAATAATTACTCAATAAATACTTGCTGAATAAATGAAATTGTTTTCAAAAGGATAATATATCCCTAACAAGAGGAGACTATAAGCCAAATTGTAGTTATCTGATGATGGGGATAAAAGAACATGCCACAAAATGTAGATAAAAGAAAGAGAACAAATGTGTTTGTACAAATGCTATTCTTATGGCAAGATCATGTGATCTATTTTGGCTGAACATAGAGACTTAGTTAAGAAGCCTTTGTTAAACTGCAGTTATGAATTAATTCCAGAATTCTAGTAATTTAATGCACAAAAAAGTGTTTTATGTCTTGTTTACAGTACATAGCTAATGTTGGTCAGGGTGGGAGGCAGCGTTTCTCACCATAT
The DNA here is from genome assembly GCF_000001405.40 of Homo sapiens. Lineage (NCBI taxonomy): Eukaryota > Metazoa > Chordata > Mammalia > Primates > Hominidae > Homo > Homo sapiens. Next base: position 30,441,389 of record NC_000004.12, read on the forward strand.
AGTCATTCATGGAATCAGACTAATGAAGCCTCTAACATCTGATAACACCATGTGGCCTTGTGACCTTCTATTTCATTATAGCAAATGAAAAGATGGCATAGTACACCTACTGTTCTATATGCAGTCCAAATATGACTGTGGTCTTTCTGCTTAGAGCTCATTGGCCAAAAGAAGCTGCATTGCCTCTTCTGAATGCAGAGGCTGGAAAGTACAGGAGGATGTATGGCTATTTAGATAATAGCAATTATCATTTCCATTGGAGTGGTGAATATGGCCCAGAAATCACTTGCTGGGTACAATGCACATGATTCACACAATAGATACCTTAAAATCTCTGACTTCATCACTATAAAATCGACGTACGTAACACAATTGCACTTGTACTCCATAAATGTATACAAATAAAAATAAATAAACCTAAAGTTGGGAAAAACAATAAATGCATTTTTATGATGTGCGTATATTGTTGTGGGGGGAATATGTGCATCAAAAACTATGTTCTGGAAATATTTTGTGCTGTGATTAGGAATATAGTAGATACTAAAATATATAAGGTGAGCTGCCTGCCTTCAAGGAGTTTTAACTCTAATTGTAAAAAAGGTAAATTTATTTAATACTATATTTTTGTTAATTACCTTGCCATTTAAGTAGTTCAGGATATTTCGGAGTCAAAACTAACTTTGTTTAGATTATATTAACTGTGCTAAATGTGTTAATTTGCAGATAATTTGTATTTTATGGTATTATTTCCTTCCCATATAAGAACACAGGATTACTTAAGTTCAGATTCTGATTTGTCTTTGATGTGCTCTCATTTTCATTATATATGGTCTCTACTTTCCTGTTAAATTTATGTATACATATTTCATTAAGTTTCTTAATTTTATTTTGTTCTTGCTTGTTATTTTGAATACGATAATTTTCTTATAGCTTTTTCTAGGCATTTATTACTAAATTTGAGACAATTTCTGATTTCTTTAATTGTTATTTTTATTTTCAGTCACTTTATCAAGTTATCTTATTTGTAGTTTAGATAAGAAGGTGGGGATTGTAGTTACAAATCATACCATCAATAAGAAAAATACTTTTATCCTTTTTCCAATGTTTATATTATTTATTTATTTCTTGAGTATCTATATTTGCTAACTACCCAAGAAAATGTTACATAATATAGTAAGAGTTCAGCTTCCATTGACTTCCCTATTTTAAATGGTTTTTAGAATTTTGTTCTGTAGAATAATGCTTATTCAAGGTTTTGGTAAATTGTTTTATTCATTTTCTTTATATTTCTCTGACACTCATACTTTTCACTGGGAATTAATTTTGATATTACCAAATGTTTTATTGGAACCTACCAATAGAATTTTTTACTTTTTTCTCCTCACATGTCTGAAGGAAAAAAAGTGATAAAATTTCTAACATTAAATGATGCTTTGATTAATAAAATAATCCCTGCTCAGTAATTCTACATTAATCAGAGGGAAAGAAGCTGTGTACATATTGTTGTTTTCCTCTTCACAGTTTCTCACATCTACATAACTTCTTGATACAATTCTTCTCATCCTTCTGCATGGCCCTTTTAATTTATAGATCTCCATTTCTTTTGGGTTGGTTATTGGAATATGATTATGTTCTTTTTGTGGTATCATTTTTCCTTGTTTTGTGTGTGTGTGTGTACACATGTGTTTCTTATTCTCTTGCATTGCTCTATTTGTATTTGAAGAAGCAGTCACCTCCTCCAGTCTTTACCGATTGGCTTTGAGAGAGAAATACCTTCACCAATCATCCCAGCTAGGGAATCTGAATTCTTTTCTATGAATTCTTCTCTATGAATTCTTTTCTACAAATTCTTCTTCCCTCGGGGATGAAGGGGGAGCTTTTAAAATTTTATGTATTCCCTTGATCCTACAAAGCCAGGCTGGACACTGAAAGCCTCCCATTTGTTTTCCCTAGGGTAATGCCCTAAAATGCTACAGTTTGTGTGCCTTCATTCATTTCTGCAGAGTCGAGCTGCCTGTTTGCACAAGACAAAAGGTTGCCAGCATGGGGGAAGGAGTGTGTCAGCATGGGGAGCATTAGACGTACCATTGTATCAGTTAGTGGGGAATCCAAAGGCAAGACATTCCATGCAGCTCATAGGGGGTTCCTGATGAAGTCTGCAGAGTATTTAGCATAGTCTGTCCTCTCTTCTCTGTTCCCAGCTCTCCCAATAACTCAGCCATGGTGATCAGCTTAGTCTTCTGGGTGGAGCAAAAGACAAGTGGGCCCCTTGGGCAGGATCCTGCATGGTGGGGGAGCCAGGCATTCACTTACTACATTGTCACTTTCACATGTCAGATAAGGTGTGGATGAAGGTGGCCTCTCTTGTTTCTTAGCTGTGCCACCTTGTGAGAGAAAGGGTAATAAGGTAAAGCAAAACTGTTCTTCTCACCCTCTTTGATGCATGTGTTCTCAAAATTTTGCTCCAGTGATGAGCTGGAACTTCTTCCCTAGACTTCTATGTTCCCACAAAACTACTCTTGTTCATGGATTGTTGTCAAAGTAAATTCTTCTACAGGAGGAAGATGGTAGAAAGTTTGTATTCTGTCAACTTGTTGATGTCATTCTACCATAGCTGACTTAAGAAAATGGTTGTTAATTTCTGGAAGTTAAAACAATGTTTTAATCTGTGTGCTTATATTAAAAACAGGGCAACAAAAATTATTTTTAATATTTTATGCATTTATTTTAATTAGTTCAATTCACCGTGTTGGTAAGGATGATTTTTAAATAAAAAAGATGAGGATTATTTTCAGACATATCCTAACAAAAAATATTTTATTTCTCCAGTCTGGATAAAAGCTACCTTACACCATCATTGAGAGGACTAAAAGAACATTTAAACATTTTTAAAAAATACATTGTATCATAAATTTGTTATTATATTCATATTAATCGTGTGCAAACATGCTATTAAAATCATGTCTTTATATTACTCCTCATCATATTTCAACTAAACATGCACAAAAAACTGTTGCTTCTATTTCTAAAATTGTTTTATTGGCCAGGTGTGATGGCTCACACCTATAATCCCAGAAATTTGGGAGGCTGAGGTGGGCAGATCACTAGAGGCCAGGAGTTCGGGACCAGTCTGGCTAACATGGTGAAACCCCATCTCTACCAAAAATACTAAAAATTAGCCAGGCTCGATGGTGCATGCCTGTGGTCCCAGCTACTTGGGAGGATGAGGTGGGAGAATCACCTAAGACTGGGAGGTGGAGGTTGCGGTGAGCTGTGAGCATGTCATTGCACTCCAGCCTGTGTGACAGAATGAGACTGTCTGAAAATAAATAAATGAATTTCATAAAAATAAATTAAAAAATAAAATTGTTTTCTTGTCTCATACAATCTTATTCCTTAGAAAATGCAGGTTATGTTAATGGCCAGTGTCATCAAGTAATGGAAGTTTATTCAAAATTCTTTTCACATAAGTCAAAATCGACCACAGCTAAAATTTACTATCACTGTAAATCTATTGAAAAAATAAAAAGTACTGCTGAGTAAGTAATCTAATAATTACAACTCTATTGCTTTAGAGTTTGTTTTATAAACTTATTTAATTAACTTTTATAAGAAAAAGATTATTTTCTTCAGAATCCTAATTTAGGAACGATAACATTCCAGAACCATATAACATTCCTGCCACCATTTTTTAAAGCTGTTCTTACTATTACCCTTTCCATTGGATTTTATTAGTTAGATTCCCATGCTCTGTGATTATGTAAATAGGTTCTGAGACACACAGTGCTTAAAGTTTAGGGCCAAATGAGACTCTAAGCAGCATCTATCATTTGTGGAATAATAATAATAATAATAGAATAGATGCCAATTTGCTCTAACAATAAACAGGGCTCTCAAAAGCCCTGTGGTTGTATTTCCTTGGAAACTTACTTATTGCTTTATCAAGTTGGAGAACAAGTTTAATATTACCAAATAATAATTTTCTATGCATGTAACATTTAATAGTAGATATATAACACTTATTATTCCCATTGGAAAAACTAAAGTAATGAATTAATTATCAATTAGTTAGATCTTATTCTTTGAAACAATGTTTTAAAAGCCCTATGTATTAAAATATTAATTATTAAAATTATTCCTTATGAGATAAACTAAAAGATGGAAGACATTCTAATGATATGAAATTCAAGTCCAACTTTAATATATTCATTTCCAAAATATGGAAGGTTGTCAGAGAAAGTTAGAAATTAATCAAAGCAGTCTTTGAGCTTTTAAACTTCATCAACTACAATATGAAATCAAAACATACTATTTCTGCACATTTTCTCAGTAAAAAAATGAATTATTTTGCTTTCACTTACAATCATGCATACATAATTTCAATCTGCTTATTGTTTTTATTTAGCACTTTGCACAAGAAAAGTAAAGACATTGCTGAGCTCTAAGAAGCCTGTCAGCACAACCATCCATTTGCTCTTAGGACTACACTGCTATGCTGAGTTGATTTTTACTACTTTTGCATTTTAGAATATGAAAAACAATACTGTATTCCTAGTCTCAAAGCAACATTTAGCTGAAATAAGCAGCATGTTGAGACACTTGATTTGCATTTATTTAAAAAAGTAAAAGTTATAAAAATTATAAAAATCCAATTAATACTAATACAATTGCTGTCAGGAATGGAGAAGGAAAATATTGCAAACATTTTTATAAGACGCTTGAATGGCAAGACAAATACCACCAAAGAAAAAAAAATGTATTTAAACACACACTAAATGGTTTATTGGATGATAAACAGAAAAATTATTTTGTGTAAAACGAAATCTAAAGAATGTTTAATATCAAGGTGCATAGAATTATATACAAATTTTCTAAGATACTGTGAGAAACTTTTGTGGTTTTGATTTACATATCCAGAGTTATCATATGATGAAGCTGCAAGACAATAGATCCTTGCATCCAATTTAGTTGTATTGAACTGCAAAAAAAAATGCATTCAATTTTAGGCACCTCATTTCTAACAAAATATAAAAAGCCAGACAGATTTCTGAGAAGGCCAACAATAATGTTCAGGGATCTGGAGAGGGTATACTTAATAAGATAATGTTCACAGCAGTCTCTTTCTCACATCTCCGGAACATGATTAGATGTATAGTCATCATAGATTCTGTATAAGCATACAGCTTTTTGATTTGTTTTAAAAAAAGGAAGTTTGCTTAAAATAAGATGGTTTTCATAGAATTTTCTAACCAGAAGGAAACAATAAGAATCACCTTATCCAACACCCTCATTTAAAAATGAGGCTTCAGGTCTGAAGTTGTCATCCTAAACTAGTCCCTGGAGCTTGTCAGTGTCAGAGCCAATATTAGAACACACATTCTTGAAAATAAAAGCCTTTTTTCCAATTTGCCACACACTTCAAGTATCTGTAGCTAGTATCATTTTACAGAATTGGAAGTACCACATTAAAATTTCCCACTATATTTAGGATATTCTTACTATTCGGGTTTTGTGTAAAACAAGCTGATTTTACTTTTTGCCCTATAACCTAGATGTTTGACCTTGGACTAATTATTTAAGCTTTCATTTTCTGTAAAATGAAATTATTAATAGTAGCAACTTCTTGGGGTTGTCTTGAGAATCACATGAGAAAATTAAAGTAACTTGTTTAACTCAGAACCTGGAGCATGGCACAGGTTTTATCGTCATTGACTATAATTATGAATTGTGAAGAAGCATACACAGGAGGGTAAAAAGTACTCTTTACCTTCCAGAAATTCTCCTCACTGAATAACTTTACAAAATAAACCGCAACTGGGCAATTCACAGCAAAGTCACTAAAAACCATGAACAAAAAATAATTTTATTAAATACTTTGCCTTCAAATGAGTGACAACAAGAAGACTAGCAACTGATTTCTCAAGAGACATCATAGAAGCTAGTTGACACTGAGATGACATTTTCAAATACTAAAGGAATGGCTAGTTATTGGAATCCTACAACCAAAAAAATATTCTTCAAAATAAAATTAAGTGTATTCATTTGCAAAAAAAGCAAAAACAAATACAGTAACCATTGGCAAATAAACAAATGGCAGGGGTGAGTAATAGGGTTGTGGAGGGCTTTTCAGGCAGAAGGAAAATAATCCCAGAAGGATGAACTGTAAGCAATAAAGTATAACAGAATACTCAATTATTTTGCTTAATGTAAATTACTATTTACCTTTTAAATTATACCCCAATAATAATAATTTTGTGATTTGAAATATACTGTAAATTGAAATGCATTATGATATTAAATAAAAGTGAAGAAAAATAAATAAGGTTATTAATGTTTTATAGACTATGTGAGAATAGAGGTAATTATTCAAAAAAGTATCTTGTAATATCCACACAATTACTAAAGGAATAATAAAAGTATGCATGCCTAGAAATTTGAGGGAATGGTAAAGAGAATAAAAGAAATAAAAAGCAAGAAAACAGATAGCAAGCCATGAGTTAGACAAAAGACTTACAATAACCTAGAGCAATAATTAAATATCAAGTATAAATAAACTAAATAGTTCATGTAAGAAGCAAAAATCAGCAAACTGTATACATTAAGCAAAAGTCAAGGATACACTCTTTACAATAGGCAAAACTTAAATATGAGGACAGAAAATTTGAAAGTAAAGGTAAGCAAAAATGTGTAACATGCAAAAGGCAATCAAGACAAAGTTATAAAAATATTTATATCTGAAAACTAGATTTAGAGGCAAGATTTATTACTCTCATTGTAGATGAATATTTTGTAAAAATACAAATTGATTTATTAACTAGAAGTTACATATAACCTAAATTTCTATACACATAAACGGATACCTTCAAAATATTTAAACACTGACATATAAAGAAGAGGTAGGCAAAACTGTAGTGCAAACTGAAATTTTAACAGAATTTTCTCAGCAATGACAAAACAAGCAAAGCTATCAGTAGAGACATAGAAATTTTGAACAGAATGATTAACCAATTTAGATGAATTGAGAGTCATACATATTTCACCCATATTCTTTATAAGCAGACACAAATCATTTTCCAAATTAAACGTATATTGAGTTGCAAAGTAAGTCCCAACAACTGTTAAGTGACTAAAAGTATTAAGAGTTTGTTCTTTGCCTACAGAAGAACTCAGCTAGAAACCAATAATAAGAAGATAGGTAGAAAAATCTCAATGCTTGAAAATAAAGCATTACACTTCTCAGTGGTCCATAATCAAAGTCAAAATAACCAAGATTTTTTTTGTACTAAATGATAATGTAAATAAATGATATCAAGACATATTCTATGAAAGGAAAGCTGTGCTTTCAAGGAAATTTATATCCATAAAAAGCTATGTTAGAAGAGTGGAGGAAATCAAGGATCTAAGTATCCATCTTAATTAACTAGAATAATAAAGGAATTAGTAAGAATGGAAATCAATGAAATAGAGGAAAAAAACAGAAAATCAATAAAGCTAGAAGTTGTTTGTTTGAAAAGATTAGGAAAAAATACCTGTCATAACTGAATAAAAAAAATTACAAACTACAAATATGAATGTAAACGAGCAGCACTTCAGGGCCTATAGCTAGTATAAAGATACCAAAGAAAAATTACTAACAACTTTAAAAACTGATTTGAAATCTTAGATGAAATGGATAAAGATTTTGAAAAGCACAACTTCATAAAACATTCAAGAATAAATAAAAAAATCTGAATTCTCCTACATGTATTTAAAAAATTAAATTTGTAACTAAAAATCCAGTCAGAAAGAAATTTGCTGGCTCAAATAATTTCCCCTGTGAATTAGTTCAAACATTGCAAAAAAGATTTCAGTAATCTTAAATATTTCCAGTTATTAGGAAAAATTGGGAAAGTCACAACTTATTTTATGAGGCCAGCAGAAGTTTAGTTTAAAAATCTGGCAATGAAAAACATAAGAAAAAAACTTAAGGTATATCTATATGGGAAAAATAATATTTGAAGCATCCACATGACATGCATAAAATACCAATTTCATATTCATTGATAAAACAATGAAACAGGAGAATATCTTCCTAACTTTGGAATTATTTGAGTTCTTAACCAAGACTTCCGTGTGTTAAAGGATACACTAATAGAGTAAAAAGGCAGTCGATACATCAATGAAAAACATTGACCAGTTGCCAATGACAGAGCCATAGCCAGAACATAAAAAGAATTCAACGTATCTTAGACAAGATATGTAGACAACTTAATAAAAAAAAAGATAACTCAGTTAAAAAAAAGTGGAGAAATACCTTCAACAAGTAAAAGAGGATGTTCAAATAGTCAACAAGCAAGTGAAATGGTATTCAACCTTATTAGTGATAAGGGAAATGGAAATTAAAACCAATGTGATACAAATACACATCAGCATCAGCAAAATGGTTAACATAAAACATCTGGCATCACCTAGACATAGTGAGAATGTAAGCAACTAGATTCCCATACACTTCTACAGGAAGTACCAATTGGCTTAACCATTTTGAAAGAAAGAAAATATGGCAGCATTTACTGAAAGGAGATATAACCATTTTCTGTGAATCAGAAATTCTCATATTTGCATCATGGGACACATGCAGTAGGATTTATAGCGGTGTTATCCCTGTAAGGTAGAAACTGAGAACATCTAAAAATATCCAACAGCAAGGTGGATTGATTTTAATATATTTAATATATTTAATAAAATAGAATTATACACAAGAAAACACTAATCTCTTGCAACTGCAAAAACATGTTTGAATCATAGACATAATGGTGAAAGAAAGAAGACAGACAGACACATGAAGAAATGCAAATAGTATTATTCTGGTTTTTTTTTTTGAGTGTGTGTGTGTGTGTGTTTAAGCTCTAAAACAGGGACAATTCCTGTTTTACAGGATTCAGGATCATAATTACCTTTAGAGTGAAATATCAGGGGGCTTCTAGGTGTTGGCACTGTTCTAATTTTTGGCATGCATAGTGGTTGCACGGTTGTGTTCATGTTTGGTACACTTAAAAATTTTGCATTTTATAGTATTCATTTTATTATATGCAGGATACATTTTAACAAAAAACACTGTAAAAATGTGAATGTAAGTGCATGTTATTCTCTTGAATGTTCTCTGGATTCCTGCTTCCTAAAACATTTGTCATTTTCAGCTTCTTTTGACCTTTTGATACCCCACTTCTCATAGTTTATAGTTTGGAGTCTTTTTCTGCCAACTTTCCAGCAGGCACTTAAATTATCTGTTCAATGGCTACTGCCAGAGAATTTCTGCTCATGATATTCCCCTGAAAACATGACTTTTTTCATTTGCTTTGAAGAACACATCTCTCATCTCATCTGCTCAAAAGCTTTTTAAAAATGCTTTTCCAAGAAATTCATGACTACTATCATTATTTTGATGTGAAACAGCTAACATCTGTGGCTTGGGAAAAATAATGAAGCATGCTTCTGAAAGAGCTTCTTCCATGTATTATACAAGTTCTGTTATCTCAATGCTTGTACTTAGAAATAATATGTTCTAATTATTTTCTTCCGATTTATGCCAAAAAGAGAGAGAAAGAAGGAAGCATTAACCCCCCTTTTTCATAGTTCACTCTTGTTAATGATGTCAACTGAACTTCAAAAATTGGATATTGGTTTATTTGGGACTACCTATCACATTTTTTTAAGGGTTTATGAAGAATCTGAGGTTTTCTTCAGCAAAATGTGAAACTCAAATCTTCCATATATTCTTTAGATGGATGGATGGATGGATGGGTAGATGGATGGTTGAATAAATTCATTTCTGTACGTATTTCTTAAAGAAATATGTAGCAAAGAAAAATCATTTGAAAATGGCTTGGAATAAAATGTACAGAGACTACAGTGATAATTTAGTCTATTATCTTCTAAGGCATATTTAATAGTCATTCAGCAACTGTTTTAAACATTCCTGCTAAAAAGAATTTTTACCATTTTGGAAGTACTATTAATAATTCAGAAAATTAGTAATTATAAATTTCTTTCCTACATTGAGCCCTAAATTTCTGCCTTTTCAGTGTTAAAAGATAAGCTCCAAATTACAGAATTTTCCTTCATTGATGTTCACTGGTATATTCCAAATACCTAGTCTTTGCCATATAGTAGGTCCTAAATAAATATTTTTGAATGAATAAATGTATCTTCAATAGACCTGCAAGTATTTGAGCACAGCTCTCTGTTCTTTTTTAGTGTTTGTGTGTATTTCACTGCAAATTTTAGATTCTTCAATCTTTTCTCAGAAAACATTCTTTTCCTACCTCTCACCATCTTGTTCACTGTAATAGGACATATTTATGTCAACTTGGAGGGTGTTTTTAGAAGATATTAACATTTAAATTGGTGAATTTTAAGTAAGACCATTGCCCTCCATAATGGGGTGAGCTTTATCAATCAGTTGAAGGCCGAAGTAGAACAAAAATCTAGCCTCCCAGAGAAAGAGGAAATTCTTCATCAGACTGCATTCAGATTTCATCTGCACCATTGGCTCTCTTGATCTTGAGCCTGTTGGCCAAAACTGCAGATTCAGACTTGCCAGCCTCCATAATTGTGTGAGCCAAATCTTTACAATAAATCTCCCTCTCCCTCTCTCTCCTGCTTCCGCTCTTTCCCCCTCCTTCCCCTTCTCCTCCCATGCTCTTTCTCTCTCTCTCTCTCTCTCTAACAATAACTTCAGGTTGCACATCTGCAGGTCTTGCGTCCATTGTTTGAATCCAGATGCAGAAGCCATGGACATGGAAGTCTGACTGTATATAAATATTGATCTCATCACTTCCTATTTTTACTATCATTTACTTGTTCTTGTACAAGTTCCAAATATGTACTGAGCATTGTTTAAGGGGTTAAAGAAACAAAAGCTACCCTGATGTACCTTACGTTCCAGAAGCTCATGTCAAGTGGCGTATCTTTTATGCCTAGGTATCAAGGTCACCACTTAGACAAATACTATTTCCCTTCTTTAATTTTACATCATTTTCTGGTTTTATATGTCATTAAAATTCTAGGGACCTCCCTGACCTCTGAAACTCTAGAGTAAATATCTATAACCTGAGAAAATCGTCAAGTCTCTGAATTGATTCTGCTCACTATGAGGAGGCTTAAGGTTTTCTGATCCTGCTTCCCTGTTAAGTACTGACATCTTCATAGGCCATTTCAGTTAAAAGTTTGATGTAACTCAGCACCTTCTTTCTTTTCCCAAAGTATAATAATGTAGCCAAATGTTTAATACATTAATGTTTTGAAGAATCTCGGTTTCACATAATGCAGCTTATTGCCTTCTACTATTTCTTTCTTCTCCATATCATCCCGTCCAGATTACCAACAGAAGCTCCATTTCTAAAAATTTGTCTCCCTATCATGCACTTTGACATATCCCCTCAAGACAATTCTTGAAATTTGCTGTACCAGGAGCTTCTTAGGAGCAAAAGATCAGGATAGCTTTCAAAAATTATCGAAGTATTTTTCCCAATAAAGACTATTTTCTCCTTTGAATAAACTCTGGTTCAAATTACATAATTTATTCAGCTCATTAAATGCATACTTATGCATTTTTTGTTTTTAAAGCTCTTACTAGGTTGAGGGCACTGTGAGTGTATAATCTATATTTTAAACTACATTGAAGCAGTAATGTTTAATAGAAGATAAGTAACACTATTATAACTGTTATAACTGAATTAATAACATTAAATTCTTAAATTTTCATTTTATTGTTTTTATGTTTACTCTATGGCATTTGATAAGGAATTTGAATATATATGCAGTTTTTAAATTTTTTTAAATTTTAAAACTTCCTTAAGAAACTATTATTTCTTCCAAAGTTCATTTGAAGTCACTCTATTTTAATTATGTGTTGGGATTTGGGGGTACTATTTGATAAATAGAGATTATTTGTATTACAGAATCTTATAAATGAATTATTTCGATTTTATTTTACTGCATAGATGGTATAAACATTATACTTTAGTTTGGTTAATTAATCCACCATGGCATAAGCCCTATAAGCATTTTGCAGTTCAGCAAGTAGACACATCTGAAATTCAAATGGCTGTTTCTGTTTGCCAAGAACTGTATTTACTACAGTTACAAGACAATCACTTAAACTTTACCTAAATTATTTACAACTATTAATAACCCGTCTACCAAATATACTGAATAAAATGTATTCAGAGTCTTAAATATTATCATGTAAGCCACACTTTGCTTCCTGGGAGGTATGTAAGAAGGAAGGCAGAATTAAGTAAGATCAACATTATTCCTCCTCAAAAACCTCCTCAAAAAATGTGAAAAGAAAATTATTAAGAAGCTTTCCCTGTCCTGTTAAATGAAGATGCTTCATCAAATGTATGAGCCTAGAATGTCATGTCTTTTGACTGAACAGAGATCATTCTAATAAGATAGAATAGGATTGCAGAAAATAATGAGAAGCCCCTCAGTTAGGATCACGCTGGAGAAAGCTGAGACGAAATCACTTGCCAGAGGACATGTATGGGAGACTAATTTCTATGGCACCCTCATTAAGGGAATAAAACCACAAAGGAATAATATATACAGAAATATTTTAACTTTTAACGGTCTCTTGAAATCCAAATCAAAATTGTTTCAAAATTGAAATTTCAGATAGTCCAGTAAATTCACCAATAGATGAATAACTATGTTTTTATTAGCCATGTCAGAGAATATGTAGTTTTGGTTCTGAGTAGGTTCAAATACAAAGAAAGTCTTCACATCAAAGAATCCTATTCTATTTATTTGTTAATAAATAACCGTTGAATAATCATTATTAGTTATTTGGTCTCCTAGACACCAGGGATACGAAGGAATATAAGCAGTGGTCACTGCAGCCAGAGACCTTGGAGTAAATTAGGAAAAAGGGGCAAAACATTACTTATGACAGCACAGCAGGGTAAGGGAGATAAGGATGCAAAGAATACAATGGGGAATAGCAGGGGAAAAAGCTATTTGATTAATTTAATAACAATTAGTTTTTTCCAGGTGAAGAAAAAATGTCATATAGAGGAAAAGCTATATGCAAGAATAGCAAGAGGGTAAACATCGTTTTAAAGAATCATAAACACATCAATCAACTGAGCATGTGTTACACAGGGAAAATGTGAAAGATGGATTTTGAGAAGGAATTAAAGAGGACATGAAAGATCTTTATAAGTATAGCAAGGAGCATGGATTTAATCCTGTTTGTAAAAGAAGGAGCCTTTGAAGAAATTCAGGAAGAGTGATTCATGCCAACTTTTACATTAGTAAGATCACTTGGGCCACAGTGCAGAACATGAACTGGATGACAACAGGAACAGGGTAGTAAGGCAGCTGTTCAGAAAATCAAGTGAGAAATCACCAAAGCCTGGACTAAAGTAGTGGTAATGGGAATAGAGAGAAATATGATGATTGCTCACAGGAAAGAATTAGAATGGCAGGATTTAGTAATTATTTGGATACGTGTGGAAGGGGAGAGACAAAAGCTATGGATAACCCTAAGTTAATAGCATTGACAACCCAGTTGAGGTGTAATGCTAATGTCCAAAAGAAAGAAAAATTACAATAAGGAATATATTGGGAGAAAAACATAAGTTACTTTGGACATGCTGAGATTGAGATGCAAGTGGTAATGTTCAGTAGACAGTGGCCGTAGTTTCTGGAACTCAAAAAAAACGATGTGGACTAGAGATAATAATTTATGAGTCCTCCATACATTGCTCATTGTTGACATCATTGAAGTTAAGTGCTTTTATTAGAGGAAGCAGGTAGAAATGAAAGCGTTTTAGAACCTTGGTGAATGCTACAATTTAAGAGATGTGAATTGGAAAAAAAATGTATAAGAGATCTAAAGAAAAATGTGGACTGAAACATAATGGTATCACAGAATCCAAGGAAAGAAAGAGTTCAGGTCAAAACATTCAATAAAATCATGCTGCATCTCAATGAATAAGATATGGGCTAAAATGTCTCCATTGAATTTAACCATAATCAGTTTTTGACGAGGTTCATGAACCAATTTTATTGCTGAGGAAGTATTAAAAGCCAGACTGCAATGGAATTATGAAAAATAGTGAATATTTAGAAGTAACACATATAAATTGCATTTTTTCAAAACATGTCAGGGAAAGAAATGCATAGGATAATAAAATAGCGGTCAAAATGTGCTGAGTTACGCTGCAATAACAAAGAACCCTGATATCACTCTGCTTAAAACAACCAAAGTGGCCGGGCGCAGTGGCTCACGCCTGTATTCCCAGCACTTTGGGAAGCTGAGGCAGGAGGATCACGAGGTCAGGAGATCGAGACCATCCTGGCTAACACGGTGAAACCCCGTCTCTACTAAAAATACAAAAAATTAGCCAGGCGAGGTGGCGGCCGCCTGTAGTCCCAGCTACGTGGGAGGCTGAGGCAGGAGAATGGCGTGAACCCCGGGGGGTGGAGCCTGCAGTGAGCCGAGATCGCGCCACTGCACTCCAGCCTGGGTGAAAGAGCAAGACTCCGCCTCAAAAAAAAAAAAAAAAAAAAAAAACCAACTAAAGTTTATTTCTTGTTTAGGTTTCATGTCCATCTCAGTTCAGCATAGGATTCTGATCCACATAGTCCTCCCTCAGAATTGTCTTCCTCCACACCAACAGAACCTTCAAAATTTGGAAATCTATATGGAAGAAAAAAGAACATAAAAACTGTGTACTAAATATTAAAGGCTTCTGCCCAGAAGTGACAAACATCACTTCTACTCTTGTATCATGACCAAAGTTGGTCATATGTTCATGCCTGCATTTGAGGAGATGGAAGTGCAGTTTACACACTTCCGAGAAGGAAATTAAAAATTGGAACATTTATGAAAACTACAGAAACTATTGTGGTTTATTCTGGTAGGAAAAAATATTTTATTTACTCTCTTTCCTTAATTTATGAGGCCTAATCCCTTCACAAGTCCAATTTAATCATGGCATCAAAATAAATACTAGTTTTCTGGATGAAAGATCTTTTTTCTTAAAATGGTAAATGAGAGCATTTAGATCAGCCATGGCTGTGTCTACTCTTGTTTTGGAGATCTATGAATTTACAAAGACATGTTATCTGCCCCAGAAACATAACGCAATAAACAATGGAGGAAGAGGACTTGAATAACCACAATAAACAATAAACTACAAACTCATTTGGAAAACGGAAGAATGCAACATGCCTCAGAAATCAATTCTTCTTTGGCACTATCTTCCATAGCCACAACTGAAATGGGCATCAGAAAATATTCTCTCCTTAGATGCTGAAAATTGTTCTCAGATTACTTTCTATTCATAGATAGTTGGGGCCAAGAGTGATTGTGCATCTCAAACAGCAATAGTCATTTATAGTCCAGGCTGATTGTTCTTTTGACAGTGTGTCCTCTTTACAAACTTAGTTGGCTTCTTATCAATTTGATTCGGTCGAATTTATGTGTTAATATTCACAAATACCTTGAGCTTATCAGACTTTGTACGTGCACATTCTTATTCTCTGTGCCCTGAGGCGTGATTCCCATTTGAAATATTCACTGGATGTCATAATCTTCCTTAGGCTTTGTTTTTTTCATGATGTACTTCATCCAGTCAGTAATTTGAAGTATGACTGTCAATGTCATTTCTAAAAATTTTATTTTTGTCCTGAGGCAATACAATGGATTGAAAATGGTTAGTATTTTTTTAACCTGTAACTCTTAGTTTTTATCTACATTTCATTTTTTTTTGAAGTCTCTCAATATTTTCCCCTACTGTTTAGTATCTCAAAACAGTTGTCTTTTTAACATTGCAAAGCTCCACATTTCTGGATATGGTTTATTTCTTTTTATTTGTGCTTTAAAACTGGCCAATGTATTTTGAGGTCCTACTCTTTTTGTAATACTTTGCTAAATGTAGTGAAAAGTAACCAACACAGTCTATTTCCTTCTGCTTTCAACCATTTACTTTAGCACTACACGTCCATTAGATATATGGTCTGCCTTCCGAGTTACAACTAGCAATGTTTTATCAAAAGTTTTGCCACTATGTAATGTGGAGCGTATCTTTTCAGTCTTAAATTAACAGCTTTCTCTTTGCTGACCATATGGATAATGAGAGAGTATATGGTATGTTAGAGTTTTATTATTTAGCACCCAAATGCTAAAACTTCACTTTTATATTAAACAGGATGAAAGAAGTTAGAGTCTGTAAAAGCAAACCCAAAACTTCAGAGCTTAAAAATAAAGATTTATTTTCCATTCACATCACTTTATTTTCATCTCAAGTCAGCAGGGACGTCTATTTAATATCTTCAAGGCTAATGGGTCCAGGCTAGCAAACATCTACTTTTTAGACTACCTATTGCATTGCAGCAGTATCAAAAATTGGAAAGTCTTGTGCTGGCGCATACAGGCTTCTGTACAAAAGTGAAATACATCATATTTCTCATTTTTCTTCTTTTTAAAAAAGACTTTTTGTTTGAATTAATTTTAGATTTATAAAATTGTTGCAAAAATAGTACTGAGTTTCCATATCCCTTACCTAACTTCTCCTAATAGTAACATATTACATAATTATAGTGCAATGATAAAAAGATACATTATATTTTATTGGCAGTACTACTGCATGCCTGAAATGAGGAGAATCTTACCATTGGTGAACTGCCCTATTGGCTACCACAGGCAATATCTAGAGGCATTGGTGGATTAGAACATCATTTTTACCGTTATTCTTAAGATAGAAGTGACTGAATATGTCTGTTTCCTAAGGAGAATTATCCACAAGTGTGAGAAATTATAAACACCAGGAAGAATGATATTAATTTTGTTGGAGCATTGTTGCTGAGGAGAATAAAGAAGATAGAACCTATGCAGAGGCAAAGACATTATCCTTGAAAAATAAATGGGATTTTTTTTATCTCTTTTGTCAAGGGAAAAATAAAGTCATACTGGTATAGATAAGGTTAAATTTGAAAGTGAGGAATATCATATCTGAGAACCAGGACTTTCTCAGGGAAGCTGAAAGTCATTGCAAAGATACTAGGGTGCATACAATATATTCAAAATGTCTTCTGCAGTTTAGGTTAACCCAAAATTATAATAGGAGAAACTATTACTTGAAATCATTTACGTTTTATAATACAAGCAGTTGTTTCATCTCACAACAAAAACTGAGAAGGTAAAAAAGCATATAGTATAAAAGCTTTTAGCCAAAACAGACTTTAATTTTTCAGAGAATCTGTTTACAAAGTGTTTTTCACTTTACTGCTGGACTCCCTGAGAGAGATACCCCTATAGTTATTCTAAGTTTTATATTAAAGATTGAGGAAAAGAGACGAAAATGGCAAAGAAAAGAGAGAACAAAATTTGCACTGAGCAAAAGAATTCCTGAGTGATTCTTCTCCGCCATTAT
Source organism: Homo sapiens (assembly GCF_000001405.40). Classification (NCBI taxonomy): domain Eukaryota; kingdom Metazoa; phylum Chordata; class Mammalia; order Primates; family Hominidae; genus Homo; species Homo sapiens. The sequence goes on from NC_000004.12 coordinate 30,458,812, forward strand.
GAGTATAGTGCTTATGAAAAATTTTATAAATCCACAGAGCAGCAAAAATTGCATAGTATTTTATTATTTATTATGTTTTAGGTGATAGATAACTTTTATTTTCTAAACATTTTCTCCTTAGTTTTTATTTTAGTGAGGAAAATGATCACCTAGGATCACTTTAAAGTTTCATAGCACGTAAACATTTTGTAAGATTTGCAAGATCCGAATGATAATGATTAAAAGCTTGGAACTCACTTCCTACTTTATTTATCATTTACAATGTCACTTTCTTGACAAGTGTTTTTAAGTGCCAAATATGGGACTTTGGTAAAATGCTGGTCTTCTTTGAAGCATTTACACTCCAGAAGGGAGGATAAAGCATGCACTTACACACTTTACAACTTGCAACTCAAATTTGGAATATAGAAACACAGTTACATATCTCACATACGTGTTTTACATGTCTGGAGTAGCAGAAGTCCAATACATCTCTTTCTGAATCTCCTACTCATTTTGCCTCCTCCTGCAAATAAGTTATCCAAAAACGACTTGGATTATTCAATCCAAGATGTCCATTTTTGCCTTCAAGTTCTCCCCAAAAATAAATAAATAAATAAAATTTAAAAAAATGAAGGATCCGCTAACTTCACTAGGTGGCTTTCATTCTACTGCACTTTTTCTGCCACTCACTTGGTTTCCAAGTTGCAAGCAGATAATTTCTATTTCTTGGAATGATGAGCCTACTTCTGGAATAGTAATACACTCTTTGAATATAGTGAAGAGAGGCAAAGAGGTTTCATCCTGGTATTCTCAGCTGTTGTCACTTTCAATCCTTCCATCGGTTACAACTATTTAATCACTGGTGATAGTACAATCACCTATTATTATAATTTGTGAGAATTATCTCACTCAGTCAAAAGAACTTCCTATGTACTCTTTAGCTTACAGTTATATGTTCAGAAATTATTCAGAAGCACGCATTCTTCCATGGCCACAGCCTTTATTCAGAACTATTTCAAACTATCAGGATGGTTCTGATCACACTAAAGCTCAAAGAGAAATAGGTCATCAGTTTAAATTGAATTTGCTCCCAGGAAACTTTTTGGCTCCAAATGTCCCATAGATTCCTCTGAGGGAAAGCTCATATTTCAAGTCTTACTAGAAATGGAATTCTTCAGTAGGCCACCAACAATAAATGTGTTACTCTATTTTTTCAGTAAAATGGGTGACTACTTATAAATACATGATGAGAAGGATTCAATTAAATGATTCTTTCACGAATAAAAATATCTTTCAAGGTTATTTATTATGGTTTCCACCTACACAATTTTAAAATGGAAACTGAGCTAGTAAAATAAATAAATTAGATGATGATGATGATGATAAAGATAGAGACATAGATGATAGATAGATAGATAGATAGATAGATAGATAGATAGATAAACAGATAGATAATAGAGAGAGTAATAGAGAGCATGGCTCTATTTTTTTACTTTCTACTAGTGACAACTTTTAAGTCCCACCTCTCTTCCCTTCTGTCTCACATCCAGGCAAACTAATAAGAAAAGCCAGGTGATCCCTCGTTTGTTAGGTCCAAATCACACAGGCCCCTTCCCACATGTGAGAACTTTCACCTCTGCCCCACTTAACCCTAATAAAAAATGCCAAGCAATGTCTTTTTTGTGTGTGCTCTGTCAAGCCATTTTCATACCTACTTGCTAGCTTCCCTGCTCTTCCCAGAAAGTCTCATTACAGGAGTAATCAATCTTTTCATACCTTATTGGAGTTTGAGTGTGTCAGCATCAGTCCTGACATTTAAGTCAAATTTGGGGTGGGAGTCCACCCTGCTCTGCAGGGTAACCCCAACAGTTGGTACTGTGAGCAGGATCTCTGAAAGATAATCGCCACCCAAGAAGAAATCTTTCTTTTCTTGCTTTTGTTTGCTAACTGACCCTGCTGTGTGCAGGTTAGCTTGTACTTTGAACAGTGCAGCTTAGAGCTGCATTTGCTAAATTCTACTAAGCATTGCTTATAGATATCACTGACCTGTGTTTTAATAGTTGGCATTTAGGGACAAGAATATGAGAATAGGGCCCTCCTTAAAGTGGCCTCAGTTCATGTGTCTTGGCCTGCTAAAGCTTCAGTATAAGCCTTCATCAAGACGTTCCTTATCTGATTCATAGTACTAGATATCACTGATAGTAACCAAAGCAACCATTTATTTCACTTCTCAGAATACACAATACTGGGCCCTCTCTCAAGGTATTCAGCAGAACTTGCACTTCTCTTACTCACCTCAGGCTGCTTCCCTTATAAAGCACCACAATCGCTTACTTAACTTCAAATTCAATTAAATGAAAAAAAAAAATGGCACACTTAGGTCGCCAAACATGAAAAGTAAATTGTAATAAAGAGTAACTCCATCTTTTGACATTTGTTTGTCGATAGCTTTTAAGCCTCACCCTTCCCTTTTCCCCTTCTGCCCCACATTTAGGAAAGCTGATAAGAGAAAGCCCTGGTATGCCCTCCTTTGGCGCCAGTGGGAGGCTCAAAGCACAAAAGCTCCTTCTGTTGCATGGGGTCCCTCACTCCAGCCCATCCCCCGACCACAGTGAAAACCCCAAACCTGCTCTCTCAAGCTATTTTCAGATCTATCTGGGAACTCCCCCGCTTTCCCTAGAAAGTTTCATTATGTGACTCATAAAACTTTTCATACCCTCCAGGTGTGTGTGGTGGGGGGCGTTGTCAGTCTCAAAATCTAAGCCAGTTTTCAGTAGGGTTCCATACTGCTTTTGAAGGATGGTCACTATATATATATATATAACACACACACACACACACACACACACACACACACACACACACACACACGTGGATAGGGGGCCAGATAGACAGATTGATGACAGAGACTAAAGTCAAAGAAAATCCACACCTCTTTAAAGATTATGAGAATATCAGCCTGAACTTCACCGCATTTGTTATATAATTTAAGAAATATAACATATTGGTGTACTCTAGACCAGTGTCAATGGTAATGTGCCTGTGAATCACCTAGGAATCTTGTTAAAATGTAGATTTTAAATCAGGAGAGCTATGGTCGGGACTAAAATTCTGCATACAAGATTATAGTGGGTTTTCAAACCTTGATTAAGGAGGGTTCATGGGAGATGTCTGATTCACAGCCTGATCAATATCACATACACTGGCAGATAAGTAACTTCCTCCTAAAAGGTTGAGAATTGAAAGAAGGTCAAAAAAATGAGGTGGATGGGGAGACATAAGAATAAATGCTGTGCACAAAATAACTAATGCACATTCCACTTGGAGAGTAAATGTCTTCGGTTGAATAATACCTTGATGAACTGATTTATTTCTTGTTGAAACTTCATTTTCCTCACACACTAGCAGTTATCCTTCCAAAAACTCAAAGCCCATGCTTAAGACTACTATCGTTGAGAAAAACTACGCCGTAATATCCAGACAGTCCAATGTGGGAAAGCTTGTTTCTGCTGTCATGCCACACAGCCAAGCCAAGAAATAATGTCTGCAAGCTGGGAGCACAAACCTGTGGGTGATTGTTTTGGTGTCTGTCAGCTTTAGTCTTCCTTTCATTGTGATGTCTCCTTAAAAATTTCAGTTCCTATTTGCCTCAGCCTATGTTTCTTGTCAAACTCTTCAATATCCCAAAGTTGGTAGGATCTTCCTGAAAATGATCACGGATATACATACAAGATAGCATAGATGTATAGGATCTATTTCATTTGCAACCTTATGTGCAACCAGCATACAAACCATATGATTTTGCTGATGTTCACATAATTTTTGCTTGTAGTGTTAGCTTACGAAACTTCTGCGACATTGTGTGGGGTCTTTTCCCAATGTTTATTTCTATGCAACTCGCCACATTATTTTTTTCTGCTATTGTTAGTGCTTTCATTAATGTTTGTTTAGGTTTCCCTTTTTAATCCACAGTAGGAACAAGTTGTCGATTCCTAGATTGGGTTTTTGCTCTCTGCTGTGCACAGATTGGGAGTGTAGAATTTCTAATGAAGTCTCTTCATGTTTACTTTTACTGTATGCCAAATGATGAAGCTTTATTATAGCAATTCCCTTGCTCGCTTTAAATACTGTCATCCTGCACAGCTCAAATGTCTGTTGGACTACAAGGCCTTCACCAGTTGTTAAATATTTGAAATTAGATGGTTTGTTTATTAAAGGCATTGGGTCACAGCTAATCATTGAAGCTGTTTCTGGGTATTTACATTATTTATTCTGTGGAAGCTCTTCATATACACATACGTTAAAGTGTACGTTTCTGGGATTATCCTCAACACAATGATATTGAATAAACATTATTTCGATTTACTTTATTGACCTTCACTTTCTCATTTAAGCATATTTTCTCTCTGCTGCACGAGGTTCATGTCGAACGAGTCAGTCTTACTGATAACATAACTGGATGTGGACATACTGGGAGGCTTGCTATTATTTAGACTTGGCTAGGTCCCTATAACTTTGTCACTTCAAAATTACATGCATACTTAATGACATTCATTTTTCTTATTGTACCCATTACAAAGGATCCTTGTAATTTTTCTGTCATTAAAGAGGGAGCTCTTTGTTGTATATAAACATAAGGGATATGGTTTTTCATTGATAATCCTGTCTTAACTGAACATTTTGCATTTGCCTATAGATATTTCCTTAATAATATTCTTCGTATTAAATATTCTTTCCAGGTCATCAGAACTCATGCTGTACAATAAAAACTCCCTAGTCTAGGATTTTATCTTTGTTTCTTTAACACATTTTTATTCCTGGCATTTAATTTACTTCTACTGCATTTTAGAAGCATATTTAATGTTAAAACTTATCAGTGAAGCAAATGAAATCAGAGTACAGAGATGTGGCTTGAAAATAGATATTGGTTACATAATGTTATCTTTCCATTCTGATGCCATAAGTGATCATAGAGCTTTCCTTGTTATACGACTTCAGAGAAGAGACAATACAGTAGAAGAAAGTGAGGGAAAATAGTCTTTCAAGCAATGTCCTCCTGATAGTCCTTTTCTCTAATCAAAAGAGAAGAAATCTCTATATTTTTAAGTTAGAAAGAAAATTCACTACAGCAACTTGACTTTTCCCAGTGGCCCCATTTGTGGAAATATAGTGAATATTTCTCATAGCTATGATTCCAAATTGAGGCCTCAGACGTTAAAAAAAAAAAGTTAAAAGCTTTGGATGTCTTCTCTTCAAGGATCTAACAGTTGTAAAATTCAAATACAGAGCCACATAATCAAAATATCAGCCTGATTAATAGCATCCGATTAGTAGCCAATATTTAGACTTCCCTGAAAATGTTTGGATGGAAGAACACTGCTTAGCCCCTTATCTCTTGCACTATACTGAATACAGCCAGGAATCCAAGAGACAATCTTATTTTACGTACCCAGGTAAAGCAGGAAAGTTTCTCCTGCTGAAATAATACCTGTCTCATGGGCTTTTTACAGAATTTGCAAGCATTCATAGTGCTTGGGCTCAGGCAGGTCTAGCAGAAAACAGGGGTAAAGCGGTAGAGGGTTAAAGTCAATACAGCTTGTCAATGCGTGAATACTGACCTTTCCCTTATAAACAAAGCTGAGTAGAGAAAGACAGCCAAGAATGTGTCAGTTTTCCAACAATTAGAAAAAAATCATTACTTTTTCCTTTATGAACTATAAAAATATAGGTGGGTCAAATGTTGAAAAATGTTTTATTCTCTCTTCATCAGGTGAAAGACATCAGTGGAGAAAGAGAATAGTTCGCCCTAATAACACTCTTTTCTCTGTATCTAAAGGTACAACTCAAAGATTATTTTCCATTGAAGTTTTTTCTTATAGTTTCAATTGCAACTGCATAAAGCTCACTATGCCAAAGACACTGTCTTAGGTGGTGTTAGGGCTCCAGATCAGAAAAATATAAAAGTTGTGATATCAGAAATTATCAAATACAATTATTTAATTTAAAATATAAAGAAACCAGGCCATAAGCCACTAGTTGAGTGCTTTCTTCTGTTCAATTTCTTTTCAATTGTTATTTATTCTAAAAGTCTGGCAACTTCAAGGACTTTGGTCCTGAGTCTTTATTCTGCAAAATCCCCAAGGCAGTCAGTAGCAGCTCACAGTATACTAATTATGTTCATGTAAGAATGGTATGAACCAGCTTTCCAATCCAAATGGAATTATCTCTTAGGTCATGTCATTATTGTTGGTTCTTGAACCCACTTTAAGTACTAACAAGACTTTAAAGCTCAAATAAAGGCATTGGTCTTTCACAGGAAGAAGAATATTGTGGGATGAAGAAGGAGGAAAAAGTTGGATACAGATGAAATCTGGACCATAGATTTGGTGATGGAAAGATGGAGAATTTCCAATTCTGGAATTTGTCTTCTAATTTGTCAGTACGTGTGACACAGAACCACATGTAAGGAGAAAGAGAGTGAAGATTTAAGATTGGGGTTAGTGGGAAAGTTAGCAGATAAAAGACAGTGTATTTTCTAGGCAGAAGATTCCATTTGCAGTTGATTTTCACTAATTTTCAGTACAGTCCATCAGCCTCAGTTGTGTGACTTTCTCCAACAGTTTTCTAGCGCTTCCTTTCAGGAATGGAGAAGAAGACTCTTATTTTAAATGAGTTAAGTTCTTCCAAGTGTATGTGATATAGGAAGAAAGAGGATAGTGAGGGAATACTATTAGGAAAAGAATAAATAATAATGAATCATGGAATCTAAGTGGCATATGGAAGCAAATGTAGACAAGTGGGCTACAGGGTTCTCAAGAAGTCATATAACTGAGGGAGTGAAAGTACTATAGCAATAAAACAGTAAGAATAAAAGTTTGAGGCAAAAACCGTGTTTTACTTTGTACACTTATCTATTGTTTATGGCATAGTGCAAAGTATATAGAAGATTTTTTAAAATGCTACATATCAACTAATATTTTTTCGAATAAAAAGCTTAATAATTGTGAATCCTAAATCACATCTCTATTATTATTATTATAGATAAATAGTTGATGGGCACAAATTACTGCTTCTACTACTATTATTACACTACTGAAAATAGCTAATTTATGATAATTAGTCAATGTTCTCCAGGGAGGTAGAACCAATGGGATATAGATAGATATATAGAAAGAGATTTCTTATAAGGGATTGGCCCACAATATTACGGAGGCTGGGAAGTCCCACAACCTGCCATCTGCAAGGTGGAGGCTCAAGAATGCTGGTGGTATAATTCCAGTCCAAGCCCAAAGCCTGAACAATCAAGGAAGCCAACAGTGTAAGTCCCAGCCCAAGTCCAAAAGTACAAGAGCCAGGACCACCAATGTCCAAGGGCAGGAGAAGATGGTGCCAGATCAAGCAGAGAGAAAATTTACCCTTCCTCTATGTTTTGTTCTATTCAGCCCATTAACAGGTTGAATGATGCCTGTCTACATTGGTGAGAGCGATCTGCTTTACAGTCTACAGATTCAAAAGCTAACCTCTTCCAGAAACAGCCTCACACATATATTTAGACATAATGTTTTGCCAGCTATAGGAGTATTTCTTTGCCCAGTCACATTGACACATTACATTAACCGTCACATGTAGTAACAGCTAATAGTTTATAAGTATCTGATTTGGGGATTCCTGACTCAATAAATCATCTTATTTAGTTATATAAATTCATTAAAAAACAAATATTTATCAAGTGTCTAATCTGTCAGATTCAGTTGTTGGCACTAGGATCATAATCTCATTTTATTTTTGTATAAAAACAGAAACCCAGAGGATTTTAAGTTTTGATTTGAAGTACATATTCATGTGGTTTTTAATCATGCCATGCTAGAGCCACTGGAGAGCAACAATTGTTTCTCAGGATATTAATGTGCTTGCCATAACTCAGGTAGTTCATGCATTTATGTATTCTATGGTCTTTATTCTTTAAAAAATGTTACTTGAGCATTTTCATGTACACCTCATTGTGCTTTATATCATAGACAAATGTACTAACATGGAGGAGATATAAGTAAAATAATAAAGTGGCCTTCTTTGTAATAAGCCTTCAGCAATACACACCATTCTTTAAAGTATGTGCTTATAGTCATATTTTTCCTGCCTATGTTTCTTTTTTTTTTTTTTTTTTTTTTTTTTGAGACGGAGTCTCGCTCTGTCGCCCAGGCTGGAGTGCAGTGGCGGGATCTCGGCTCACTGCAAGCTCCTCCTCCCGGGTTCACGCCATTCTCCTGCCTCAGCCTCCCAAGTAGCTGGGACTACAGGCGCCCGCCACTACGCCCGGCTAATTTTTTGTATTTTTAGTAGAGACGGGGTTTCACCGTTTTAGCCGGGATGGTCTCGATCTCCTGACCTCGTGATCCGCCCGCCTCGGCCTCCCAAAGTGCTGGGATTACAGGCGTGAGCCACCGCGCCCGGCCTCCTGCCTATGTTTCTACTTCAGATTTCTCCTTCATAGACTCTGAGGTGGAAAGAAGCAAGCTACACCAAAATCAGCTCATTTGAATTGCAAACATGCTAAGGGAGTAAAAGTCTGGTCAAAAAAAATTGTGCAAAATAGTTCTGAGCAAAAGTGCTGGCATTCTTCAATAATGATATATGAACCAAGGTTTTGTTACCACAGTATTTGCAATAACCAAAAAATTTGGAAGTAGTCATTGATAAATGATGGTTTGAATTAAAATGTTATATTCAAATAGGAAAAACTGTTAGAATTTAAAAATAATTAGGTATAGTTCTATATGTTATTAGTGGATAATTCCTATGACAGGTAATTAATTGGAGAAAAAAACCAAGATACAAAATAAAATGTATTTGTGTACAGGCCAAGTGTTAGTTATGGTGGGTAGAGTGAAGGAGAAATCCTTCTGTCAGTCATTCTGTCAGTCAATAAATAAATATTATATTCTGAGTTCCTGGTGCCACTGTTTAAAGTGCATACATTGTTATCAAGGAACAATTTAGGCTAAAAAACAAACAAAAAGAAAAACATACACAACAATACCTTCCCAAACTGTGTCTGTGGATAACCTTTAATTTAAACACGATCATATTGTTTACATATATTACTTGTATAAATCATGTCACTGAAGTGGTCTGCAGGACCCAAATGTGTATGTAGTTCAATCACATTGATTGATCATATTCATCATAAAGTTGCGTGCCTAACTTAAATTAACAGGAGTAACAGAAGATGACACATGACAAAGAATACAAAGTTGAATATCTCTTCATATGCCCAGATTAGAGTCTTAAACAATTGACTCTAGAAATAATTCCAGTAATGTGTCTTTGATTGGGTTACATTTAGCTAATCTCAGAGAAATTTTGGTTTACAGATTTTAGTTTTCAAATTGAACCAAAATGATATATACTTTACAGTAACAAAAGGTTTTAAATGGAAAGGCCTCCTCAATATCTGTTCTTTATCATTTTTCCTCTTCAAAACACTAGCAGCTAAGGAAACATTTTTTTCTCAGTTAAACTACAGAATTTTTTCAATTAAACTACAGAACAAAATTTAATTAATATGCCATGTCTAATGATATAACTTTGATCTGCTACACCTCGTTGGTTAAGTGACAATCAACGGCATGTCAGAGGTTTAACTTGGTCAATTATTTGAGAAATTAGATATCGAGGTTATTGTGATCAAGTGGCAAGCTGATTTTCAAATTGACAGGATATATGTGAGTTAGTGTGTTTCCCTAGGAAATCAGGTGAAATCATTTCAGGAAATAGCATTCTTTTAAAAATTCAGTTTTCTAAAACCTCTAAAAGAAAGAAATGCTTATCAAGTAAAGCCTTAAACTATAGATATCGCGTGAAGGAATTTAATATTTACTGGGGTGTTACACCCCAGTATTAATTCCTTGCTTCTTTTAGAGTAATTCAGAACATTGTATATAGTGAATTTATTATTTAATCTTAGAATACAGTAAAAAACATTTTGTTCTATTGATCAGAACATTACTGAGTTCAAAAGAAAATGGTGAGGGCTTATTGTTTTTCAACAGTATAGTCACAAAACCCAAAATGCTCACATTTGAAATCAGGCAGTCTATGATCTGAATTTAGATTCTACCTCTATTCTAATGATGGTGTGACTTTGCCCAAATCACTTAACTAGCTTCAGCTTTGATTCCCTCATCTGTAAAATGAGTAGATTAAAGTACATGAGATTAAATATGTAATGTACTTAGGATGAAGCCTGAAACATAGTAATAAAAATCACTAACAAATACAGACTGCTGACTTGTGCCAAGCAACATTCTAAGGATTTTGTACGTGTTGCCCTGGGAATAGATAAAATTATGATTCTCATTTTACATTTTACAGTTGCAGAAACCTAGACACAGATTAGTTAAATAATTTAGCCAAGGTTACAAAACTAAGAAATAGAAAAATCGGTACTGACTTTAAGGTGCCAGGCAATAAGAACTCAATGATCAGCAAAGAAAACAATCAACAAAATAAAACAGTAACCTATAGAATGAGAGAAAATATTTGTAAATAATATATTTGATAACAGGTTAATATTTAAAATATATAAGGAACTCACACAACTCAATATCAAAACAAAGGAAGACAAAACATGGGCAAAGGATCCAAATAGACATTTCTCAAAAGAAGACATACAAATGAACATCAGGCATATGAAAATGTGCTCAATATCACTAATGATTCGGAAAATGCAAATCAAAACTGCAATAAGGTGTCACCTCACACCTATTAGGATGACTATTATCAAAAAGATGAAAGATAACAGGTGTTGATGAGGGTGTAGAGAAAAGGAAACATGTAAACACTATTTTGGGGAATATAAATTAGTACAGACGTTATGAAAAATCATATAGAGGTAAAGGAAACACTTAAACACTATTTTGGGGAATATAAATTAGTACAGCCATTATGAAAAATCATATAGAGGTTCCTCAAAAAATAGAAATAGAACTATCATATGATCCAGCGATCCCACTTCTGGGCATATATCCAAAGGAATATAGATGTAGATATCTGCACCCACATGGTCAGTGCAGTATTATCCACAATAACCAAGATATGAATAAAACCTAAATGTCCTAAGTGTAGAATACATGTACAATGAAACAATATTCAGCTTTGAAAAATAAAAAAAATTCCTGCCGTTTGTGACAAAATGGGTGAACCTGAAGGACATTATGCTAAGCGAAATAAGCCAGACACAGAAAGACAAATATTGTATAATCTCTCACTTATATGTGAAATACAAAATAGTTGAACTCATAGAAACAGAGTAGAAGGGTAGTTGCCAGAGGGTAGGGGCGGGGAGAGAGGGGAATTTTGATCAGAGGGCACATACTTTCAGTGTATAAAATGAACAAGTTCTATGTATTTAACATACAGCATATGTAGTAATGGAGGTGTTAATTAATTTGATTGTGATAATCATTATACAATGTATATGTATATCATTACACATTGTATATGTATATCGAATCATCACATTTTACCCCTTGAATATATACAATCTTTATATGTCAATTAAATATATTTAAATAACTCAATTACTAGTAGCTATTATCATTTACTTTGTTACACCAAAATAATGTTTTATGAATTAATCACTGAATTATCACATTAAAAATCCATTTCTGACTTCCTTTGTTAGATAACACAATCCTGGGTATACAGAGATGTCAAATCCAGACACCTTTTTTTTAAAATCCCCAACACAGAAACCAATACTTGGCAGTTGTTTGTGAAAATTCTGAAACACAAAGTGGAAAGAGGGAAAAACAAAGTAGATACTAATAATTTCTTTGAATATCTTTGTTTTATTAATCCTCAAGTTCACCACCATCTTTTATTTATAAATGCTAACACTTTCATACCTTTCAAAATGCCACTTTAATTAACACTACTAACACTATTTTCTACTCAGCACAAAGAACTATTTTCCTAATTCTAGCGTCTGAACCCATAAAGACCATTAATTAACTACCCTACAGCCTTCTCTTTTTCAAAGTCTCTAATTCCTCTTACTTCTATCTTTTCTCCAATTCCCATTATAAGGGTATTTAATTAATTTCATGCCATTCCTTTGATTCTTTTCCAAGTCATTTCCAGTTTTCATTATTGGTTATGTTCCAGAAAGGATGGTGAACAATGGAAAAGAATGCCCTTGATGCAGATAACAAAGGGATGATTTCAAGAAGCAAATTTGATTTAATTATTAAAAGATAAAAGCTTCTCTAAACTATAAATATCCTCATCTCCATCTCTGTCACAATGTTTCAAGCTTCAAAGTTTTGACATTTAACAAATATTTATTCGTATACATATCTATTCACTAACATATTACTCAGAGCAGATAGAGATTATTTACTGTATATCTAGCATTGTATTAGATTTGGAGTGACAAAGAAGTAACTGAAGAGATTCTTGACTTTGAGAGAATTAGAAGTCATTGGAAGAAAAAGATGGGTTAAAAACTGTGTTTTGTTTGATAACGTATAAGCCTACATGTCCCCATCTATAATACCCCAAGGGAGTTAATATTTGTTTTCTAATTGCAAATACTCAATGCAAAATAAAGTGAGTTACGAACAAACACCAACAGGAAAAAAATAAAACAACCATCTCAAAGGAGTTCACACTGAATTCATAAAAATGCTTTCTGATCCTCTCTCATAGAGCAGTTTATAGTGATATTGCTGTTCTGTTGATGGTATTTTTTGTTGTCCTATTAAATTGAAGTTTATGGCTATTTTTTTAAAAATCACTCTAATAAATCCTTCTAACCAAATGATATATTTATTTTTTATTATTTGCCTTAATATTTATGATAAACAGGTTTATGACATAAATTTTGATAATTTCATGATATATGAAATTTGTAATTGTTTGCTTTTCTTTTTTGAATTATAAATATTGTGAACAAAACATTATAATTTATATAAATTTGCCAAGCAAAAGTTTTAGCAATTAGAATATCTGGGTATGTTTTTAAAAACAAATAATTTACCTTTATTCTGACTATAAGATAAAATTTTCTCAGTGAGAATAATATAGAAATTATTATTCTATATTGTTATTTTATTATTTTATTATTATTATTAATAATATTATTCTAAATTATTATTTCTATAATATAGAAATTATATTCTATAAAAATATAGAAATTATTATTAAATTTAAATGTAATATAAATTTAAATCCGTATCCCCACCATCTAAAACTAAATTACTGAACTATTTGCATTTTTAATCCAAAAAAAGTCCATGAATGTACCCACACAGTCCCTTTTAAAATATAAATGTGAACGTACTCTGAACACTTTTAAATTAACTTGCTTTTTTCATTAAACGATATATAATTGATATATTTTCATTAATAATGAAATATCAATAGTAAAAATAAAGGCTTTATTATGTAATATCCTATAATACAGATATATGTAATTTATTTCACCAATCCTCAAATGATTTGCAATTAATTTATTTTCAGAGGTTTCCTGTGCATAAATAACACCATGATAAATATTTTCCAAAAGGGCAACTAACTCCTAATAGTATAATTGCTTTTGAAATCATTATTATGCATATTGATAAATTGTTCTCTTAAACAATCATATCAATTTATAGTTAAAACTGTAGGTTTCTTATTGTTCTTTTGTGGGACTAATTAATAACTATTTATGAACAGATATATAGATATATCAGTAGATATAGACACACATGCTTATGTATTCAGGGATTACATATAAAAGTGTTTATTTTAATGAGTAATAAAATCTTCTAGCACCATATTTAATAAGAAATATTTTTTCTTGGTTGATAGTATAAAGTCTACACTAGACAATAGAATAAAATGCATAAGGTATGTGAAGTTATTAAAAATGTGTGTTGCTTTTAAAAACCTGTGTCATACTATTGATCTGAAATTTAAACGAAACATAAGTAAAAATATAAGAATTCCAATGCAAAAATTATTTTATTGTTTGTATATCAAATAACATTCAATAACTCTTTGATGTGTCTTTCAGACGCTCCAATTTTTTAAAAAATCCATTTGTTTTTCTACAGGAAAATGGAAATTAACGTGCCCATCATAAGTTTGCTGTTTGATCTAAAACATAGACACTATTTCAAATCCCTTTTTATCCATATATTTTATATAATTTTACTCATGGTTGCAAGAACACATAGAAAGTCCTTGTAAACAAAAACAAATTCATTAAAGTTGCCAACAGTGTAGGTACTGTTGTTAGGGCAACTGAACTTCTTAAAAATTCATGAGAGAAAAGGATACCACCTTAAGTGATGATTTAAGTAGTCATAGCAACTACTATTTTAAAACCAACTATGGGTGCCCAGTATTTTTTTTCTCCTTCCTGACTTAAGATTTGTAAAATATTGTTGCCCTCTTTCTACAAGTTTTATTTTTATATCTCAAAAATAAAAATTTCAGATGTACCAAGCTGTCTTCAGTAGTTTTTTTTCTTCCGTCAGTAGATAGACATCAGCAAACGTGTGGATAGTGTTGATTGCATTATTTCCTCACAGACTTTGCAACCATTATCTTTGATATCTATCTGAAACTGAAAGGATGCTTTGGAAACATCAGCAACAATAGATATAGTAAAGTATCTTTCAGAAGCTCAAAATGGTTCACAGTTAGATCTTGGTTTTTTAAAAGCTAGATTTATCTCTAGTAATAGCAATTTCATTCTTTGCTTTTCTGAAATTTCTTTTATATTTCTTCTCTTCTTTTTTTCTTTTTTCCAGTTTGGCCTTAAGTAAAATATTTTAGGTCTTCTCTAGGTTTTTATTTCTAGTCTTGAAACAATACAGTGTTAGTTAGTTGCACACTGTATTCTCTCTAGGGAAATCTTAGTCCCATTCCTTACTTCTGACTCATTACATCACTTTAATAAGTGAAGTCCAGGACTAAAGGTATAATTTCAATACTTAAAATGAAAACTTAAAAGGAAGAGGTAAAAAAAAGTTAATTGTCATTTCTTTGTCTCTGGACTTTTGATATCTTCTTTAGCTAGCATTTCACTGGCCTTATCTGCTAAAGCTCTATGCTTTTCAATCTTGGGTCTCCTTCATCCCTCATAGGACCATGAGGAACAGGGTAATTTCTGGGAGAAAAAGAACATGAAGTAGATAAATCAGTGTAAATCTTCTTGGCATTAGGGAGAGGGATTTTCCCATAATGCCCTCTCCGAAGATGTGTATTTGTATATACACTGTAAGTGTAACAGAGTGACTAAGAAGGGCGCTTTTCACACAGAAGCAGATTCCCTTTCTTCCATAGCCTCCTCTTTTTTGCAGGGAGATACGATTTAAGTATTGTAAACAGAAGTTCCCGTGTAGACACTGGACTGTGCCTCAGCAAAGTCATAGGACATAGACATCCCTCTTGTTAGAAAACCACTGGATAATGACATCAAAAGGGGACAAGCAGTATTCGTTGTATACACAGAAGGCTACAGATGGCCTGAGGCATTGACTGGGTCCCTTTCCTGATTCCTAGTAGTAACATCAACTGCAACAGGCACAGTCCACAGCACAGCGCTGTGTCCAGGCGACTGAATATGGTTCCCTAAGACTAAATTTCTCATGTCAGGTCCCAGTGAACTAATTTTGGGTTCCAAAAACTGCTCTATTAAACTCTTTTCCTCTATTTTCCCAGGTAAAGTCATCCTCTCTAGTCTTCTCTGGGGATGAGATAATCTGGATCTTTCTCTATATGATTGCAATGATTGCAGTAGTTTTTTGTGACATGAACTCCATTCTCTACTTCATTGAGGGCTTTGCCTTTTTTTTTTTTTTTTTGAGCCTTTTATTTTCACTCAAAGTTTAATACAAAGCAAATATTTTGGCTTTAAACAATTCTGTGTCTGGAGAGGGATTCAAGAGGCTATTGTAGTAATATCCTCATTCTTCATGATGTAATGCAGATGCCCTCATCTGACAAGGGGAACAGTCACTGACAGGGACATGAGAAAAGAAAACAAATAAATATAATAATTTAAAATATTATCAGTATATTGTCGCTGAGGTGACAGGAGTCAAGAAGCCTCTTTGTTGAGAGAGGTAAGTGCAATCTTTGCAACTGAGTTAATCTAGCTCCATTCATTGAGATGGGATAGCACTGAGTTCAAAGACTTAGATTAGTGCTTTCTTAAACACTTGTTCCTCAGAATATTGATGCAATTTTCAAGTAAAATGAAATTAGATAAAAAGGGAAGGTATTGTTTTATGAACCAATATTTAAGAAACACAATGTTAGCTGGGCTTGGTGGCTCACACCTGTAATCCCAGCACTTTGGGAGGCCCAGGCTGGCAGATCACTAAGGTCAGGACTTCAAGACCTGGCCAACATGGTGAAACCCCATCTCTACTAAAAATACAAAAATTAGCTGGGTGTGTTGGTGGGTGCCTGTGGTCACAGCTACTCAGGAGGCTGAGCCAGGAGAATCGTGTGAACCCAGGAGTCAGAGGTTGCAGTGAGCCGAGCTGAGATCTCACCACTACATTCTACCTTGGGTGATAGAGCGAGACTCCATCTCAAACCAAAACCAAAACCAAACCAAAACAAAAGAAATGCAATGTTAAACAGGCCTTAACACATTCCAGTATCTAAGGACAATTAAGATTTTAATACAATTACATGCAATGTAAATATCCATTTATATTAGAGATTTAATGGGATTTCCCAAATGTATGTTTTCAAAGAACTCTGTTGTTCAGGGTTTGTGCTTCTACTGTAACCACCACTAACTTCATACTTACGTTGAAGAAAATTTAGACATTAGAGAAAAAAAAAAGTCAATTTAAGACATTTTGCTAAAAACTAATAAACGAAGGATCATTTCTAGATCGTTTCTCTCTGCATGTCCCCCTCAGTAATTTGTATTCAAGATCTCCTGGTCAAGGTTACAGAGATGTGGAATTTCTGCCGTCTCTTAATCTCTCTACTTATCCCACCACCAATTACTTAATGCTTATGTGGGAGAAAAATTTTGGTATTATATGGTGATAAACTTGCAACATTGAGTAATTTTAATTGTTATTTAACCTGAGAGTTACATGAAAATTATATAAATAGATGTATAAGTTTAATTTATCTGTCTTGATAAGCTAAACCAAAATCTATAGTCTAGCATATTATAAGCACTATCTGAATAAGCTATACAAAATATTCCATTCTCATTCTCCACCTTCTTAAAGGCAATGGTTTTTCTGTTTAATATGAGTCTTTCATTTGTATGCATTATTGTAAAATGGTTATGTGTATACACACTTTTTTATATATATAATATAATATATGTAATAGATACATAATATCATATCTTAATTCCAATATTGCACTCCTATCTGAAAAGAGTTGCCTGATTTGGACTATCTCTTAAAATATTTTTAAGATTTTCTTATTTCCTCTTTTGTAAATAGCCTATTCTTAACCTTTTCTATTTGTCCATTGAGGCTGATGTATTTTTACCTTTTATTTGAAGGAATAAACTAAAGATTTTAGATATTAACTCTTTCTTGGCTTCAAACATTGCAAATATTTTTTCTTGTTCTTTAATCTACCTATTACCTCTGACCATTATTTTCTTCATTTTGCAAAAATGCTTAATTTTATGAGATAGACTTTAATCATTTTTTGCTTTATGGTATTTGAGAATTTAAAAAATATTTTCACCCCTAGATCACAAAGATATTCTGTAACATTTCTTCTATTAAATAAGCATTTTATCTTTCACCTTATCTTTAATTCATCTAGATTCTACCTTTGTATAAAATATTATATAGTGATTAAAATGAAAAATTTGCACGTGAACCCGGGAGGTGGAGCTTGTAGTGAGCCGAGATCGCACCACTGCACTCCAGCCTGGGTGACAGAGCAAGACTCCAACTAAAAATAAAAAAAATTAAAAATAAAAATTGCATTTAACTAACACTAAGATTCCATTATAAAGTGGTGTTTCTCTCCACACCTTTTTAATTTCATTCATAGCCTTGAGACAATACAGTGTGTTGTATATTTGACACCCAGAGATCATTTTTAAAATCCCTTTCTTTCAAATAATAAAGTTATTTTCTCTAATATACTAATCAAGAGCAATAACAATTTTCTTGATTCATTTATTAATGTAAACAATAATTTTAGAATATAAATCCCAATTTAATGATGTTATTCAAATTTTATAAAATAATTCATAGAAGAACTACAATCTGACTGTCAAACAAAAATACTATACCTCACATTTTGTACTCCATTTCTGCGTTAAAATTGAAACACAAATAAAAACTCCAAATGGTCACATAGAACAACAGAAGTGAAGGACATAATCTTCTGTTTCTTCATCATAACATTCACTGTGATATCACTATTTATTTTGAATTTACTGTTTAAACACAGAATTTGGGATAGCACAGGGACCAGAGACAAGAGTTGTACTGGAAGCACGCATGAAGCATTACAAGTTGTTACTTAGTTTTCAAATAAATGTATGTAACTGGGTCCAAGTGTGTCAGGAGCCAACTCTATAACTGAAGTTTTCCTGAATTAATGTCCATGGATGGCGCAATGTTGATTAGAGTAAGTAATTAAACAGGCTAATTCAATGTTTACATATATATATTAACGTTCACAATAACCAAAGCAATGTTTAAAACTCAGATCACTGATGTTATTTAGAATTGCTGGTACATGGTGATGATGAAAAGCAGGAAAACCTTTAGAGACTTTGACTCTGGTTCAGGAATTCTCTATAGATAATGCACTTACGTGTTTTCGGCCTTTATGATCCATATCCCTTGCCATGCTTTGAAATAAGAACCTAAAGATCTAGTTCCAGCCAAAGTATCCTGTGTATGTTTGCATTGTCTCTAAGTTGGATCACATGTCTCTTGTGGCAGTGTTTGATCAATAGTAATTTCTATCTGTGACTCCAGTAGGAAGCTCCCTACTTCAGGGGACTGTGACATCAGATGATCTGTACATTGGGAAGAGTCAGGGAAAGTGAACACTCCATTCATCTCCTTCTGCACAGTTGAAATATACACCAGCAGTAGTGTCCTTTTGACTCGTGATGATACTGAAGCCTATATTTGTTGCCAAATAAGTTGAAGTGCCCCCTAGAGTTTGATAGGATTTCACAAGTTACAAAGCAACAACCCATCTGCATTGGCCTGGGCATGAACAAGCAAAGGGAGCCCTGTCTAATGGAATGATTAAAAGTTGAAAATGTTATTTTAATTCAATCAATTAAAAGCATAAACAGCAGGGTTTGATTGAATCAATTTAAAGAATTACACAGTAGTCAATGTGATTGTCAGCAGGAGTGAAATATTCATGTATCACCTACACACAGCTTGAAATCTGTATCCTTTAATTCGATATAACAAACAACATTTACCACATCACAGAAAGGTGACTTCTTTTGCGGAAGAAAGAACATTGCTATACTAGAGACATATGCTATTAGTGACAGCAAACACATCTGACATCCAGTTTGAAATATTTAACAAATACCATATCTTGGTTATGAATAATTTTGTATCTTCTATATTACTCCAGGTTTGGTCCTAAGTATGAAAATTTACTTTTCCTTTCCTTTATTACAAAAATCGTTTGAATATTATTGCGATGTAGTCTTAAAATACAATAGTATTAAATGATAAGTGAGTTAAAAGCAATGATGATAATCATGAAATTATTGTGGTAATTATTGTGTGTCTGTATATCACAGTAAGAAGTTACTAAGATAGACATTTACTGCTGCAGCCAAATGAAGCTAATGAAAATAGTGATACACTTTAACTTGCTTAAAAAGTTAATAAATATCCCCAAATTTCTACTGTACTCCCTTTCTATCATTTCTGGAGACTGACTATAATAAAATTGTTTTGAGGAGAATGGATTTTCTATACAATTTCCACCATTGTAATTGAGCCAAAAAAATTGTATGTTGGGGGAGAGAAGGAGGTAAATCATTATAGCAAGTATATTATTATGAAATAAAAAATAAAAATAAATAAATACCATTAACCTGAGTGTTTCCATTTTACCATCATAAAGCTTTACACATTTTGATTCTGAAAATTGTAAGTCTGTGTTCCATTTACCACATCGGGCTCAAAAAGCTTTAGAATTTAGGTATAAATAAAACAAATGTTGGATTCTTCTCTCACTATGTCATCTAAAGGGCATTATTTTAGTCTTCACTCTCATATCTATTCAGAATATTTATGGAAACCAGAGTCCCATAGGCTAGGTTGCCATGAAAGGAGACTGACCTAGAATAAGTGCTTGGCAAATGTTAGAATAGTATCTTCTTGACTTTTGCCTAATTAATTTATGATCATTAATTTGATTATTGTAAATTCACAATAATTTATTCCAAACTCCAGGGCTCTGGATTTTAGAAATTTTAGATTTTAGAAAGGAGATACATACATATACATAAACACACACACATATGTGCATATGTGTATATATATATGTGCATGTGTGTATATATATACACATTCACACCCACACATATACTATGTATATACACTCAGAGAGAGAGAGAGAGAGTGTGTGAACTATAATGCCAATGCCTTATGCAAGGGTAGGGAGTGACACCTTGTAATTAAATGTGATGGTACTTCTGAAATGAGACATGTTAATAGTCATGCCACTTAAAAGGAATGAATTTAGTTTTTGTCACCAAGTAACTTAAAATATATATATATTCTAATTTTGAGAGCTTTTTGGATTCTAGAGGCGTTATCTATATTTATGACATCTCTTTAAGTTACAGCTATTTTACACCTGTTTGAGATAGAGAAAGAAGTCTGCAGGGATTAAGTAACTTACCTATTATAAAATCACAAAGATAAAAAGTAATAAAGCCAGGATACAAGTCTACTCCAACTGACTTCAAAGCCCACATATTTATCCCTTCTCTATCATTCCCTCTGTGTTTACAGTAAACAATTCATATTGTGAAGAGTTTCATTTTATATTCACCAAACATCAGGGTTTTCTAACCCCATGAAGAGGAAATGTTTCACAAGATAAGAAATAAACAATAAAAAGTTTTGCATTGTTTCATACGTTTGTTGGCTACTTGTAATGTCTTCTTTTGAGAAGCGTCTGTTCACATGCATTTGCCAATGTTTCAAATTGAATTTTTTTTTTTTTTGCTTGTTGGTTTAGTTTCTTATAAATTCTGGAAGTTATACCTTTGTCAGATGCATAGTATGTAAATATTTTCCCCCATTTTTTAGGCTGTCTTTTTATAATGTTGGTATTTTTTTTCTGTACAGAAGCTTTTTAGTTTAATCAGGTTCCACTAATTAATTGTTGTTGTCATTGCAATTGCTCTTGGAGACCTAGCCATAAATTATTTGCCAAAACTAATATTGAGAAGGGTATTTCTTAGGTTTTTTTCCAGTATTTTTATAGTTTGAGGTCTTACATTTAAATATTTACTCCATCTTGAGTTAATTTTTGTATATAGTAAGAGGTAGGGATCCAGTTCCAGTCTTCTACATATGGCTAGCCAGTTATCCCAGTACCATTTATTGAATAGGGGGTCCTTTTCCGCAAAGCTTTTTTTTTCTATTTTGTCAAAGATCAAATGGTTTTAGGTGTGTGGGTTTACATCGGCTTTCTCCATTATGTTCCATTGATCTATGTGTCTATTTTTGTACCAGTACCATGCTGTTTCTGTTACTGTAGCCTTGTAGTATAGCTTAAGTCAGATAATGTGAAGCTTCCAGATTTGTTCTTTTTGCTTAAAATTGTTTTGGCTATTTGTACTCTTTTTTGGTTCCATATGAGCACAAATCATCAGAGAAATGCACATCAAAACCACAGTGAGATATCATTTCACACCAGTCAGAACGACTATTATTAAAAAGTCAAAAAATAACATGCTGGCAAGACTGCAAAGAAAAGGCAATACACTGTTGGTGAGAATGCAGACGAGTTCAGCCACTGTAGAAAGCAGTTTGCTTATTTCTCAAAAAAACTTAAGTCAGAGCTACCATTTGACCTACCAACTCCTTTACTGGGTATATACCCAAAGGAATATAAAATGTTCCACCATAGAGACATATGCACGTGCATGTTAATTGCAGCACTATACACAATAACTAAGTTATGGAATCAAATTCAATGCCTATCAATGGTAGACCGGATAAAGAAAACAGGGTACATGTACACCACAGAATACGATGCTGCCATAAGAATTAAATCATGTCCTTTGCAGCAACATGGATGGAGCTGGAGGCCATTATCCTAAGTGAATTAATGCAAGAACAGAAAACCAAATACTGCATGTTCTCACTTACAAGTGGGAGACAAATATTGAATGCACATAGACACAAAGATGGGAACAATAGACACTGGGGCCTACTAGTCAGGGGAAGGAGAGAGGGGGACAGGTCTGAAAAACCACCTATTGGGAGCTATGCTGACTACCAGGGTGATGGGATCATTTTTATCCCTTCTCTATCCTTCCCTCTGGGTTTGCAGTAAACAATTAGTATTCTGAAGAGTTTCATTTCATATTCACCAAACCTCAGGGTTTTCTAACCCCAAGAGGAGGAAATGTTTCACAAGATAAGAAATAAACAATAAAAAGTTTTGCATTGTTTTATATATTTGTTGGCTAGTTTCAATGTCTTCTTTTGAGAAATGTCTGTTCACATGCATTTGCCAATGTTTTAAATTGAATTACTTGTTTTTTGCTTGTTGGTTTAAGTTTCTTATAAGTTCTGGAAGTTATACCTTTGTCAGATGCATAATTTGCAAATATTTCCCCCATTCTTCAGGCTGTCTTTTTACACTGTTGGTATTTTTTTTTTGGCTGTATAGAAGCTTTTTAGTTTAATGATGTTCTGACTTATTAATACAATGTGAAATAATTAAATCAAACTAATATGCCCATCACCTCAAACCTGCACATGTATGTAACAAACCTGCCCATATATCCCTTAATCTATAATAAAAGTTGAAATTATATAAAAAATAGTTTTGTGTATGTTTGCATCATGTGTTCCAGAACAGTGCTTAGCCTTAGCACTGATGCTATGGTTTAAAGGGGTTTTTATATGGATCTGTAACCTTCACCTCCCACATATGCTTTACCACAGCTGCAACCAATTGCTAACTATGGATTAAATTTGTTATTTGTGCCAGAAATGAATGTCATATTTAAAACACAGATGCTAGGTTAATGTGTTCATGTCTCGTTTAAATCAACAGCCATTGACCTGGATGGACCTAGGACACACACTAAAGGACACATCTGGGTGCGTACCAATCAACAGTAAGAGGGGCCGGGTGTGGTGATTCCTGGCTGTAATCCCAGCTACTTGGGAGGCTGAGACAGGCGAATCACTTGAACCCGGGAGGCGGAGGTTGCAGTGAGCCAAGATCATGCCATTGCACTCCAGCCTGGGCAAAAGAGCAAGATTTCTTCGTCTCAAACAACAACAACAACAACAACAACAACAACAACAACAACAACAGTAAGAGGCAAGTAGGTGAGCTCTATCAATCCATGACTTTGCTATGTAAAGTTGTTTATTTGTGTGATCTACTCACAAATCAGTTCTCCTGTAGAAGATTACAAATCAACAATTTTTATCTCTAACACTGCTGAAATTTGCTGTTTATTCATGGTAAAGGCCAAAAAAAAAACTACTGGAAATAATGTCGAGTAATTTGGAAGTATTTCACATGTCGGCACTTGGGATATTTTGAATGCCCCAATGTTACAAATGAGAATTAGATAGGATGAAGCCAGTAAAACAGTTTTATGTAAGCTAAATACCACTATCACACTTGTAACAGCAAGAGTCCCTCTCATCAAAGACAAAAACATAAAAAAATCATAAAACAGTCACACATATTGAAGTATTCTAATCAAGTTATTTAGAGCAACGATCATTGCTGATGCTTGAAAAAATTTTTAAAAGTAATTTTTTAATCAAATGCAATTTTTAATAAATAGAACACACATTTCTGAAACACTTCACTATAAACAAGTTTAATTAGTGAGAGTCTATAAGTAAGTGTCTTTAAAATTTTGAACAAACATTTCTCAAAAGCACTGTGACTCACAGTTTTCACTTGATGTGTTTTTTTCTGTAAAGCTTCTTTAACTTAAGAAGTGTTCCTAATGTAAACATGTCTTATCAGAGTGGGCCAGAAGAATCTGTAAATGTTTCAGTGAGGATCATGATCTGATTTTTACAGAAAAAGAGGTGATGAAAATAATATTTTCAATGCACAAACATGATAATGTGGACTGGAACTTTTAATATTCTGTTTTACATGCCTTTCTTTAATTTATGTGCACAAATTTGGTTCTGTTTGACAAACTGAACAGTTGTTATAGATAAATTCTATCACCTGTGGAAGTGCTTCTCTTTTGGTTTCAAACAACAATCCATTTGGTATTCCAAGATTCCTTCCACAAGATAACTTTATACCATTCAATGCCTATTAAAAGAATAACAAAAAGTGACAGCCATAATGGAGATAAGAACAAATCAATGGAAAGACATTTACCATTGGCAAGTAGTTGAATCCTTTATGTTTTTCTCTTTTCAGATTCACCAAGGAGCTTTTTATATCTCACAAAATAGCATGTTGCTAATAAGAAGAATAAAATGAAACCAAGGTACAAAATGATGTTCTGAGTTATGAATACAATGTGAAATAATTAAATCAAACTAACTAATATATCCATCACCTCAAATATTTAGCATTTTTTGTGGTGAGGCCATTTGAAATATACTTCCTAAGGAATTTTGAAATGTAAAATATGCAGTTATTAACTGTACTCACCAAGCCGTGCAATAGATTTCAAAAAAAAATTTATTTCTCCTGTCTAACTGGATTTTTGGCCATCATGTCCCCATATTCCTCCCCTGCTAGCCTCTGTAACCCCCATTTTACTCTCTGCTTCTTTGAGTTTGACTGTTTTTGACTTAACATATAGGTAAGATCATACTATATCTGTCTTCCTGTGTCTGGCTCATTTCACTTAGCATAGAGTTCTCTAATCTCATCCATGTTGCCACAAATGACAGAATTTCCTTCTTTTAAAGGCTGAATAGTATCCCATTGTATATAGGTACCATATTTACTTATCCATTCATCCACTGATAGACACCTAGGTTAATTCTATAACTTGACTATTGTCCATAGTGCTGCAATGAACATGAGAGTACAAACATCTCTTTGACATACTGATTTCAAATATTTTGGGTAAATAGCCCAAAGGGGGACTGCAGGATCACATGGCAATTCTAGTTTTAGTTTTTGAGGAACGTTTATACAGTCTTTCATAAAAGCTGTACTAATTTAAAACCCCACCAACAGTGTACACGGGTTCTTTTTTTTTCCACATCCTTGCCAACATTTGTTACCTTTTGTCTTTCTGATGATAATAGCCATTCTTGATTAGTAGTTCTGAGCATTTTTTGATATATCTGTTGGTCATTTGTTTGTCTTCTGTGGAGAAATGTCTATTCAGAAAACTTGCCCAATTTTAAATTGGGTTATCTGTTTTCTTGCTATTGAGTTATTTGAGTTCCTTATATATTTTCAACACTAACACTTTATGAGACATATGGCTAGAAAATATTTTCACCGAATCCGTAGGTTGACTCCTTACACATTAATTGTTTTCTTCATTGCACAGAAGCTTTTTAGTTTAATATATTCCCCTTTGTCTATTTTTGTTTTTGTTGCCTATACTTTGGGGATCAAATCCAAAAAATCATTGCCCTCACCAATGTCACGTAGTTTTTTTTTCCTTCATTTTCTCTTAATCGTTTATGGTTTCTGGTCCTATATTTAAATCTTGAATTCAATTTGAGTTGATTTTTGTATGTGGTGTGAGATGAGTCCAATTTCATTCTTCTGTATGTGATTATCCAGCTTTTCCAGAACAACTTCTTGAAGACACTATTTTTTTTCCATGATGTATTCTTGGCACCTTTGTCAAAAATCAATTGATCACACATATATGGGTTCATTTTTGGACTCTCTATTTTGTGTTATTAATAAATGTGTCTACTTCTATGCCAGCACCCTGCTGTTTTAATTACTGTAGCTTCGTGGTATAGCTTGAAATCAGATCATATAACACTTCTCCCTTTGTTGTCCTTTTGTTCATGATTTCCTTGGCTATTTAGGGCACTATATTCATTTTAATTATTTTTTGTGACATTATTTTAATAAAACAAAACCACTTAATATCTTGTTAATCATATTGGAACATACTCTTTCAGGTCGTATAAATATCTGACCATTGACCTCAACAACTTTTTCTCCATGACCAACTTTACTCACCATTAAAATGGGAATTGCTGTTTCTCTGAAAAATGAAGAAGAAATATGTATGTTAATTACCGGGTTTAATACAATTTTTATTAATCTGTTCAGTAGATAATTTGACAAATATTTTTTGAGCATCTATGTTATGCTAAATGTCAGGAAAACATGGTGAGTAATACAGACCTAGGCTTTTCCTAGGAGGGGCCTAACTTAAAGGGAAAGACAAATAGCAACTTTGCCTGGCAAGTGTGAAATATTTCCAGGATACATAAAAGGAGAGCTAACTTAGTTCCTTTCTGAGACTGGTTCAGGAGAAATGATCCAGAAGATGTAGAGAGCGCATGGGGAAAAAATTTCTGGGGAGAAGGAATGGTCTGTTTCAAGAAACAATTTGAAGTCAATAAAAACATAGTCAAGTTACCCAGCTCCTAATCTCCAGTTCCATATCTGTAAGTAATCATGCCCAATTCCTAGCTAGGGTGTGTTGTTGAAATTTACATATAGTAAACTCCTAGAGCAGGACCTGTAAGTAATGAACAGACCACCTATCATGACTATGATATGGTCCCAAGTGAATGGAGAAGAGGAAGCAGAGAGAAAGCAGGAGATGAGAGTGTGGGAGTACAAGGGCCAGGTTATGCAATGTCTTGCAAACTATGTTACAGATTCTTGACTTTATACTAAATTTTAAGAAAAATAGTGACATGTTATGATTAATTTATTTAAACATTATTTGACCACTGTATAGGGAATGGATTGAAGGAAAGAAAGAGTGGATGAAGAGAACCCAGTAAGAGGGTGTTATGAACAGAAGGTTGTGTCTCCCCAAAATTTTTATGTTTAAACCCTAACCTCCAATTCGATTGTTTTAGCAGGTGGGGTACTTCGGACATAATTAAATTGAGATGTGGTCATAAGAGGGGGTCACTATAATGGGATGAATGTCCTGGTAAGAAGAGAAGACAGACCAGAAGTTAATTTCTCTCCATCATATTAGGACACAACAAATGGTGCCCCCCTGTAAAATCTAAAGAGGGCCCTCACCAAAAACTAAAGCTGCTGGCACCTTGACCTTGGACTTCCTTGCCTCCAGAACTTTGATAAATAAATATCTGTTGTTTAAGTCACTCAGTCTACTGTAGTTTGTTATAGCAGCCTGAGCTGAATAAGGAAGCTTCAGCAGAATTGTTTTTGAAGCAGAATATGTTGTAAACCTGGACTATAACAATAATGATGGCAAAAGGTGATTGGATTGCAGAGATGTTTGAGAGTAACATCCATAATACCTAAAAATCAGAGCACTATAGTTAAGTTCCTGGACCTGTGAACCATTCCAGCTGTGTTCAAATCTTGACCAGGCTATGTACAAACAATAAAACTTTCCACAGTAATCTACCTCTATATTCTTTATATCAGTATGTTGGGAGTCGTGCAAGTATTTACTTTATGTAGTCATTACAGAAAGTAAAGTAATTAATATATGCAAAGTGCATGGATCCTTGTCTAGCACCTATTAAATATTGCTTACATTTATTGGTGACTAATGGGATACGAGTGGTTAAAGAGAGAAAGCCATGAAGCAAGACTCGTGGTTTTATAAACCATATGTTGTAAAATAGAGACAAATGTTAAGATCTTCACGTAAAAACTAATTAATTCTTGTTGAATTGATTGAATACCCTGAATTTTTGAACACGTCAAATGCTATGGTTTTTCTTTGTTTCAAAAGATAAAATTTAACCATAAAAATAATAGTTTTCCCTTTACATATTAAAAAAAAGCTATTGGTAAGGCAATCTTGAATTAAAAAAAAATGCTTTTTGTTTAAAAAGAAGATAAGTTAACATAGTTTCTAACCAAAAGTTGAATATTTAACAAAAAATGTAAAAGCCACTGATTTCTTTCTAATTTGCTTAAACTTCTCTTTTAAAGAAGGTATTTTTTTAATTGCAAAATGACCACAATATCATAAACATAATAAATGTATATAATTAAGGGGGAATAAACTCAATTATACAGTAAAATCTGCATGAGATGCCTAATCACTAGAATTGAGACATTAATACATAATTATATTTTCACAAAACCTTTAAGATTATTTTATGTTTGCAAGAGTATATCAACAAAAATTAATAGATAAATTGTATTCTTTTCATCTTTTCCTTGCCTATAAGGATATTATAATCAAATAAGCTTTAGTCTTGCATAAAAGTTAGGCTTATCTTCATCCCATAAAACAAAATGGACTTCTAAAATGTGACAAACAATTTTTCTAGAATATATGTGTTACAGAAAGAATGTATTTTAACCTGTTGTGTTCTTTATATTTTTCTGTTTAAAGAATTAGTAATCTCTTCCAAAACTACAATAGTTTGGTTTACCAGTGAAAAAAATCATAGTTTTGTACTCTCTAAAATGTATTTTTCAAATTTAGTTGGTTCTTTAAGAAGAAACATAAAATTACAATTATCTAAAAGAATGTCAATTTAGAGTGAAAAAATAAATTGCATGATACACAGTTTAGTAAACTAAAAACTATCACAAACATCAGATAAGTCTAAAAAGAGAACATATTACTTTAATCAATTAACTCCCAGGCACAACTGCATTTTTGGCTCCATATTTTTTATCACCTATTTACACAACAACAACCTTTATTATTTCATTTATTAGAGAAAATTAGAGAATAATTCTTTCTACATGGCTAGTAGAAATATTTCTTCTTATTATTAATAGTTTAGAAAGTTTCAGCTTTGCAATTTATTGATAATAAGAGGAATTCCAGGGGAAAATCTTTCAACTTTCATACATGAGCTATAATGTTTAGAAGAGTTTTCCAAAGGTGATCTTTTGGCTTCATGCTTTTCAAACCTTGTGTCTTCTCACCTATTCACATACTCCCAGTTCAAATGGCAATGTGAATCCAGTTTCTATATTTCTGTGTGCAGATACCAGTTGAGCTGACATAATGAATTGTAGGATAATTTCAGATGTCACCCTTTCACTCAGATAGACAACAGTAATTTAATTATATACCTGAAGTCACTCTGGAGTCACAGAAATATATATCCTACTAAGCACAAACTAAATGTATGCTTAACTCAATTCCCATTCACATGCTCTCAGAAATGCTGGTGTTGCAGAAAGAAAAGCTGGAATAAAAATAGGCTAGGCTCTGAATTAATTATACTTAAAGTATCTTACTTTTTCAAATTGTGAAAAATACTATGACCCTATGAACACTCTGCATGGCCTTCTTTGAGGTCCTTAAAAGGTTTCTGTGAAAATGAACGACTGAATCCTCAGCTTCCTAAGCTTCACTACTGGTCCTATCGTGCCAGCAGAACTTTTAAAAATATAAAACGATTCGCCATTAATAAAAAATGAGCTACCATTTCTTTAAAAGTCTGCTGAGTTTAATATGATCGGGACAGGGTAGGATGGATTGCCAGACATGCTGGAAATCCTACCATAAGATAATGTCGTCCAAAGATAATTTCATCTCTCCACAGTGCAACACAGTATTTCCATGTTATTTCTTGAAGATAATAACAATAAATCCCTCAAAATATCAACGCAGTATGTCTTGGAGCATTTAACACCAAAACTTCTTAAAGAATACCAGTAAAAATTTAAAAAGTCACTATCTATGCGTGCTTGTTAGCATGGAAAGATCAATAGGGATTAATAGCTTTCTCTGGTCAAGCACACATAAACACTCATCTAGGTTTGCAGTAATTGCTCACTACTACAAAGACTGTTTATGAATACAACTGCACCAGCCAAAAGAGTGCATAAAAATTACATGTATAAATATATACATATAATAGAGACAGAGAGAGAGAAAGAGAACATTTGTTCACTTCTTTATTAAGTAATTATTAATTTAGCAAACATGATTCACCATAGTGCTTTTCCAGAAACTGGACATAAAGTAATGAAATTCAATAAAATTATTGACACTATATTTAGTGGAGGATAATACTATAAAAAATGAACACATATATGGAAAATTTACTGCGTGTAATATCTTTTTGCTTTTTGAATTGTGAATGGCAGTTTATAAGACTTATCTCTACAATAAACTATATCCCTTGAATACAAGGTTCTATGCATAGGAGTCTGTACATTTAATATTTAATAACTCTTTGATGATTGTACTGATAAAATATATTACTTTTATATTCCAAGCTAGATTATAAGCTTTTTTTTATTACCACTATGTGGGACATTTCATATACTTACTGGTTAATCGATTATTGAATGAGATTATATTTTCAGCATAGATGACTTTTTGCTCAATAATCTGTCATAACATCGAAGAATGGAAAGCTAGGCTATTCAAGGATAATTAAGAACTTACTATAAATTGAATACAGTATATAATTACACATGGGGTTATGAAACTTTTTACACCACAGCATAGAACGATCAGAATGAATTCACTGTTTTGCTGAAGTGTATTGCTTTATCACTTACATAAAATCTGACACAAAGAAGTTTTATTTTCGGCTTGGGGTATATTTATTTTATTTTGTAATCAAAGGTAATTATTATTACTATTATTATTATTATTACTACTATTATTTGAGACAGAATCTCGCTCTGTTGCCCAGGCTGGAGTACAGTGGTGTGATCTCGGCTCACCACAACCCCTGCCTCCTGGGTTCAAGTGATTCTCCTGCCTCAGCCTCCCAAGTAGCTGGGACTACAAGCATTTGCCACCACGCCTGGCAAATTTTTTGTATTTTTAGTAGAGACAGGGTTTCACTATGTTGGCCAGGCTGGTTTCGAACACCTGATCTCGCCTGCCTCGGCTTCCCAAAATGCTAGGATTACCGGCGTGAGCCACCATTGTATCATGATATATTCAGAGGCCTGTAGACAGGTTCATTGAATAAATTAATAAATTAATTATTGTCTTCATTTACTATTGCTGCAAACTGACATGAACCTATTTATTCAAGATAGCTCTTAGTTTTTGTAGATAACTATCAAAGAAGTGTTAGATAGATAATGACAATTACCAACTTTTCTCAATTTTAACACCATAATACAATGAAAGCATATTACGTGCTATTTAGCATGCAAAATAGTGAAGTATTAGTCCTTGTTGGATATATGCATAACAGGAGGATTTTTAGTAACTGCTGTTGAACTGGTGCCTTTCTGATAGGATGTCCACTGGCAACCCTTTGACTGTTTCTTCTTGATTGGGACTCAGTTTTAACTTAACATAAGTAAGGCACATAATATTTTACTTTATATACTAAAGTAATTTAAAGAAAATTGCAGACATGGCGACATCCTCATTTTATTCTCTTTAATAAAGCCTATAATATGTACCTAAATAGGTGAAATGCTTCCGCATGATGTTGTGAAGTATTCCATGAACCTGCTCCCCAGCAAATCAACCATTACTCAGGATAAATATAAAAATCAACAATTTAAAGTCTCTAGTAACCACCCTAAGGGCATACAGCAAAGAAAGAAACATTTATTCAAGAAATCTACTAATCTCTGTAGAAATAATGACAGTTCACAGCGTTTGAGCTATTACTCTCTCCCTCCATCATCCGCCTCAGCTTAGGGTGGTGAAAGTTCTACTTTGGGCAGTGAGGCCAAGTAGATGGGGATTCCTCTCCTCCACTCCCAGCCTAAAGTGACAGTTGTCACTCCAAGAAAAGCAGGACTTTGTTCAGTCCTCCAGGTCTAGAAAATTGGCACAGAGTGTCTTTCCATGGAAAGAAACAAGTAGTAAGAACAGAGAACTTTATAGCCCTTCCCAAGGGGACTGACTTCATTTGGACCAGAGAATGGAAAGTTGCAGCCTAAGAGATCTCTCAAAAACAATGGAGATTTGGGTGGTGAGCAATTAAGAGGAGGTTGTTGGTTCCAAGATAGTAAGAAGTAAAAATAGTAGCCCAAAAAGAAGTTTACTAGAAGCAGGAAAAGATATAGCTAAAGACAAACCTTCTGTGGTCAGAGAAAGCTTCAAAGACTAGCCTCAAGGTCCACTCCTGCAAAGGGCCCTGACTAATTGGATCATATTGTGGAGCAATTTATGCCTCAGCTCATTGCTGAAAACAATAAAGCAATCAGCTATTAATTAGTGTATAATATCCATTAAGGTTGACAAGCCACAAACGTAGTAGACAAGTAGGAGAAAGAGAAAATCAGAGAGCTCATCTGAAATCTCTCACTCTGTTGGAGTGAGGGTGAGGAGAGGTGGTCAGGCTGACTGTGTCTAGGCCCAGGGAAATGCTCTCTGAAACAGAAGCTTCACACTGGCGGGGAAATCGACTGCACTGAACAATTCTGGCCAAGTCACTAAACAAAAGACAAGAAAGTGAACAAACAACAACAAATTCAAGCCCCAGTGGGGGAACCAATATCCAGAGTTGATATAATATCTCAAATGTCCATTTTTAAACGAAATTATAAACGTAGGGGTAAAAAAGAAATGAGGAACCCATAAACAAGAAGAAAAACATGCAACAGAAACTGTCTAAATTTAAGATGACCCCAGTATAAACTGATCAAATAAAGACTTCAAATTAGCTAATATAATTGTGTTCAAATAACTAACAGAAATAATGTTTTAAAAATTAAAAAGAGGTACAGTAATAGGACCTCATCACATAAAGAATATGAATAAAATAAAATTAATTATTTATAAAAGCAAGTAAAATTCTGGAAATGAAAAGTAAAATAAATGAAATGAAAAACTAAGGAGAGGGGCTCAACAGTGGATTCAAATTGGTAGATAAAAATTGGCAAATTTTAAAATAGAGTTGATACAGATGATGCAATATGATAAACAGAGAAAGAAGAAGAAAAACAAGACTCAGAAAATTGTGGGACACAATTAACTGCACAAACATATATGTAAGGGGATTAGTAGAAGAAGAGAAAGGAAAATAAATAGAAAATATATTTTTGAAAATAATTGCCAAAAATTTCCCAAATTTGATTTAAAAAAACACTTCAGTCTAAACATCCAAACAGCGCAATCAACTCCAAGTAGGCTAAATATGAGGAGATCCAAACCCAGCCACCTCATAGTCAAAATGTTGAAAGACAAAGGCGAACATAAAATCTTGACAGCAGCAAGAGGACAATGACTCATTCTTTTAATTTAAAAGTAAATGGATGGCAAAAGATTCACCAAGCAAACTGGAACCATAACGTTGGAGTGGCTACACCAATATCAAACAAAATAGAATTTAAAACAAAATATGTTAGTACAGATAAAGAGAAACATCTATAATGAAAAAAGGATAAGTCCATCAGACAGATTGAACAACTATAAACATACATACACCTAGCTACAAAATTCCGAAATATGTGAAGCAAAATTTATAGAATTAAAAGGAGAAGTAGACAATTCAAAATAATAGTCAGGCCAGGCACGTTGGCTCACGCCTGTAATCCCAGCACTTTGAGAGGCTGAGGCAGATGGATCGCTTGAGGTCAGGAGTTTGAGACCAGCCTGACCAACATAGTGAAACCCTGTCTCTTCTAAACAGAATACAAAAATTAGCTGGGCGTGGTGGCATGCACCTGTAATCCCAGCTACTGAGGAGGCTGGGGCAGGAGAATCGCTTGAACCTGGGAGCCGGAGGTTGCAGTGAGCCAATATCGTGCCATTGCACTCCAGCCTGGGCGGAAGAGAGAGACTTTGTCTCAAAAAAAAAAAAAAAAAAAAAAAAAAAAAAAGATTTATGGTACTTTTATTTAATAGAGTTTTTTTTAGCAGTTTTAATTTTATGGAAAAATTGAGTAAAAAGAAGGTTTCCATATACCTGCTCTTCCCCAGAACAGTTTGTTCTATTAGTAACATCTTGCATTCCTGTGGTATGTTTGTTAAAATTGGTAAGCCAACACTGATACGTTATTCTTAACTAAAGTCCACAGTTTTTTTTTTGTATTGCACACTCTATGTGTTTTGATAAATGTATACTAATATCCGTTATCTTAATATCACGCAGAATAGTTTCACTGCCTTAAAAATCACCTGTGCCCTACTTATTCACCCTTCTCTCCCTCTCTCCAGATCTCCAGCAACCACTGACATTTTTACTGTCTTCATAGTTTTGCCTTTTCTAGAATGTTATGTAGTTGAAATCATGGTCTGTAGCCTTCTCAGTCTGGCTATTTTCACTAAACAGTATGATTTATGGCACTTCCATATCTTCTTATGGCTTGAAAACTTATTTTTGTGGTTGAATAACATTTCATTATATGGATGTTCCACACTTGGTTTATCCAGCAACCCACTGACAGCATCTGGGTTGCTTCTAACTTCTGGATATTATGAATAAAGCTGCTATAAACAAACATGTACAGGTTTTTATGTAAATATAAGCATTTACTCATTTGGGTAAAATACCAGTGAGTGCAATCGCTGGGTCTTATGATAAGTGTATGCTTAAGTTTGTAAGAAATCATCAAACTCTCTTCCAAATTGGCTCTATCCTTTTGCATTCCCACCAGCAATAAATGAGAGTTTGTGTTGTCCCATATAATCTTCAACATTTGCTGTTGTCAATGTTTTGAATTTAGTCACTCTAATAAGTGTGTCCATATGAGCTTTGCATCTTCACCATTTGGTTTCTATGTCTTATTAGGAAGAAAATTCTAAAATTCTAGGGGAAAGTAATTACTTGGTCTTTTTTTTTAACCAATTATTCCCAGGTCCTAGTTTATATGTTGAATAAATGAGAGTCTTTGCAGAATGTATCTGAAAATGTCCATGGTATTTTTTCAGATGTTTATCAACACATTACAAGAAAAAGTATTGGTATACAAAAATCTTGAAAATTTTTGTTTAAAGCAATGTTTTCTTCTCACACCTAAAACAACAAAAGTATTGGTTTTATTCTTATTTTCCATGTGTTTTCTATATTTAAAACCATAGAAGAGAATCTATAACATAAAAGTTGAGTATCTTCTACTCTACTATTTTTTTGAAGTATAATAAAGACAAATGACTCCATCTCTTCTCTGAATATTTGCATTCTTGAATATACTTTTCTTGGGACAAATCACAATTTGCATGGCCTTTCCAAAGGGTTTGTATGTGATACACAGATATTAGGTTGAGAAAAACCTCAGTCTGCAATTTCAAATTTATCACTGATAAATATGCAAGAATTACTGGTATATATATATATATATATATACACACATATACAGACACACACACGTAGTGTAAGTGTATATATTCTTTCTCTTCCAAAGCAAAACTTTCTTCAGTAAAGGGCATGTGAAAGTCTACAAAACCAAACCTAATTATTAGCTAGATTCCAAAAAGATTTTCTACCAATAAATCATGAAAATTAAAGCAAACTGTGACCTACCTTGCTTAAGCTATTGCTCTGCTCTAGTTTTGAGCAAAAGTAAAGGAATACATATTTCAGGGCTTTTTTTCAGTTCTCTTGAAAACTACAATGTTCCATAAATGTGGCATTTTTTATTTATGGTCATGATAAAACAAAATGATTTTGTGACTTCTCTTACATAACTATCATTCTTATATTTTTCCTAGACGGCAATCAACACACAGCTATTTATTTATAAATGTGACAGGTCAATTCTTAGACATCTGGGATAAGGTGAGGTTTTTTTAGTTTTGGTTTTGCTTTTTAAGCAAGCAGCTAGATAATAGATATTGTGATATTTTACATATGTTTTAAATTAATCTGGAGATATTAATTGTTGACGTATAAAATTTTGTGTAATTGAAAATTACATGTATATATTTACACAAGTGTATATGTAAGTATTCATCAATATTAATATGGTCACATATATAAATTTATACATATACATATATAGGTATATTCATCAAAAATAAGATATATATCTTTAACTTAATTGATTTTTAATTGCTATAAATTATAATTAGGTATTTTAGTGAATGATTTTGCTTGTTATATTGATGTGTCCAATTGATCTGTAAGAAGATTACAGCTACTGTCCTGAAAGGTGAGAGTTTGAGTACAAATGAAGAGGTAGTCTTAAACTGATCAATTTAGTGATTAACTGAATTTTTAATACTGTAGGAAAATGAGAACAAGTATAATATATTTTTAAACTTTTAAAATTAAAGTGCTAAAATATTCAAACTGTTAAACCTTAAAATACCAAACCAAACAACTTCATGTACCACATCCTAGGGTGAGGAAATTGACTCCGTCAGACTGTAGGAGCCACTTAAGATTACCAAATTAGATATGGACAGGTGTGAGCATGCCATTCTCACAGATGGAGGAATTCAGACACAGAAGGATTAAGGAACTTGTTCAGGATCCACAGCTGTTCAAGTTCGCGCAGCCATGACTGGAACCCAGTGTGAATGGGATCTTATCCTGGGGTTTGCTCACTTCATTGACCTGCCTTTTATTAATTGCATTATATTCACATTTTTAATTTTTTGTTACTATAGTGCTATAAACAATTTGGCACACTCATGTAATATTTTAATTATGTTAATAAGTCAAATATCTATAAAAATCAAAATCTTTACTACAGTCATTTTTATATTGACAGGAAACTGACTACTAGGTTCCAAGATCAATTAATCTGTTTAGATACAAAAAGGAAGAGTGTTTTCTTTTTTATGTATGAATCCTCACCACATTACTCTGGTCATACAGCCAGTCCTGGAGTTGCTGTCTCCCAGATCCTGCCTCCCACCAACTCTCAGGTGAACAGAAAGAGTATTTGAGGACCAGAAGAAGAGCATTTTTCTAATCCTGGCCGAGGACCCTGATTTTATGGTTCAAAATGTACCAGTTTTCCCTGTTTATCCTCCTTCTTCACCTCAGCTTATTATAAATCTAATTACTATATTGTAATTTGTTTAATAAATGTCCCTTCTGTTAAATGAACTAGCAAGATCTGGGTCTTTGTCCAACAACTGACACAATACTTGGCATTAAGTTAACTGAAGTTTATTAGCTGAAGATGACCAGAATCTCCTTATATCACCACTTTGTGCATCCAGGCTGCTTCTATTTTGCCTCTCTCCAACTCCAACTGGAATAACTTAGGTTTTGTTTAAAAGGATTTATTAACGGGGGGAAGGGAATAGTAAAATTAAACTATGCGATTGGGGATTTATTCCAAGAAATATAATGTTATTTATCAATTAATTACATAAGCCTTGCCAGGAGCTTCCTGAGAAGAATAGATATGTGGACCAAGGAACAATAGAATATTTTTGTGAATAAAAACTTGAACATTTTGGGCTTGCCTCTGATTAAACTCTACAACGAAGTATAGATAACTTTACTGTCCTTTCACTACAAAACATACATTCCACTCATCTCCCAGATATAAGCCAGTGTGAACTATTTCCTCCCTTTGGACTTGAGAAAAGTTTTTCTCAAGTATCAAGGAATTGCTCCAAACTAATGTTGGCATTTAATTTAACTGGAATTTCCTTCAACCTGATTCAAAATATATATGATATTGAACTTAATTGAATGATAGGTTTAAAATTCTTCCGTGAGTATAACACAGTGACCCCTGTAACCTTTATTTAATTGTGAAAATAAATGTATTGTTTTCATCCATGTTACTCTAAGGGACTTTCTAATGAATCTCTTCTTTGGAATTTGGTATTTCTCTGAAAATACTGATTGACATGACTTAACATTGTAGCGTAAACAACAACAACATAAAATCAAAAGTATACCTCCAAAATAGCTGAAAGAACATTGAAAAGACTTATAGGATTAGTGATGAGTTGATGGGTGCAGCAAGCCAACATGGCACACGTATACCTATGTATCAGACCTGCACATTGTGCACATGTACCCTAGAACTTAAAGTATAATAAAAACATAAAAATTTTTAAAAAAAGATTGGTCATATCTCTGGATAAGGAAATAGAATGGATAAATGTGGGGAAGGGGGATTTATTTTTTGCTGATGTACTTTGATGTATAACATTTTGAGTATTTGAAAATTCTAGATATATATGTGTTTATATATGTATGTATATGTTTGAGTATATACATATACACACATATATGTGTGTGTGTATACATATGTATATGTACACATGTATACTGTATTAGTCTACTTGGGCTGTGTATTAGTCAGTTTGGGCTGGTATTACAACTATGACATAAACTGAGTAGTTTAACAAATGTTCATTTCTCACAGTTCTGAAAGCCGAGAAGTCCCAAATCAAAATGCCAGCAAATGTGGTGTCTTGTGCAGGCCACTTCCTAATTTGCAGATGACCATCTTCTTATTATATCCTCATATGAGGAGATCAAAGAGCAAGCATCTCTCTCAGGTCTCTTATCATAAGGGCACTAATTCCATTTATGGGGGCTTGACCCTCATTAATTAATTACCTCCCAAAGTACCCACCGACAAATCCTGTCACACTGAGGATTTAGGCTTTAACATATGAATTTTGAGGAGCTATCAATATTCATTTCATAGCAGGCCACTCAATCCCCCTGAACCAGATATTCAGTTTCCTGGTGTCACCCAGAATTTTGCTTACCCCCTCCAGCAGGACCCCTGCTGTCTGGGAAAAGCTGTCCAGAATTCAGTTCCAGCTGACAGGGTATGGCTATGAATCCACCACTCAGTAAAATGGCAGACAGGTGGAGCCCTGCTGCCACTGCCACACCCATTTCTGAGAAAATTTGTATTGTAACTGATAAGTGTCATGGAGGAGTGTGCCAGGAAAATAAAGTGCCTTCTAATTTTAAGGTTCCTGGCTCCAATCACAGAATGGCTGAGCTAGAGAATTGCTTTCTGGTTTTGCAAACAATCATAGGACTGTACCTTACAACCTACCTCAGCAGTAAGTAATACTACTTATAAGCATTTTTGAGTAACTACTCTCTGGAGCTCTTTACAACAATTGAGCTCTCAGCATAAATGTGAATCTTGTCATAGAGTGATGTAAT
The DNA here is from genome assembly GCF_000001405.40 of Homo sapiens. Taxonomy (NCBI): domain Eukaryota; kingdom Metazoa; phylum Chordata; class Mammalia; order Primates; family Hominidae; genus Homo; species Homo sapiens. The sequence goes on from NC_000004.12 coordinate 30,498,114, forward strand.
ATCCAACTAAATTCTCTATTCTAAAAGTTCCTAGAATACCCAGTAGGCAGTATTTTGTTTTTGTTTTGTTAAATTTTGTTTTTCCGTCAAGATAAGAAAATAGAGAGGGAAAGAAGGGAAACAGTGTTTCCATGGCTAGTACAAAAATAATAAATCCTCTTTCCTAAACTGTTACTGAAGAAATTTGAGGATAGTGTGTTCTTGGGTCGAGAGGTAGGCTAGAAAGGCAATTGCATACACAGGACATCCCTTCAATTTCCAGAAGGGAGTAATTAAAGAGATTAAATATTTAAATAATTAGAAAGTAACAAAAACAGTTGCAAAGAGAAGTGATTATTTCAGGGAGAATGAGATTAAAAGATTCGCATCTCTTTTTCCATGAATATTTAACCCACACATTATAGTCATCAAATCCAAGGGAATCAAATTCAGAATCATAAAATATAATGATTGGCATATTAATTGCTTCCTAAGTAAATTTGATTTAAAGGTACACAAATTGATGTACTATGTAAGTTTAACTGATTCTTAGTAAGATTTGAAAGAAAAAGTAGTAGACTTTGGAATCTCAGCTGGGAAGAGAGTAGTTAGAAAGACTGTTGCTGCTTTTACATACTATGACCTGCTTGCCACTAACCCCGCTAGCTCTGGATAAAAAGGAGCAGTTTAGAAATGGGAAAAGGAAAACATTCTGGCACAAAAACCTGTTTCTCTTTCAAGCCAGTCAGTATGTCACCAGGCCTCTGCAGAGAAATTATCCATCACTGTTTATCTATTTAGGTAGCTTCAATAGCCCCACCCAATTCACGGAGGGGAAAGAACAGAAAAATAAGTGGTTTCCCCATGAGGAGGAAATCTCATTAAGACAAGTTCCCATTTGCTTTTTGTCATCATTGTATAACTCCCACCTTAAGTAAGGCCTGCACATTGTAGGATCTCACTAAATATTTGTTGAACAGTTAATAGATTTATATAATTTGGTCATCCAAGTTTCCACAGTAGACTTGGATATGGGTGTCAGTGGTAGATCCTTTACTTCCCAGGGTCCCTGGGTAACTCCTCTGCTTGTCAAGGCAGCAAAGCAAATGCTCCAGCTGCCTCTTGGCTGACAGTGTCTGCCCCACCTCGTTGGTTTGGCGGCAGCTCCCCTCGGCACTGGGCTTCTTGGCTATAAGAGTGGCTGAGGTTGAATTGATCCAGGCTCTCTCTACAGATGTTGTCACTACTCCCCTATGCTATTGCTCATCAGAACCTATTACAAATGAAGTCCTCAGGAATTCAGAGACTAATATACTCACTATCCTCCTTCCCACCATGATTTGCACTTTGTACATGCCTACTTAACAGAAAGATTTCACATCTCATTTCCCACAGCCATGTGTTTCACATAATTGTCATTTTATAGATTAGTAGCCTTTAGCGAAGTGATAACTAGTTAGTGAATAATTCCATTCCATAATTTCCAACTTCCAAATTCAAGGCTCTCTGTTATGTTATTACTAATGTCTTTGTACAATCTCTAAAACTTGAGAATAAGAATAGTCCAAAATTTTTTAAATTTAAAAAATAGTCAATGTGACATTAGCAATAAATATGAAACAAGACTCATACTTGTGAAATCAGGGAACCAGAAAAATCATACAGGCAGAAAGGGTGCCTAAATCAAGCCATAAGAAGGAACAGTGGTGTGCATGAGCCTAAATGGCCAATGAGAAGCACCCAAGAGTACTAAGAAGACTGAATTGTATCTTTAGCCTTAGGCTGACAAATGACATTTTAAAATACCCAATATTTTAAGAGTACAGATCATAGCTTCCAAAATTTCATTACCTAGCAAAATATTTGCCACAAAATCAATCCTAATGAAGGAGGGAGAAAACTTTAATTTTGAAAACAAAAAATACAGGTTGGTGTAGTACAACATTTATGAAACCATCTGAGTTTTATAGTGTTGCATTTTGAGTTCCTTGGGAAGCAAATTCCAAAACATAAATTAGTATGCAAGATTGCTGCCAGGATTAATACTTGAGGGAGAGGGTACAACAAGCAAGATTGACAGATGGGATCGTCAAACTGCAGTGCGGTCACAATAAGGCCTCAGTTGTTCTTGCAGAAGAAGCTGTAATGGCCCTGTAGAATTGTCTCAAGTTGGAGTGACAGGACTGGGCTTATATACCCTTGCATGGCCGAGACTTTTGATGCAGTAATCCTGTGGAAAGGACACAGGGCTAATAAAAAACCAGCTATGACCCATGGCGGCTTGACAAAATCTTGTTTGTTTTTTTTCTATTATGTGTCTCCAACTATTTAAGAGATTTTAAGACATAAAATTTTACCCAAATAGGTCACGTAAAATTTTTGCAAAACAGCCAAATATTCCAGCCAAATGTACAAAGATTTGGAACACAGACTGTGTCCAGCTGAGATTAATGGCACATACCAAGCAGAAACACAGATAGAAGATATTAAGGTAAAGTGTTAGTTGTTTCAACAGTCTGTCTTCCTCACACTCTGCTGTATCCTTTAAAAGGAATTCTGTTATACCAACTGTTTCTTTTTCTCTTCTTGACCTTCAATAAATATTCTGTCTGTGTCACCTTTGTTTGCCGAGTGTGATGGTTAATTTCATGTGTCAATTTGAGAGGGCCACAGGGTACCGAGATTAAATATTGTTTCTGCGTATGCCAGATGAGATTCACATTTGAATCAATAGACTCAGTAAACTAGATTGTCCTACACAATGTGATTGGGCATCATCCAATCCTTTCAGGTCCTGAATAGAGTAAAAAGCAGGAAAAAGAGAAATTTTACCTCCCACTCCCCACCCTTGCTTCACTGCATAAACTTGGACATGCCATTTCATCTTCCCCTGCCCTCAGACTGATTTGACATCATCGGCTCCTCTGGTTCTCAGGACTAGATTACAACACTAGCTTTCCTGAGTCTCTAGCAACTTACAGACTGAAAACTGAAGATCTTCTCAACCTCCATAATCCATGAGCCAATTTCTCATATTTATATATTTCACTGGTTCTGTTTATCTGGAGAACCTTTACTAATAAATATTTTGGTAGCAAAAATGGATCTTGAGAAACAGACTTTAAGGATATGTTTTCTGAATTGGTTCTTGGGTTTCTGGAACTGGCTTTCTAATATGATTAGATTTAAAGACACTAATGACCCTAATTCTAGTAGTAAGAGAGCGTTGATAGTCCATGGTATTATGAACTGTTTACAGAGATATACAAAATATCTGTATTGCTTGCCCCTCCTAATCAACTTCTTATAAGAATGACTTATAAGAAGAAAGGAGCTAGGTGACTCTGCATATGCCTTTAAACATTTTTGGGACACTAACAAATATAATGGAATTGGTTGGTTGCTCCTAATGTCCCTGGGCAAAGTGGGGAAAGAAAAAGAAGGGCTCAGGGATTCAAATTCCCAGCTGAAGAGCCCCATAAATGACACAAGAGATTCTATGTATGCCCTGAAGGAGACCTTTATCTCCTCTAGCTGCAGAGCTAGAATTCCTGAAAATGAAACACAGAACATCATCTTGCGACTGGCTGAATTACAATGCAGATTGGAACTTCCAGCCTCTCAGAGTGTCTAATGTTAATATGAGAGCATTTACTGGAAGGGAATGGGATTCTATCAGTTGAAATGGGGACATTTGGGAAGACCATGATGAAGTTGAGGGCATTGAGCCCCAAACTTGGATGAGTCTTCTTCACCAGTAAAGAATTCTCCCTACCCCAGTGGAGTGACACTCCCACCCTCAGCAGACTTGACCCCCCTATTCATCCCCAGCAGAAGTCTCCACCCACAGTACTATCAGCCTTTCCACCTCATCTGAGAAGAATTAATCCTGCATTGCCTGAGAAAAAATTTAATACCTTCCCACCAGAAGTAGCTGCCATGCAAGACAATGCTAATTCTCCTCGGGACTCACACCCCACACTACTTTGTTTCTAGACTTATAACTAGACTCAAGTCTTAGCAGGTCTTTAAAGGGGAGGTATGATGTTTGACCCATGAGAAAGTGTATTACACTCCAGAAGAACAAATTGAGTTTTCTAACTAATATAGATAGAAATCTAGGGAACACCTGTAGAAATGGATACTAAATGTGTGCAGTAATGGTCAAAAAGTCATAAAGTTGGATCAGGTCTAACTTTATTGACATGGGCTCACTATGCAGGTTCTGCACTTAATGTTATAGCTTGGAAGTTACAAAGAGCTGGAGTTGTTTTATTTGTTGGTCGGTTGGTTAGCTGAAACATGGACCAAAAGATGGCCAACAGTGAGTAAACCAAATATTCAGGACATACCTTTGTTTAATATAGAGGGAGAAATAAAAGCTTATGGAGATTGGAATGTTAGGGTAGATTTGTCATTTAGGACATACTCATCCATACTGAGAAGGTCTAGAAAACATATCTTTTACCAATAATATGAGAAATAAATTAGTGAGGGGAGCCCCAGTATCCTTGAAGAACTCTGTGATTACTCTTCCCTGAAGGGCAGACCTTACAGTGAGAGCTATAGTCACTGAATTAGGAAACCTAAATGGAATGGAAATAATTGGATCTGTGGGCTTAGTGGTAGCATTCAAACACAAATAGTAAGTTGGATGTGGTTACCATAATACATCATAGAGTCAAAGTATCAATTAGAAGAGTCAGACTCTTACAAACTCATGGCATTGGCTAATCGATTATGGTGTTCCTTAAAACGAAATACATAGGAAACCTAATAAACACTTACCTGATCTGTATAAGCAAAATTTCCAGGTCAAGTGAACAAAAGTCTAAATTAAATTATAAAAACAGTCATGATCCCTCATTCAATTCTCAGACTTGAGTCAGTTTATAAACTCAGAGCTCTTTGAATGAAGATGAGGTCATATCCCTTTGAGGAAGCAGTCTCCAGGGCATGTCATAGATCTTCATGGCAGCCACTCCTATCACAGACCCAGAAGCCTAGGAGGAAAAAATGGTTTCACGGGCTGGGCCCAGGGTCCCTATGCTGTGTGCAGCCTAGGGACTTGGTGCCCTTCACTCCAGCCACTCCAGCCATTGTTAAAAGGGGCCAAGGAACAGCTTGGCCCATGGTTTCAGAGGGTGCAAGCCCCAAACTTTGGCAGCTTCCATGTGGTTGAGCCTGTGGGTGTACAGAAGTCAAGAATTGAGGTTTGGGAACCTCGGCCTAGCATTTCAGAAGATGTATGGAAATGCATGGATGTCCAGGAGGAAGTTTGCTGCAGGGGTGGGGCTTTCATGGATAACCTCCACTAGGGCAGTGCAGAAGGAAAATGTGGGGTCAGAGCCCCCATACGGAGTCCCTACTGGGCACCACCTAGTGGAGCAGTGAGACGAGGACCATCAACCTCCAGAACCCAGAGTGGTAGATCCACCAACAGCTTGCGCTGTGCACCTGGAAAAACTGTAGACACTCAATGCCACCCTTTGAAAGCATCAGGGAGAGTGGCTGTACCCTGCAATGCCACAGGGGCGAAGCTGTCCAAGCCCAAGGAAACCTGCTTCTTGCATCAGTGTGACCTGAATGTGAGACATGAAGTCAAAGGAGATCATTTTGGAGTTTTAAGATCTGACTGCCCTGCTGGATTTTAGACTTGCATGGGGCCTATAGCCCCTTTGTTTTGGCCAATTTCTCCCATTAGGAATGGCTGTATTTAGCCAATGCCTGTACCCCCATTGTATCCAGGGGGTAATTAACTTGCTTTTAATTTTACACACTTTGGACACAAGGCAGAAGGGACTTGCCTTGTCTAAGATGAGACTTTGGACTGTGGACTTTTGAGTTAATGATGAAATGAGTTGAGACTTTGGGGGACTGTTTGGAAGGCGTGATTGGTTTTGAAATGTGAAAATATGAGATTTGGGAAAAGCCAGGGGAAGAATGATATGGTTTGTCTCTGTATCCCTACCCAAATCTCATCTTGTAGCTCCCATAATTCTCACATGTTGTAGTAGGGACCTGGTGGAGGATGATTGAATCATGGGGGTGGGTCTTTCCCATTCTGTTTTCATGATAGTGAATGTGTCTCATGAAATCTGACGGTTTTAAAAATGGGAGTTTCTCTGCACAAGCTCTCTCTTTGCCTGCTCCCATCCATGTATGGTGTGACTTGCTCCTCCTTGCCTTCTGCCATGATTGTGAGGCCTCCCCACCCATGCGGAACTGTAAGTCCAATAAAGCTCTTTCTTTTTTAAATTGCCCAGTCTCAGGTATATCTTTATCAGCAGCATAAAAACAGACTAATACATATCCTTTGCCAATTTTTAATGAGGTTACTTGTTTTTTACTTGTTGATTTTTCTGTTTCTTATAGATTCCAGGTGTTAGGCCTTATCAGATGTATAGTTTGCAAATACTTTCTCCCATTTGGTAGGTTGTCTGTTTACTCTGTTGATAGTTTCTTTTACTGTGCAGAAGCTCTTTAGTTTAATTAAATCACAGTTGTCAATTATTGTTTATGTTGCAGTTGCTTTTGGGGACTTTGACAAAAGTTATTTGCCAAGGCCAATGTCGAGAAGGGTACTTCAGATGTTTTCTTCTAAGATGTTTACAGCTTGAAGTATTATACTTAAATCTGTAATCCAGTTTGAGTTGATTTTTGTATATGGTGAAAAGTAGGGGTCCACTTTCATTCTTTGCATATGGTTAGCCAGTTATCCAGCACTTTTTATTGAATAGGGAGTCCTTTCCCCATTGCTTGTTTCCGTTGGCCATATAAAAGACTGTGTGGCTTTATTTCTGAGTTTTCTATCTATTCTATTTTGTTGGTCTATGTGTGTGTTTTTGTACTAGTACCATGCTGTTTTAGTTACATAACCTAATAATATATTTTGAAGTCAGGTAGTGTGATGTCTTAAGCTTTGTTTTTTGTTGTTGTTTTTTTGTTTTGTTTTGTTTTGTTTTCTCTAGGATTACTTTGGGTATTTGGGCTCTTTTTTGGTTTCATATGCATTTTATTGTAAAACATTATTCTAGTGTTTTCTAATTCTGTGAATAATGATGTTGGTAGTTTGAATAACAATGAATCTATAAGTTGCATTGCACAGAGTCTTTAGTGTTTTCTCCATATGGAATCACATAATTAGCAACAGAGTTAGTTTGAATTCTTGTTTTTCTATGTGGATGCCTTTTATTTCTTTCTCTTGTCTGATTGCTCTGGCAAAAGTCAAAATATCCATTATAAGAAAGAACTGAACGAACTTCTGAAATTGAGAAATTCTCTACAAGAATATCACAATACAATTGGAAGTATTAACAGCAGAATCAACCAAGATGAGGAAAGAGTCCCAGAGCTCAAAGACCAGTTATTTGAATCAAATCAGTCAGACAAAAATAAAAAATTAAAAAAAAAACAAAATCTTTGAGAAATATGGGATTGCGTAGCGAGACCAAATCTATGACTAATCAGCATTCCTGAGAGAGAAAAAGAGAGTAAGCAAATTGGAAAACATATCTGAAGATACGGTCCATGAAAATTTTCCAATCTTGCTAGAGAGCTGGATATGCAAATTCAAGGAATACAGAAAACCTTTGTAAGATACTATACAAGATGACCAACCCAAGGCATGCAGTAACAAGATTCACCAAGGTCAAGGCAAATGAATAAATATTAAAGGCAGCTAGAGAGAAAGGTCAGGTCACTTACAAAGGGAGCTCCATCAGACTAGCAGCTGACCTCTCAGCAGAAACCATAAAAGCCAGAAGAGATAGGGGACCTCTTATCAACATCCTCAAAGAAATGAAATTCCCACCAAGCATTTCATGTCCCACTAAACTAAGCTTCATAAGCAAAGGAGAAATAAAAGCTTTCTCAGAAAAGCAAACACTAAGAAAATTTGTTGCCACCAGATAAGCCTTACAAGAGGTCATTAAGGGAGTCATAAACATGGAGACAAAAGATTGATACCTGCTACCACAAAAACACACTCAAGCACATAACCCACCGGCAATATAAAGCAATTATACAATAAAAGTGTGCAGGAATTTTTATTGCCTTTCATTTTCATGAGATATTATACTGATCCATTACATTGATGATTTTATACTGTTTGGATCCAGTGGGCAAGAATTAGCAACTACTCTAGACTTATTGGTAAGACATTTCTGTGTCAGGGTATGGGGAATAAATCTGACTAAAGTTCACAGACCTATATCTCAGTGAAATTTTTAGGAATCCAGAGATATCAAGCATTTCTAGATATTCCTTCTAATATGAAGGTTTAATTGCAGCTAGCTCCTCCTACAACCAAAAAAAATGCAGAATGCCTAGTGGGTCTCTTTCAATTTTTGAGGCAACATATTTCCCATTTGAGTGGGTTACTCTGGATCATTCTCCAAGTGCCCAGAACACTACTAATTTTGAGTGGGTTCCATTACAAGCGAAGTCTCTACAACAGGTCCAGGCTGCTGTGCATGCTACTCTGCCTCTTGAACCATATGATCTAGCAGATCCAATGGTGCTTAATGTGTCAGTGATAAATAGGGATAATGTATGGAGCCTTGGGCAGACCTCTGTAAGTGAATCACAGTGCAGGCTTTTAGGATTTTGGACCAAGATGCTGCCATTCTCTGTAGACGATCACTCTCCTTTCTAGAAACAGCTCTTTGCCTGCTAGTAGGTCTTAGTAGAGACTGAATGCTCAATCATGGGCTACCAAGTAACCATGCAACCTGAGCTACTTACCATAAATTGGGTATTATTTGACTCAGTAAATCATAAAGTTGGCTGTGCATAACAACCCTTCTTGATCTAATGGAAGGGTTATGTGACTAGACCTGAGGAAGCTCTGAAGGCACAAGTAAGTTACTTGAAGGTCTCGAATGCTCCTAGTTCCTCTATGCTGTTTTAACTCTTGCTATGCTGTTTTAACTCTCATAGCTTGTACCTGTAGTTTCATGGCAAGTTCTCTATGATCAACTGACAGAAGAGAAGACTTGAGCCTCGTTTACAGATGGCTGTGCATTATATGCAGGCACCACCTTAAAGTAGACAGGTGCAGCACTATAGACCCTCTCTGGGACACCTTTGAAAGATGGTTATAAAAGGAAATCCTCTTAGTGAGCAGAATTTTTAGTAATGTACCTAGTTGTTCATTTTCCTTAGGAGGAGAAATGACCAGACATGCAATTTTATACCAACTTATGGGCTATTCCAGTGATTTAGCTGAATGGGTGTGGACTTGGAAGAAACATTATTCAAAAATTGACAATAAGGTAATTTTGGAGATAGGTAAGTGGATAGATATTTCTGAGTGGGTTTAAAAAGGAAGATATTTATGTCCCCTGTGAAGGCACACCAAAGGCTGACATCAGCAGAGGATGATTTTAATAATCAAGTTGATAAGATGACCCATTTTATGGGTATAAGCAACACTCTTTCCACAGCCCCTCCTGTCATTGCCCAATAGGCTAATGCACAAAGGCATCACAATGGCAGGGATGGAGGTTAAAAGCATGGTCTCAGCAACATTCACTTCCACTCACTAAGACCTAGTTGTCTATGGCCATTGTTAAGTGCCCAATCTGTCAGCAGTGGAGACCACCACTTAGCCCTAAATATAATGCCATTCCTTAGGTTTATTAGCTAGTTACCTGGTGGCAGGTAGATTACATTGGATTATTTCCATCACAGAAGGAACAGTGTTTTGTTTACATGAGAATAGACCCTTACTCTGATTACAAATTTGCATTCCCTGCATGCAGAGCTTCTACCAAAAAATACTACCTGTAGACCTACAGAATGCTTAATCCACCAACCTGATATTCTATACAGCATTGTTTCTGATCAAGAAACTGATATCACAGCAAAAGAAGTGAACAATGGATCCATGTCCATCCATTCATTGGTCTTACCGTGTTCCTTACCTTCCTGAAACAGCTGCCTTGTTAAGAGGTCAAATGGCCTTTTGAAGATTCAGTTACAGTGCTAGCTAAATAGCAATACCTTACAGGGTTGGAATAAGGTTCTTCAGAAAGCTGCATATGCTCTGAATCAACATCCAATATATGTTGCTGTTACTCCCATAGCTAGGAGTCACAGGTCCAGGAATCAAAGAGTGGTAATGGGATTGGCACCACTCGGCTCTTACTTTGTGGCACCACTCACTATTTTTGCTTTCTGTTTCAACAACCTTATGCTCTGCTACACTAGAGGTCTTAGCTCCAGAGGAGGGAGTGTTTCTACCAGGAGACACAACAATCATTCAATTTAACTAGAGGTCTGTGTTTTCAGTACTTCTACCTGGTTTCAGTAGTTCTATCTGGCATGTTTTCACTAAAAGATACCCTAAAGGGTATCCTGTATTCCAGAAATACTTCTCCTTACCTCTGCTGTGGAGTAGTAGTTCAATTTCCTCCTGATAGTCAGGATCAATTGCTTCAGCCATCCCAGTAATTCCCTTCTTTGGCTGTTGATTCAGAAGTATGGAGAGTCCAAAATGTAGCAAACTACAACTGCCTGAGGTGCTTGCTGAAGGCAAAGGAACTATAGAATGAGTAGTGAACTAAGATAGTTGTAAGGACTAGGTGTAATACCAAGACCAATTAAAGAAAAAAAGATTGTAATTGTTAAGAGCATTTCTTCCTTCATTTGTGATGAATACTTTGTGTGTGTGTGTGTATGGGTGTGCGTGAAATATCTTTTTTTTCTTTACTCTGTTATCATTTTTGTAACATAAAATGTATTAACTTATTTAAGTATTCAAATTTAACTATTTAAGCATTTTATATTACAGTCATTAATTATTTTACATCATGGTATTTAGTATTTATGTTACAGGATATTAAGAAGAGTAAACATCACTCAAAGACTTTACCTCCTCTTCTTGGAAAAGGGTTAGTGCATTTTTTGTTGTAAGCAGGGTAGTCATATCATTTTAAGTGGAATCATGACCTTGTTAGTGCCTTTATTTGGATATTAAGTGTGGTTTAAGTATATGTGTATGGATACCAAGTTCATAAGTGGTGAAATTGTGATGGTTAATTGTATGTGTCAACTTCACTAGGCTACAATGTATCCAGATATCTGATCAAACATTATTTCTTGGTGTTTCTGTGAGGGTGTTTCTAGAAGAGATTAGTACTTAAATAATGGATGTGGAGGGAGTAAAGCAGATGACCCTCCTCAATGTGAATGGGCATCTTTTAACTTATTGAGGGCCTGAACAGAACAAAAGTGGAAAAACTTCAAAATTGCTGTCCTCAGCCTACCTGCTTGAGCTGGAACACTGATATTCTCCTGCCCTTAGCAGTCCTGGTTCTTAGATCTTCAGATATGGATTGGAGTCTATATCATCAGCCCTCTCTCTCTTAGGCCTTAGAACTACACTACGGGCCTTCCTGTGTCTCCAGCTTGCAAATGGCATATGGTGGGATTTCTTAGGCTCCATAATTGCATAAGCCAGTATCTTATTTTATATATATATATGCATTTCTAACATATATGTAACTTCTTATTGGTTCTGTTTCTCTAGAGAATCCTGACTAATACATATGGAAAAGGGGAGAAACAAGAGGCCATATGTAGCCTACAAGAAATAGATCTTTTGGGTAGAAAATATAGAATGAGGGAGACAGTCTGAGATACAACTGCCATCCCTGGGGAACATATTAGAAGTGGTAAGAGACATTTTTTAATGTGTTTCATGATCCATTAAGCACATAGTATCCTCTTTAACTACCATTACTTTATTTGGATAATTTGCTGAGTCTAGAAATCGTAATTGCTTATACATACACACGCATTATTATTATTGTAAGAAACATTACCATTTTTCAAGGAGAACACAGTTAATGGAACAGTTAAGCTTCCAATTACACTTGAGTGTAAAAAGAAAACTTGAAAAGTAAATAGAACCTAACAATTCCAGAAATAAAAGTAACACCTTGATTAATATAAATATACAAATGGAGTATAGTCTTATCTTTGTGTTTCCAGTGACATTTTGTGTATATAAAGTATATATATTTTTCTCTTTTTTTGCATGAATGTTTGCATTTTGCAGGTTCTTACACTTTGCACTTTTTTTCAGTGAATTTAGCCTAGTAATCAGATCATATCTAGTTTGTAGTAAGCTTCTCTTTTTATTGGCTATTATTTTATTGTGTGTACCTACTTAATAAAATATGTCATATTTTTCCAATTTTCTCTATATAACAGATAACTAGGTGTCTATCTAAATATTTGCTTTCCCATTCATAGTATAGATATATTACTTGGGAGCAGATGCTCAACCTGAGACTATATGTCCAAGACCCTTTTTAATCTAGTGGTTATGTGATTAGGTCTTACCAATAAAATGTGAAAATAAGTTATATGTCTCTTCTGCGGAAGTACTTTTAAGGAGTATGCAGGCTTCCTCCATCTTCTTTTTCTCCCTACTGCCAGTTAGATGCAGAGGACAATGAATGAATGACACTAAATACAGAACATTGTTCTGTCATTAGCCCCGATGTTAAGTGGAACAATGTGAATTCATTCATTGTCTTTTATGCTCTTCCACATCTTTCTGGAAAAGGGAATGTGGGTGGTAATTAAAAAAAATTAGCATGTTTAGGAAATGTGGGGTTTTTTTTTCAGTCTTCCTTATTGAATGATACTGTGACTTGGTATAAAATTTTAAGAAAGAAATAATTTTTGTTCAGAATTTTGAAGATGTTGCTACATTGTCTCTTAGTGCCTAGGGTTGGTGTTAATAAATATGAAGTCATCTGGTTCCACTCCATTGCATGTAATCTGTAATTTGTTTGTTTTATTTTCTTCTACCTAAAAATGTTTCAGAATATTCTTTTTATATTTGAGAGTCTGGCATTTAATGGGGTGATTTTTCATCTCATGGACAGGGCATTTGATGGCACCTTTTTAAACTACAAACTGAGAAATTTTCTTGAATTATTTAAATAATGAATTCTTTCTTTCCATTTGTTATTTTCTAGGGTCTTATTCAAATGCTGCACCTTCTGGGAAATACCTCCCAGAAGGTATATATTTCATTCATTTCCTTTTGTGAAGGATTCCTTCCATTACCTCCCATAGATTCTATATGTTTCAACAGATGTTTCACCATTACTATTGTTTTTAACCTCCAAGCAGCATTTTCTTTATTCCTAGAGTGTGTATTTTCTTAGCACATCCTATATTACTTTATATATATAATATTCTCCCATTTCTCTCTGACAATATTCATAACAATAACTTTTCTTTTAGTTTTTTTTTTATTTTGTTTTCCTCCAAGTTAATTTTTTGTTTGTTCGTTTGCTTATTTTGTATGCTAACCTTCACCTTAAATTTATACTACTTGTCTGTTGGTTGTTGCTAATGATAGAGGTTGTGGAGCTAGTTATAATTTAGAAGCTTTGAATGGGTGAGAGTTGTCAAATTTGAGCTTCCATATAGCATGACTCAGGAAGGTAAGTTATTGGGGTACACCAGACAGCAAAATCTTTAATCTTTTTCCTTAATATGTTCAGGTTTCCATCACAGAAACATTCTAGCTTCTTGTCTGGAGGGTAGAAGTCAATATGTTAAACTTGGAAGAAAATGTAAGAAGCAAATGTGAGAAGAGAGAAGACAGTCTGTCATTCAGCATAAATGTGCATAAATTAATTTAAACTTCTGAGTTCAGAATGGATACTCTTACCAAAAATATGTCTTCAGACTTTTGCTCTAAGAAGTGAGAATCAGCATCCAGAGGCATGGAGAGGAGAGGAAACCCAGGAATCTTGTTTTTCCCTTTTGTCCTCCTTATTTTAACTTCCCCAGCTCCTTATCCTGACCTAATGCCCTCTTGGGGGTCCCTGGGATGGGAATTGTTGGATAAGGATTAGGCTCCATTCAAGATGCAATCTGCTAAGTCAGCTCACTCATCCACTTACTTATATTGTTTTGGTTTCCTCTACTTCTCAACCCTTGAATGTTGTATTTCTTTCTTTGTTTAGTTTTAGTGGTTTTAGTACAATTAGATGTATATATTGCATCTGACATGATAATATAGCTCTCCTGTATAAGTTTCTACCTACTACATTGTAGAATTACGAGGAATAAATTTAAAAAAAATAGTAAGCCCGGCACTTTATATGTAGTAAGTACTGAATATACTTGATAATTACTATACTTCCACTAGACCCAAACTTCAACGAGAGAAAAAACTATGTCAATCTCTTTTTTATCCAAGCACATAGCATAACTTGGTACATTGAAAAAGACCACAGACTCAATATTTATTTAATCATGTGTTGAATAAGTGAATGAATAAATTAAAAGTAAAAATTATCAAACATGAATGAATCTGAAAGACACCCTGGTCATGAGTTTTGGGCCTTGCGTAGGCAGTGGCTATTTGTAGCAGCTGGGAGCCCTGGAGGAGAGCTTTAAACTCAGATCATTTTTTTATTATAGTTCCAACTTTGTTATCAATTAAATAAGCTGGAGAAGGCAATGAACATGTTCTTTTCTTCCTTTCTTTTACATGGTCATAATATTGCCAATCTATCTCATAAGTGTGTTTCATTCGGTGAGATAATATACATGAAAATACAGTGACAGTTATAAAGTTCTTAATTTATTAATTAATAAATGGTAGCATCAGTGAGTCTATGCATTGCATATTGCCTATTCATTACTTATTGATTTATGAAAATGTCAGTATTGTGTCTTCTTCATCTGAGAGGGAACTTACTGTGATGTTAAAAGCTTGAGCTCTGGAACAGACTGCCTGCACCCAAATCTTATAGTAAGGTTTCCTTGGGCAAGCTACTTAACGTCTCTATGCCTGTTTCTTTTGTTTTATAATGAAGAATTGCCTCATAAAGTTGTTTAATAAATTAAGTATATGTAAAGTTCAATAAATTAGACATATGTAAAAAACCTAGTGTTCGGTTTATAATATACGACCTCAATACATGTTAGCTATTATTTACATATTACCTATCATATATTCAATATATAGAGGCTCTAGCCAACACTTTGGATATATAAAAGTTCATGCTTGGATTGTTATTTATCACACTTACATTTTCATATGCTAACTCTCTTGAACTCTTTTTTTATTTCCTTTAAATTTTGTTTATTTATTTTTAAAGATAGAATCTCACTATTTGTCCAGGATGATCTTGAACTCCTAGACCCAAGAAATCTTTCTGCCTCAATCTCCCAAGTAGCTGAGATTATAGTCACAAGCCAATATGCCCAGCTCATTGAATGCTCTCAAAACACAACTTCTGGCTGGAAAAATACCTGTCGTGTGTGTGCTTCCTATTTCTGCTTTTGAACAACATTGTTACAGAGTTTCTTGCATAAAGCTCTTCAGAATATATGATGTCCAACTGTTAATTTAACCTTAAAGAGAATAGAAAAATTAGGATGTGAAAAAATTAACATGATAAAACATTATATACAATAAACATTAGAAGTTATAAATGACCAATTCATTGGAAAACACAAATTTTTTTACAAGAAAAAAAGCACAATTGTCTATGTTTTTCATTTGGTTTAAATTCAATTAAAACTTACACACTTAAGTTGTAAATTGAAGGTATTATTTGATAAAGCTATTTTCTACTTAAATTATCAACATAGTTCCAACATTTGAAAACACGTATTTTTATGGAAGAATTTGAGTTTTCAGAATTTTTTCTTGGGACTGACCTGAGTTGTATTAAAAATTTATAATATGCCTTACTTTTAAACTTTCCTATCTTTTCTATACTGTGTAAATCTAATCTATAGTTATTCTGAATGCAATTGGCTTTGGAATTAAGGTTTTGTTTTAGCTAAAAATGTTAATTCCTAGTTAATAAATCATTTGAATTTTAAGGAACAAGTTTAATTCCCCAATTATAACTCTGGGAGAAAATTGCTGTTCTAACATATCAAATACTTTTAAGAGAGTCATTTTCCAAGTAGAATACATTCTATTCTATGACTAGCACTGAATTAGGTTTTCAGAATTCACAGATTTCAACATGTAGTCTGAGACTGCAACACAAAGATGATGAAGTTTGTGAAGACAAAACAGTTAGCTAGATGCCTGTTAAGAAGCATTTTAAAATCAATTTGGAGGGCATCTTTGATTTTTCCCGTAATGTGAATCTTTCCCCCTTAGTAATGCAAGACTATGTGGAGCAGTGCTGTCTGGAGGACAACTTGTGATAGCTACATCCTGTGGTGGTGGTGACCAGCAGCAGTGACTTCGTCTACCTGGTCTATCCTTGTGCTAAAAAATGTTCATTGTCCTTCCTGTTCTGGACCCTGTGGAGCTACTTTGATTCTTGCAAGACTTCTAAGTCTAATTCTCTAAGCAGCTATTTATTCAGTAAGCCACTTCTTTTCTTCCATTCTATTCTATTTAAGATAACAATAATCAGTTTCTGTTGCTTGCAATCAGGATTTCTAAATGGATATAATGTTAATGAGATACCACAGTGCAGTGGAATGTGGTAAAGATTTGGAGTTAATCAGACTCATGTCTTGTTTGTGCTATTTCTTACCGAAAAATGGTCTCAAATTACTTTACCCCTAGTGCCTCATTCTCCTCATTTATAAAATTGAATTTATATTACTTACACCAGAGAGCTGTTCTTCAGCTTGAAATAATAATAGCATCTAACACAGTGTCTGACAAACAGGGTTAGACAATGGAAAAGAAATAGTGATCCAAACACCCTTGGATCATTTCTTTTTGCATTTAACCCTTCCTCAGTCACTGAAATATCTTCTTGAGAAATTCACTGTGAACTGGAAATGCATTTGACAATATACATTGTGGTGCAGAATTTCAAGCTTTTTAAAGAAAAGTTTATTTTTTTGTATTGTTAGCCTTGAAAAGGTATTTTCACATCTTTAGACACTTGGAACAAGTGTGAATAAGAATTTTGGTCTTGATGAAAATATAGTCATCTTACTATTAGAAGGGAGTAAGTGCCTTTTACTCCCTTCTTGATTTCCATGATGAGAGATTTCTTTTCCTAGGACTTTCTCCACCCACTTAAAACCTCTACCTTTTCTCCTCTTGTTGCCTATAGGGAACACATGTTCTCCTACCATCGCTATCCCACTACCACAGCAAGAGCCTGCCCCAGATCAGCATTGCCTAGAATTGAGTGAGCAACTTTCCCTATATCTAAAATTCGTATAGTAGTCCCATCTGTCTCTTACACAAAGTTGTGTACCCTTACCTAACTTTATCAGTAGTAAAAGTGATGTTTAGACTCCTTATTCTCTCTGTTATTTCTCAAATTGCACAGAAGCTCAATGAAGAAGAGACATGGTGCTTATGAGAGGATCCCCCTCTGGAGCCCAGCACTTCAAAGGAGGCTAAAAGGGTTTCTGGTCTGCTTAAAGGTTCAATTGTCCTAACTAAATCTTTTCAAACTCGATTAGCTGTATTTACAAGACACCATACATTAGAACTCTTTCTATAGCAAAAAGCAAAAATGCCTTTGACTGTACACTTGTAAGGTGAGTAAGGCTGGCAGATAATTCTCTGTGGGTAATAACATGGTGAACCTATATTTAGAAAACCCCATTGTCTCAGCCCAAAAATTCCTTAAGCTGATAAGAAACTTCAGCAAAGTCTAAGGACACAAAATCAATGTACAAAAATCACAAGCATTCCTATACACCAATGATAGCCAAATCATGAGTGAACTCCCATTCACAATTGCTACAAAGAGAATAAAATACCTAGGAATACAACTTGCAAGAGATGTGAAGGACTTCTTCAAGGAGAACTACAAACCACTGCTCAAGGAAATAAGAGAGGACACAAACAAATGGAATAATATTCCATGCTCATAGATAGGAAGACTCAACATGAAAATGGCCATATTGCCCAAATTAATTTATAGACTTCATGTTGTCCCCATCAAGGTAACATTGACTTTCTTCACAGAATTAGAAAAAAAACTACTTTAAATTTCATATGGAACCAAAAAAGAGCCCATATAGCCAAGAAAATCATAAGCAAAAAGAACAAAGCTGGAGGCATCATGCTACCTGACTTCAAACTATACTACAAGGCTAGAGTAACCAAAACAGCATGGTACTGGTACCAAAACAGATATACAGACGAATGGAACAGAACAGAGGCCTCAGAAATAATGCCATACATCTACAACCATCTGATCTTTGATGAACCCGACAAAAACAAGCAATGGGGAAAGGGTTCTCCATTTAATAAATGGTGTTGGGAAAACTGGCTAGCCATCTGCAGAAAACTGAAACTGGATGCCTTCCTTACACATTATACAAAAATTAATTCAAGATGGATTAAAGACTTAAACATAAGACCTGAAACTATAAAAATCCTACAAGAAAATCTAGGCAATACTATTCAGGACATAGGCATGGGCAAATACTTCATGACTAAAACACCAATAGAAACGGCAACTAAAGTCAAAATTGACAAATGGGATCTAATTATACTAAAGAGCTTCTGCACAGCAAAAGAAACTCATCAGAGTGAACAGACAACCTAAAGAATGGGAGAAAATTTTTGCAATCTATCCACCTGACAAAAGGCTAATATCCAGAACCTACAAAGTACTTAAACAAATTTACAAGAAAAAATCAAACAACCCCATCAAAAAGTGGGCAAAGGATATGAATAGACACTTCTCAAATGAAGACATTTATGCGGCTGACAAACATAAAGAAAAAAACGCTCATCATCAGTGGTCATTAGAGAAATACAAACCAAAACCACAATGAGATACCATCTCACGCCAGTTAGAATGGCAATCATTAAAAAGTCAGGAAACAACAGATGCTGGAGACGATGTGGAGAATTAGGAACGCTTTTACACTGTTGGTGGGATTGTACATATAGTTCAACCATTATGGAAGACAGTGTGGTGATTCCTCAAGGATCTAGAACCAGAAATTTCATTTGACCCAGCAATCCCATTACTGAGTATATATCCAAAGGATTGTAAATCATTCTATTATGAAGACACATGTACACGTATGTACTGCAGCACTGTTCACAATAGCAAAGACTTGGAACCAACACAAATGCCCATCAAAGATAGACTAGATAAAGAAAATGTGGCACATATACAACATGGAATACTATGCAGCCATAAAAATGATGAGTTCATGTCCTTTGCAGGGACATGGGTGAAGCTGGAAACCATCATTCTTAGCAACTAACACAGGAACAGAAAACCAAACACCGCATGTTCTCACTCATGAGTGGGAGTTGAACAGTGAGAACACAGGGACACAGGGAGGGAAACATCACACAGTAGGGCTTGTCGGGAGGTGGGGGGCTCGGGGAGGGCTAGCATTAGGAGAAATACCTAATATAGATGACGGGTTGATGGGTGCAGCAAACCACCATGGCACGTGTATACCTATGTAACAAACCTGCACGTTCTGCACACATATCCTAGAACTTAAAGTATAATAAAAAAAGAAAAAGAAGAAGAAGAAATAGATTAGATATCAGAACTCATCATATATTTTAAGAATAAATACTGTTTTGTGAAACTTCCAAAAAAGAGAAAAACTCATAATGCATTATCACCAGGAACTGCATTTTTAACACTCTCATTAACATACCCTGAGAAAACAAAAGTAAATAAATCAAACTAACTTTTTGAGTACCTAGCATGCAATAAGTCCTTAGCAAGAAAAATATCATTTTAGAAATAAGGAAACTGAGCCTGAGAGGAGTTAAGTAAGCTAAAGACATGTATTAGTAATCAGTGGAACCAGGATGAAAACATAAGGTGTTTGACTCCAAAAATCTGTTCCCTTTAATGGAATATCCATAACTCTTGTAACCCTGCAGCATTTTCACCCTAGTTAGAGAGATATGATTTACAGTTTCAGATACATATGTATAATTTTTCAACTCTTTCTACTCCCCATAAATAACAATTTTTACAAATATATAGAAATCAAGATTGATCATGTGAAGTTCAAATTCAAGGAATTCAAATTATTGAAAAAAAGGCATTATACTATAAGGCTAGTCAGAGATTGAGTGGGAAGAAAAGGAAGAAAATGTATAAATATATATGTGTATGTGTATATATTCACATTCTCTTCTCAGAAGATAGGCCTTCCATTAACTTCAGTAGGCAGCTGCTTGAATTGTATCCATTATCTGCATAAATATATAATGTCCCAAGTGTGCAATTATGTAGGTCCACAGTTAAGAATGAGTCGGTTTTAAAATCTATGTGCTGGGAACCTGACTGTTTCTGAAATATTTGCATTTGAAAGAATAGAGACTCTTCATAGAAACTGTCAGCAGCTCAATGCAGCTTATTAGTGCCCATTTTATACTAAAGAATGAGCATTATGGCTTGGAATTCTCTTTCTCCCCAGCCAGAGAGACACGCTTTCCCTATCACAGTTTGATGAGTCTGGGGTTAGTTGGCTTATTGCCCATTCCACTGATGCAGAACACTCTGTGCACATTTGGGCTTATAATATATAAGAAGTCCATATCTGAAACACAATATGGGTAGTCCATTTACTATTCAATCGATACCATCATTCACTGAGCTAAATATACATGTTTATTATTTCATCACAATTGCATTATCATCGTTAAAAATCTTCCACAATCCTTTTTCTAAGTTCCTGACTACACACAAAACAGTTGTGTGTTTCCCTAGAAAGTTAACAATCTAAGTAAAGTTACAAACTTTGAAAGTGCAGTTGCGCGACTTTATATAGAAGAGAGATGATCTGTTTAATTTTATGTTTGATTAGCACACGTTTTTATGTAATCTTATCATTTATATTTCTAATGAAAGAATTGCTATATCTTCAACATCTACTGAATTCTACTAAGCAAAACTAAGTAGCTTATTCAAATCATGCTAACATTTATACCTTAAAGCAAATTCTAATAATGTTAGGAAGATAGGATTCCTTCATTCACATGCATATTTGTTCATTTTCATACTGCTATAAAGAACTGCCCAAGGCTGAAAAAATTCATACTAACACATGCTTTGTAAGTCTTTTAAATAATGTATATTTTATTAATTATTATACAACTATAAATCCAAAGCTTGATTTTTTCAATTTATGTTTTATCTTTATTTTATTTTTTATTTTTGGAGAGAGTATCACTCTGTTGCCCAGGCTGCAGTGCGGTGGTGTGATAATAGCTCACCACAACATCAAACTTCTGGCTCAAATGATCCTCCTGACTCAGCCTCCCAAGTAACTAGGACTACAAGTGTAAGCCACCATGCTGGCGATGTTTTTATTTTTTGTGGAGATTAAGTTAAGTTTTCACTATGTTGACCAGGCTGGTTTCCAACTTCTGGCCTCAAGCAATTCTCCTGTCTTGGCCTCCCATAGTGCTGGGATTACAGGCATGAGCCATTGCACCCAATCCAAAGCTTAATTTTCTTTCCGCTTGGAACCAAGATGTCAACTGATGCCCAGCCAGCAAGTCATAAAACAGGGCCAGCTGACTCACTTTGATGGTCATCACCTACTTCAAATGTGTACTGAACCCTACTCAGGATCTCTATTACAAATATGAGAATCTCTCACTTTGCCCTGTCTCACAAACATTCAAACTCTCCAACTGAAAACTTCCAACCATTCACTGCTTCTCCTTCCAATGACTCTAAAATACGACCTCAAATTCTAATTTTTGGAGAAATTAGAAACCATGCAAATAGGAAATACCTCATTTTACTAATATGAAAAACTATAAACCTACCCTGCTCTACACCCATTCTATATTCCATCAATATAGTTAAAAGAGACATGCATTTATACATTTTGAGTATGTCTTCAATTGCGTTTTATTAATAGATATCATTTTAGTCTCAGTTCTCTAATTTTACAGAATCTGGCAACATAAATAACAGGAATTTTTCTTTGTTTTCCTTGTATAAAAAGCCCCTTAACTTTGTGTAAAAGTCCCTTAACTTTGTATAAAAGTTAGTCTTCACCTTTCAATTTGTTCAAGTCTCTCCTACTACAAAGCAACCTCATTCAAACCACAAGATACTACTCTGAGTCCATTTTCACATTCCCCATTCATTCTTCAAGTCATTTTAATATAACTTCTTGCTTATCATTTAAAATACAGTCCTCTTGTTTTTTGTTAAAAACAATGTATAGAATTAAATTATCTATGCTTTAAATATTTCGAATAATTATCTGCTAACACTTTTTTGTACCTGGTGTTATTTACTGAGCAGATTCAAAATTTTCAAGTTATTGTACTACTAATCTTTCTGTGTCATGTGAATGAGTTTTGGTAGGCTATGGTTTTTATAAGTAATTTTATATGCTTTCTAATGTAAAATTGGGACTACATTTTTTTGATATAATTTTTAATTTCTTGGGAGGCTGAGCAGACAGATTGCTTGAGCCCAGGAGTTTGAGTCAAGCCTTGACAACATGGGGAAGCCTATCTCTACAAAAAAAAAATGTAAAAATTAGCCAGGTATGGTGGCATGCACCTGTAGTTCCAGCCCTGAGGTGGGAGGATCATCTGGGCCTGGAAAGGTTGAAGCTGCAATGAGCCATGATTATATCACTACATTTCAGTCTGGGCAACAGAATGAGACTCTGTCTCATAAAAAAAAATTAAATTTCTATTCTATTATTATGACCCTTTGTATATTTCCATATTTATATTTGAGTGTCTCTTATTCGTCTTTTGTCTTAAGCCATCTTTTCTTGTTGTTTGTTTGTTTTTGTTTTTGCGATGGAGTTTTGCTCTGTGGCCCAGTCTGGAGTGCCATGGCGTGATCTCGGTTCACTGCAACCTCCCCGTCTCAAGTTCAAGCAATTCTGGTGCCTCAGCCTCCCAAGTAGCTGGGACTACAGGCGCCCACCACCAGACCCAGCTACTTTTTGTATTTTTAGTAGAGACGGGGTTTCACCATGTTGGCCAGGCTGGTCGCAAACTCCTGGCCTCAGGTGATCCGCCAGCCTCGGCCTCCCAAAGTGCTGGGATAACAGGCATGAGCCACCACGCCCCGCCGTATTAAGCAATCTTGATAGAGATTTGTTGTTTACTGTTCTTTTAAAGTACTGATTTCTAACTTTGTCTATCTTCTTTATTTTATATTTAATTTTTACATGTACATTTTATCTTTATTTTTCTTTCCTTTTTAGGGGGGCTCCATTTGCTATATTTTTGTAACTTTTTAAGATGGATACCTCCTTGATTTTTAGCTTTTTCTTTTTTATATATAAGTATTTGGTTCAATTTTGATATGGAATGCTTTCATTATTGTTTGGTTCATGTTTAAATTTTTGTTATATTTTTTAACCCATTAGTTGTTTGGAAGTATAAGATTTCTGAATATATTTATTTGGTATTTTAAAATTATTTTTTTCTAATTTAATAATATTGCAGTAATTTGTATAATTTGCTACATTGCCAATTATTTGAAGCTTGATTAGATGTGTATTACAGTCTATTTCAAAGTCAGTTTTTATAAATACACTATGTGTGCTTGGAAAATAAATTACCTGTTCTCCAGTTTTGCAATTCCAGGTTCAATATATGTTCATGTGAGCAAACTTAGTAACTGTATTGTTCATATCTTCCATATATTCAGTAAATTTAATTTTAGATCTCTTAATAGTTAGAATGAAACCTCTCCATGCATTGGTAGATTTATTAAGTTCTCCCTATCATCTGTTTTTTTGTTTTTGGTATCTTTGAATATGTTATTAGGTACGAAAATGTAGAATTCTCTATATGCCTCATATTAATTGAAAGATTTTATCTCAAAGAATGGTTTCAGCTTTAAGTTCAATTTTGTCTCAGCTTCAACTCTAGCCTGATTGGTGATTATATTCCTTTTCTTTTAATGTCCCTAGCTCTTTGAGCTTTATATGAATTTCTCGTGAATTAAACATAAATTGATTCATAAAAATAAATCTTATAGTCCCTACAGGTGTTTGTTTCAGCTAATTTTTGCTTTCTATTACTACTGATTTTTCTGTTTTTTTCTATGTATACATTATGCCATCTTTAAAATTGATTATTTTTCCATTTATTGCATATGGTTTTATATCAAATGATTTATGGTTTTAATGGTTGTTTGTATTTAAATCTATTTTTAAAATTCTAAAGTGAGGCAGTATCCATACACTGCCCCAAAACAATCCAGAACTATAGTATATTTCAACTACAATCATAAAGTACCCAACAATGCCAAACATCCATATTTTCTTTGTCAAATATTTCAGGTCTATGTTAGCATTTTAACTTTTTAAAAAATTATTTAACAAACAATCATAAATGTTTACCATGTGCAAATCACTATTTTAAACTCTGTAAAATTCTTTTTTAATCCTAGACATAATCTTAGGAGGTTATTATTGTTGTATGTTTCAACATTTTCATTTTGTTTAGTTTTTGCATTTGTTTACTATTTTATTTTACTATTCATTCCTAGTTTGAAGTCTTTTTTCTGTGGCCAATTTACTTGTTTCTAAAATACACCTTTAAGAAATTCTGCTAGTGAGTGTCCATTATTGATAAACTTTCTAAAATTTATGTAAAAATGACTTCATTCTGCCATTTTTCTTGAAAGATGGCTAAATTTAACTACATAAATGTAGCTATTTAAACTACATAAAAACTCATACATTGATGATTATTTAGATTCTCTTCTTTATTACTCTGTGAAGAATTTTCTAAATTCCATTGGTTCTCAGAAGAAGTCTGCTGTTGATAGTATTGTTTTATTTTCTCTCCTTTTCTTTTCTTTTTTTTTTTTTTAAGAGACAAGGTCTTGTTCTGCCATTCAGTCTGGAGTGTAGTGGCACAATCACATCTCATTGCAGCCTCAACCTCTGGGGCTCAAGCAAGCCTCCCACCTCAGCCTCTTCATTAGCTAGGACTACAGGTGCATGCCACCATGTCTGGCTAATTTTTTTACTTTTTGTAGAGTAAAGGTCTCACTATGTTGCCCAGGCTGATCTCTAATTTCTGGTCTCAGGTAATCCTCCCACCTTGGCCTCTCAAAGTGCTGGGATTACACACGTAAGCCTCTGCACTGGCTGCTTTTTTTTTTAATAGGTAATTTTTTGTTTCATTGTGGATACTTTTAGGATTTTTTCTTAGTGTTCAAAAGTTTTAAATTTTATTAAAATTTAATTAAATTTGCATTTATATATATTTCTTCATGTTTCTGTTGCATGTGCTTGGTTCAGTCTGAATATTTACATCTTTCGTCTCTTCTGGAAAATTCCATTAAATTATTACCTTAAATGTTTCCTCTTCGAACCCTCTGGATTGCTCCTTCTGGGATTCCAATTAAATATATCTTAGACTTTCTTATTTTACTTCCATGTCTATGGTTATTCCTCTATAATGTTGTTTTTCTTTGTTCCTTTGTCAATTCATATATAATGTATTTTAGCTCATTCTCCCTTGAGTTATTTATATTATTTAACACATTTATTGATTTTTTAATTAAAATAATTTTATTTTGCATTTCTAGAAATTTTGTCTCATTTCTAAAATCCCCTATTTTTTTTTAATTTTTTTCTTTATTTGTGGAAATTTATGAGACACAAGTGCAGTTTTGTTACATGCATGGATTGCATAGCAGTGAAGTCAGAGATTTTAGGGTAACCACCACCCAAATAATGTACATTTTAGCGACCAAGTAATTTCTCATCATCCACCCCGATTCCATACCTTTACCCTTCCCAGTCTTCACTGTCTATCATTCCACACTATATCCATGCAGACACATTATTTAACTCCCACTTATAAGTGAAAACATGTGTTATTTGTCTTTCTGTGTCTGATTTGTTTTACTTAAGATAATGGTCTCCAATTTCATCCATGTTGCTGCAAAAGACATGACTTTAGTCTTTTTTTATGGCTGAATAGCATTCCATTGTACTACATCTCAAAATACCACATTTTCTTTTTCAGTCTTCTGTTGATGGACACATAGGTTGCTTCCATGTCTTGCCATTTTGAATAGTTCTGCAATAAACATATGAGTGCCAGTATTATTTTATATAATGATTTCCTTTCTTTAAGGTAAATACCCAGTAGTGGGACTGCTGAATCAAATGATGGTTCTCTGTAGCTTTTTGATAAATCTCCACACTGCTTTTCATAGAGGTTGAGCTGGTTTACATACCCACCAAGAGTACCCTTATCTCCATATCCTCACCAATATCTGTTATCTGTTGACATGTTAAAAACAGCCATTCTGACTGGTGTAAGAGTATATCTCATTGTGGTTTTAATTTGTGTTTATCTGATGATTAGTGATGTTCAGTATTTTTTATATACCTATTGGTGATTTGTAAATCTTCTTTTGAAAAATGTTTATTCATATCCTTTGCCTACTTCTTAATGTGATTATTTGTGGGTTTGTGTGTGTGTGTGTGTGTGTGTGTGTGTGTGTGTGTGTGTTGACTGGTTTGAGTTCCCTATTTATTCTATATAATAGACCCTTGCTTGATGCATATTTTGAAAATATTTTCTCCCATTCTGCAAACTATCTGTTCACTCAATTAATTATTTGTTTTTCTGTGCAGAAGTTTTTTAATTTAATTAAATCCTGTTTGTCTACTTTTGGTTTTGGTGCCTGTGCTTTTGAGTCTTAGTAATGAATTATTTGCCTAGACCAAAGTCCAGAAGAGTTTTTCCAGTTTTTCCTATTTTTTTAAGTATCTTTATAGTTTTATATCTATAAAGATACTAGAAGAAAACAGAGACTCATCCAAACCATATCATTCTGGCCAGCCCCTCTCAAATCTCATGTCCTTCTCACATTGCATGCTTTCCCAACAGTCCCCCAAAATCTTCATTCTTTCCAGTGTTACTCTGCAGTCCAAAGTCTAAAGTCTCACCTAGAACAAGACAAGTCCCTTCTACTATTAAAAAAAAAAAGAAAAACAATTAGGTAACTCCAAAGATACAATGAAGGTACAAGCATTGGGTAAATACTCTCATTCCAAAAGGGAAAAATCAGCCAAAAATAGAGCCATAGGCCCCATGCAATTCTAAAACCCAGCAAGGCAGTCATTAAATCTTAAAGCTCCAAAATAATCTTTTTTGGCTCCATGTTTCACATCCAGGGCACACTGACACAACAGTTAGCCTTCCAAGGCCTAGAGTAGCTCTGCTGCTGTGGTTTTAAGGTTTCAGCCCCCACAGCTGCTCTCATGGGCTAGTGTTGAGTGCTTGCAGCTTTTACAAGTGCAAGGTGCAAGCTTCCAGTGACTCTATCATTCCAGGGTCTGGAGGACGATGGCCCTCTTCTCATAGCTCCACTAGGCAGTGCCCCAGTGGGGACTCTGTGGGGGCTCCTACCCCACATTTTCTCGTTGCAGTGTCCTAGTAGAAGTTCTTCATGAAGACTCCACCCCTGCAGCAGGCTTCTACCTGGACATCCAGGCATTTCCATATATCCTCTGAAATCTAGGCAGAGGCTCCCAAGCCTCAACTCTTACACTCAGTGCACCCATAGGCTTAGCACCACATGGACGCCACCAAGGCTTACAGCTTGCAACCTCTGAAACAGCAGCCTTAGCTATACCTGAGCCTCTTTTAGCCATTGCTGAAGCTGGAGCAACTGAGATGCAAGGAGCAGTGTTCTGCGGCTGCATAGGGCAGTCAGGCCCTGGGCCTGGCCCACAAAACCATTCTTCCTTCTTAGGCCTCTGGGCCTGTGATGGAGGGGCTGGCATGAAGATCTCTGAAACGCCTTTGAGGCTTTTTCCCCATTGTCTTGGCTATCAGTACTTACCTTCCTTTTAGTTACGCAAATTTCTCCGGCTGGCTTGAATTCCTCCCCGGAGATGCACTTTTCTTTTCCACCACAGGGCCAGGCTGCAAATATATCAAACTTTTACACTCTGCTTCCCCTTTAAGTATAAGTTCCAGTTTTATGTCACTTCTTTGTTCATGCATATGAGTTAGGTTGTCAAAAGCAGCCAGGCCAAATCTTAAATGCTTTTCTGCTTAGAAATATCTTCCAACAGTTACACTAAATCATCTCTCTCAAGTTCAAAGTTCCACAGATCCCTAGGGCAGGGAAACAATCCATCCAAGCTCTTTGCCAAGATGTAACAAAAGTCACCTTTGCTCCAGTTCCCAATAAGTTTCTCATTTCCATCTGAGACCTCATTAGCCTGGCCTTCATTTTCCATATCACTATCAGCATTCTGGTCACAACTATTCAACAACTGTCTAGGAAGTGCCAAACTTTCCTGTCTTCTTCTGAGCCCTCCAAACTGTTCTAACCTCTGCCTCTTATCCAGCTCCAAAGCTTCTTCTACATTTTCAAGTATCTATATAGCAATGCCCCACTACTCAGTATCAATTTTATGTATTAGCCCCTTCTTACATTGCTATAAAGAAACACCCGAGACTGGATAATTTATAAATAAAAGAGGTTTAATTGGCTCATGGTTCTGCAGGCTATACATAAAGCCTGGAGGTTTCTGCTTCTTGAGGGGACCTTAAGAAACTTACAATCACGGCAGAAGGAGAAGGAGATGCAAACACATCTTACACAGCAGGAGCAGGAGCAGGAACAAGAGAGGTGGGGCAGGGCTACACAGTTTTAAACAACCAAATATCTGGATAACTCACTCACTGTCATAAGAGTAGCACCAAGGGTATGGTGCTAGCCCATTCATGGGGACTACGCTCTTACGATCCAATTACCTCCCACCAAGCCCCACCTTCAATACTGGAGATTATAATCTGACATGGGATTTGGGCAGGGACATGGATCCAAACCATATCAAGGTGATTAAAGTTGCCTATTGAATTTTGGTAGTCTATTATTGCCTTGTTATGTTTTTACCTCCCTCTTTTTCCTTTAAGTCATTAAACATTTCACATAATTATTTTAGTGTCTCTAATCGTTCCAATATCTTTCACCCTTCAAAATTTGATACTGCTATTTGTTATTTTGCTGTAATTCATAGCAGCTTCTTTCTTCATATGTCGTTTAATTTATTATTATGCCCATATTTGATGTTCATGATTTCTGAAAATTCTGAGAACCTAGGGGGTTTTGTTCTCCAAAAAGGATTTGCATTGATGCTATCTATTGTCCCAAGATGATTGTGATGACATTAAATAGAATTTCTTGGCTGGGGTTTTTCCAGGCTCCAAAAGGAGTGAATATTTACATTCCTTATATAAATGATGGCAGATGTTGAGCAGAGTGGCTCACACCTGTAACCACAGCACTTTGGGAGGCTGAGGTGGGAGGCTCACTTGAGCCCAGAAGTTTAAAGCTGCAGTGAGCCATGACTGTGCCACTGCATTCCAGCCTGGGCAACAGAGCTAGGCCCTGTCTCCAATACATACATACATACATACATACATACATACATACATACATTCATATATACATACATAAATACGTATATACATAAATGATAGCGGAACTCTGGTTTCTGATTTTTAGCGTATACTTATTTTCCCAGTAACAGCAGAATATGACTGGGCAATAAACTTGTGGTCTCTCTTTTCTGTAGAGTAAAAATTTTGCTTGGTATTTGTTTTGTTCATTCTTTCTCAGTAGGCATACTTATTTGGCGGTCTAGCCTTTATAAAAGGATCTCAGTTCTAATTCACCACTTTGCACGGACACAATGCTTTGTCTCCTTTAGCGATCAGAGCTGCTAAAACCCGAAGCTTTAAATTCGTAAAAGACAAATTATCTGACAAAACTACCATCATTAACTCATGCTGACCATTTTGATTTTAAGGTTTGCTGGTCCCACTTAAATTTGGTTCCTAGCAGTAGTCTTACTTTTCTCTGGACTGTTATATATTTTAGAAAGAAGGCTTATTGTTGTTATCCAGTAGCTGTAGGATTGTGTGTGTGTGCACATGTGTGTAATACATAGTTGCTTAATCTTCTTTTGTTAAAATCAACAATATTCTCCATATCTTTATATCCAGTAGATATTTGATGAATTCTACAATTCAACTAACCTTTCTGAAGCATGGAATAATGTGGACTGTCCCCTCCTTAAAACACTTTCTTGACCTCTCTTTCATTATGATACTACACTGATTTTTTTTTCCAATCTCACTGGTTGCACATTCTGGCTCCTTTGCTAGCTCATGTTCCTTTCATGGACATAAATGATAAAATTATCTAAGCTTTATACTAGGGCCTCTCTTTTTTATCTATATTTTCTCTATGAGTGTTTGTGCCACTTTCATTATGAACAATTACCAACAGAGATATCTTTTTTAAGCACAAATCTGATTATCTCACACCACTGCTTACGTTTATTCAGTTATTTTCAATGCTCTAAGAAAAAAGAAAAATTTGATTAGCATTGTCTGCAAAAGGCTTGGAGAAGATCTATTGTCACCTTTGTCTCCAGCAGCGTGCCTGCTCTCCTCCCTTCATGTCTGCACTGGCCTTTTTAAATCCTTCATATTCACTGTGCTTATTCCTAATTTTTTCATAGCATTTCCCTTTGCCTGACACACTCTTTCATCTCCTTTGCATCTAAATAAGGCCTACCCATTCTTCAGAACTCAGTTTAGCATAGCTATCCTCGAATCCCCTGTGCTGATTGCCTTGAATAGCTCAAAGAATTCTTTCATTGGCTGTCACTTTTTCATTGAACATATGTGTCAGAATCTGTTCTATATGTTGGAATATGTCTAGCAGTAAACACAATCGATTGAAGCTCTTTCTGCATAGTTGAAGGAGGCAATATAGGTTAGATGATAAACAAATAAGCACATATATATGCTTCAGTAAATATTAATTGGGAAAAGGACTCCTTAGCACTTCTCACAGTTTTAATTTCAAATTTGTTTCTGTGTTTATTTAAACTAAGGCGCATGCTATTTTTTGCTCATTATTGAACCCCCAATGTTTCCTATGGTGCCTGTCACACCATAAATACCCATTAAAAGTCTGTGTTTTGATGGATGTCCCAATTACCCTGATTTGATCATTACATATTGTATACATGTATTAAAATATCACATGTTCCCCCAAAATGTGCCCAACTATTTCATCTCAATAAAAATTATATTCTTGTAATATTTATGTGTAGGGAGAGATTTTCTGTTGCATCTGCAGGCATCTTGGTATAAGATTTTAAATTTAACTATATTAGTTAAA
This sequence comes from Homo sapiens, assembly GCF_000001405.40. Lineage (NCBI taxonomy): Eukaryota > Metazoa > Chordata > Mammalia > Primates > Hominidae > Homo > Homo sapiens. The sequence goes on from NC_000004.12 coordinate 30,529,244, forward strand.
TTAAATAGATATTTGTTAGTTTAAGTATAATTCTATGTGCCACGGAACATATATCATCCTGAAGCTTGCATTCTATTGGTTCAGGATATAAAACAATAAACAGATTTAAAAAATAAACATATACAAATTCCCAGACCCATAATAATAATTCTATGCCTTTTAACAAGGCACCAATATTCAATAGTTAGAGAACATGGATATAGTTAAGCTCTCTAAAAATTACATCACTTCTAACATGCTTTGTATTGCAATTGATTAACCCAGAACCAAAGCTAGAACTCATCTTCCCTAGCATCCAAATTAGGTCATTTGGCACCATGGTATGTATCCCTCATGTAATGCATACCAAGATAATCATGTTCAACAAAAAAGATTATTCAAGGTTAAAATTCCCATCAGATAAGCAAAACTACCTAGCACAGTATATGAAGCAAAGTTTGTGTTCAAACAATATAAGTTCAGTTAGCCCAAGTACAAGAATGTATAAACAGATCCCACTTCTTTCTTTTTAGGGGGGCAGCAGAAGGTTCAGAAAGTATTCCATTTTTTTCCCATATGTCCACAGAAAAAGGGATAAAAGTGGAATAGTAAAATGTATGTTAGAATTTGGGTCCCAATAAATAATTGAGTAATTTCCAATCCTCCCTGACTTCTGCCTTTCGGGATTGCTGTTGCTCTCATACTAACTTCTCTTGCCCAGGGGCTTCCATTGCATAGTCTATGTAAGTTTCCCACTGAAGGTGGAATGATGAACGGATATTTGTCCTACTCCCCTACATGAGATTAACGGCAATAAATAACAACACAAAAAACTCCAATTAAGAAGAAAACCTCTACTACTTTTTTTTAAAGCAACATAATAAAGTAAACTCTAAAATGCAAGTGACAGAAACAATGACTTCTAGAAATCAACCAGGAGATACTTCATGGTCTGCCACGCCTCGCTCCTGTTGGGAGAACAATACACTTCAGGAAATAGAATAATTATGAAGTCCTCATCAACAACTTTTAACTTAAAGGGAAAAAGGAAAGGAGCGAAAAAACAAAAGGGCAAAAAAGAGGAGCAAATAAAGGACAGAACAAAAGATACAGGAGAAGTGAAAAGTACCAAAGTTGGGGACCATTTCTACAACATTGGAAGACAGGGTAAAAATACGTAAATTGTATTTCTCAACCATTTCCTAATGGTGAGGGGGAAATCAGATGCAGAAATCATTAAGCTGAGAACTTGACACGGAGCAACTGACCAAATACAAGACAGATGAAATAAAAAATGATCCATCAAGAAAGAGCCTTCTGACCCAAGAAACTTTATATTGACCCAGACTCCTGCCAGGTGATATACTCAATCTAAAGTGAGGAAATAATGTTCATCTGTAGACTCCCTTTAACCTCTTCTGCCTTTGGGAAAAAGAGTAGGATTCAACAGGGCATAGGAGAACAGCAATCCGACTTACCCTCTGGTTCCGCTGAAACACAGGATTAACTGAAGGCTCATAAACGAGAAGTGTGCAGCCTCCCAACCTAAAATAAACACCAGAGCAATGATTTAAACATTATGCCTGGATATGCGATAGAGTAGAATGGAGAAAGGAGAGATAAAGGAACTAAAAATGGCTTGATTGACCCTACCCTTCAATATGTGAGATTCAAAAGGGGGCAGAAAAATGCAGAGAAGTCAAAAGCACCCAAATTGGAGATCGTTTTCGCAGCACTACTATTTGGACACTGAAGTTAATAAATTGAGATATGGATGAATAATATGATTTAGTGTTATGGATGTAATAATTACTGTAATCAAAACCAGATTTTAAAACTTATAGATTATCAGAAGAGATTCTATATATTTATTTAAACATATACCTATATATATATATATCTCACTACATGTATGTAAACACAAATACAAGCAGCATAGGTGTTAATACACTAAAAACACATAACTATATATCATATACATATGCATGTGTATAGATATAATTCATATATAATAAGATGACACATGGAAAATACATGTATGATACTAAATGAAAAAAGAATGGGACTAACACTTTAGGTTGAATACATAAGTTATATGCAGGCTCTAAGGTTACAGGACAGATTCCTCATTCTAAAACACTACACATTTATAGGGAACTACTTAATAATGAGAGATTCTTGGTCTAGAAAATTGTCTTATCATAAACAAGGAGCCTCTGGAGCACAGTGGCTGGAATCAGACTGCACCCCCGTTACGCTAACTCGGAAGAGTTCTAGTTAAACTACAAAAATAGGAAAGGGAGCAAAAGCAGGGTACAAGGGAAAGTTAGTGAGCTGTTCAAGCCAGTGGAGTTAGCCTTCCCTCAAGTTCAAATATAATCATATAATGCTTTTACATTATGTATACAAGTCATGTAGCATCAAAATACTGCAGCCAAAATGTTAAGAAATACAAGCAGAATATTAGGGTAGCAAAATTACAGATTTTACCTCAGTTCTCTCAATCCAGGGGGGAAATTGGCCAAACATAATAAACAGTAGAAGGGATCTGAATTATACAATTAATAAGGTTGGGAACGTATCTCTTATATAGGCAAAGGCAGAATATGATAATACAACTTATTTCAAATTAACTCACATGTTAGGCTATGGACACAAATTGAATCTCAACAAAATTTGGTGAGGGAAAAATAACATTAAAATAGAATGGCCTGGGTACTAATCCTAACTTTGATTTTGTTTTTCTTTTTTTCTTTTGTAATTAATAGACTATTTTTTGAACAGTTTAACAGTACATAAGAATTGAATGTAAAGTACAGAGTTTCCATATACGCCTCATCCCTCCTCCCCACTGCCAAATTTCACCTACTATTAACATCTTGCATTAATGTAGTACTTTTTTTTGTACTACATCAATAAAATGGAAACTGTGAAATAATAAATATGTGGTGTATTAAGCTGCTAAGTTTTTGGTAACTTGTTAAACAGCATACAAATCTAATACATAAAACAACAAGTAATTAATAATGAGTAAAAGATCTGAGCAGACACCTCACCAAAGATGATATGCAGATGACAAATAAGTATTTAAAAATATGCTCCACAATTAAAACAAAAATATGCTCCACAACATATGTTCCCATTGACTCATTTTATTGATGAGCCTCACCAATGTCTATAGTTTACATCAGAGTTCACTCTTTGTGCTATATATTCTGTTTGGGTTTTGACTAATGTACAGTTACTTGTGTCTGCCATTACAGTGTCCTGGTAGAATAAGGAATAGTTTCACTGTCCCCAAAATTCCCTGTATCCCACCTATTCATTCCTCCCTCTCCTGCACCCCCATCCTGAGCCCTGGTAACCACTGATCTTTTTACTGTCTACATTGTTTTATCTTTTCAAGAAGCCATATAGTTGGATTCAAATAGTATATAGCCTTTTCAGATTGGCATCTTTTACTTAGAAATACACATTTAAGTTATCTCTATGTCTTCTCCTGGTTTCATAGCTCATTTTACTTGTATCACTGAGAAATATTTCTTTTTTCTTTTTCTTTTTCTTTTTTCTTTTTTCTTTTTTTTTTTTTTTTGAGACATAGTCTCACTCTGTTGCCCAGGCTGGAGTACAGTGGTGTGATCTTGGCTCACTGAAACCTCTGCCTCCTGGGTTCAAGTGGTCCTCCTGCCTCAGCCTCCTGAGTAGCTGGGACTATAGGCACATGCCACAATGCCGTGCTAATTTTTGGTATTTTTAGTAGAGACGGGGTTTCACTGTGTTAGCCAAGATGGTCTTGATCTCCTGACCTCGTGATCTGCCCACCTCGGCCTCCCAAAATGCTGGGATTACAGGCATGAGGCACCATGCCCGGCAGAAAAATGTTTCTTCATATGAATGTACCATAGTTGGTTTATCCAGTCACCTATTGAAATATATCTTGGTTGCTTTCAAGTTTTGGCAATTATGAATAAAGCTACTATAAACATCCGTATGCAAGTTCTGTTTGGACATGAGTTTTCAGCTCATTTGGGTAAATACCAATGAGCACAACTGCTGATTCATATCGTAAGAATACGTTTAATTTTGTAGGAAACTGCCAAAATCTCTCCAAAGTGGCTGTACCATTTTGCATGGGATGACAGTTTGTGTTGCTGCACATCCTCACCGGTATTTGATATTATCAATGCTTCAGATTTTCATTATTCTAATTGATGTGTAAATGGTATGTCATTGCTGTCTGAATTTGCACTTCCCTGGGAACATATGTTTGGAGCATCTTTTCAAATGCTTATTTGTCATCTGTATATCATCTTTGGTGAGGTGTCTGCTCAGATCTTTTGCTCATTATTAATTGAGTTATTCGTCATTTTATATATTAGCTTGTATGCTGTTTAACAAGTTACCAAAAACTTAGCAGCTTAATAAATCACACGTTTATTATTTCACAGTTTTCATAGGCCAGGAATCTGGATACAGCACAATACGGTCCTGAAGTCAGGATCTTATAAGGCTGTGGGAGGGAGCTTGATATGGCGTGACTGTGCCCCCACCCAAATCTCATCTTGAATTGTAGCTCCCATCATTCCCATGATTTGTGGGAGGGACTCAGTTTGGGATAATTGAATCATGGGAGCTGATTCCACCATACTGTTCTCCTGGTGGTGAATAAGTCTCACAAGACCTGATGGTTTTATAAGGTGAAACTCCTTTCACTTGGTTCTCATTCTCTCTCTTACAGCTACCATGTAAGAAGGGCCTTTCCCCTGCCTCCGTGATTGTGAGTCCACCCCCCGCCAGCTACATGGAACTGTGAGCCCATTAAACCTCTTTTTCTTTTTATAAATTACCCAGTCTTGGGTATGTCTTTATCAGCAGCATGAAAGTGGACTAATAGAGAGCTGCAATCTCATCTGAGGCTTTGAATCTTTTTCCAGACTCACTGGTTCTTGGCTGAATGTAGGTCCTTGCAGTTACAGGAGTGAGATCCTCAACTACTAGCAGCTGCCCACAGTTTTCTGCCATTTGGCCATCTCCACAATATGGAAATTTGCTTCTTTAAGCCTGGCTTTAGCATCTGCTGTGAATTCAAGGGCTTGTCTGATTAAGTCAGGGCCATCTAAGATTACCTTTTTTTATTAAGGTCAATTGTCTGAGGACTTTGATGACAGCTGTAAAATCCCCACCTTGACTGTAGAACATAATCTAATCTATCACATATATGGGTCCTGCCCACATTCAAGAATAAGAGATGAGACAGAGCATGACTCCCTTGGGGTCTTCCTACAATATACCTTCCACAGAGTCAGCTCTGTGGGCCTCAGGTAGTCAAAGTATTTCCTGGCCCCACTAGCTGGATGTTATCAATGTTCCACATCATCTGGCCATTTTAGTGCACACAGTTTCTGGTGTGCTTTCTTTTCCAACAACCTGTATCTGTCGATCTTTATCAGTGGACCATCCTTCTGGACCCCTATTAACCTGAGTAGGAATGGTGCCATGTTTTAGAGAGCAAAGAAGAGACCCAGAGCCAGCAAAAGAGACATAGGGTTTTACTGGGCATGAAACATACAAATAGGGAGGTCCAGTGGCAGGCAGGCTGAACAGGAGAAACTCTTGACTTGCAAAAAGAATACATTTTATATAGCATTTCCACTTATACCTTCCTCCTAACAGTCTCCCCCAGGCAACCTTCACTTAACCCATAAAAAAGGCCTTGATCTTCTGTACGGCCCATGTTTCACAGAACATATATTTCAAGGATCCTTTCAGCTATAAATTAAGTCATCCTTATGATCTAATTTGTGGTAAAGTATGAGAATGCTAATGGGTTACTGCTGTCAAATAAGTTATTTTTGTTTTTACAGGAGGATTCTGATGACAAAGCTTCAATATGAAAGAAATTGGTGCTCATTTTTGGCACCCAGAGCAAGTAGGCTAAAATAGAAAAAGTAATAATGAAGGGTGTTTCTATGGTTTGAATGTATCCCCCCAAAAGCATGTGTAAACTTAATCCCCAGTGCAACAGTGTTGTTAGGTGGGGCCTAAGGAGAAGTGTTCAGGTGATGAGGGCTCCACCCTCATGAATAGATTAATGCCAATTATAAATGGGCTTGAGGCTGTGAGTCTTATCTCTTGCACTCTTTCTATCTCTGTCTCTCTCTCTCTCTCTCTCTGTCTCCTCTCTCTCTTCCCCTCTCTTGACTTTTTTTCCACCATGAGATGACTCAGCAAGAAGGCCTCTGTCAGATGCTGACCCCTTGATCCTAAACTTCCCAGCCTCCAGAAATGTAAGAAATCAATCTCTGTTCTTTATAAATTACACACTCTCAGGTATTCTGTTATAGCAGCACAAAACGGACGAAGAAAAGTGCTTTCTTATAAATATTTTATAGGACACAGTTATCCTTAGTCTTTGCGTTTCATTATTTGGTCCTAACTCAGTTTATTAGCCCTTACCAAGACTGCCACTGGATCAGGGAATAGCTGTTTCCATATCCTTAAAATGAGTGTCAGATGAGTACTGAAGGCCAGCTTGAGACTGGAGATGAGGATATGAAAGATGTGGAAGGAGCGACAAAATCCTATATCTGTTCATCATTATACTATTCATGGTCTAGAAAGGAGCACCAAAATATACCCAAAATATGTCCAAATATCCGTTTCTTTCCATCTTTACTGCTACCACCCTGAACCAATCCAGTAGCCCTTTGAAATAGCCTCATAACCGGTCTTCCCATTTCCTCCCTTAAACCATATGCACCATTTTTTACATATCAACCAAGGTAAACTGACTTCACCCTAAATTACAAGATATAATTTCCTGCTTAAAATCCTACAGTTATTTCTTATTGCAGTTAATGACAATTAACTTTTTAATAAAATGGTCTGGAATGTTCCACATCAAACCATGCTCAACTTCAGTGTCAACCTGTTCAAGGCAATATACTCCAGCCATACTGACCTCATTTCAGTTCCCTCGTTTCTAAGTTAGGGTAATCCCTTTGCCCAAAGTTCAGTCTCCTGATCTCCACATACCTGGCTACTTTAAATTCAATCTATTTCCATTTCACGTAGAGTGTACTCCACACCATTCTGTTGTGTCATCTTCTTAGCACATTTCACTTTATGAAATTATCTCATTCACTCAGATATATACTTGTTTGTCTGTGACCTTCCTTCACATACACAAATAAAAAACCACAGGAATGAGAATAGTGACCTTCACAGTGTGGTTTATTGCCAATTCTCCTGCCTCTTAACAGTACTGAGGAATCTGTAATGACTAAAAAGTAAATGTATGAACGAAGATATATGAAATAATAGGTGGATGGAATTTGCATTCTCTCTTTTCTATTCAAGGGAATTAGACAATTGACATCAAAGTCACTGTTATGAATTTTTTGATACTTTTTACTTATTAAAATTTGTGTCATGTTGTGACAAGGTTAAAATCATAGTGAGGGATAATTTCCTAACAAATTGCTTAGGACAAAATAAAATCATATTACCAATATGCAGGAAGGTTTGGGAAAGTAGCTACTTTAAATATGGATAGCAAATAATTATTTAGTTACACATATCTACAGATAAATTTGTAATAGAATGTCATACCTTTGTCCCAGTAATTCTGTTTAGATATTTAGCCTAAGAAAATTATATGAATATGTGCCAAACTCAAAAGTTTAGCATTAGTCCACTGGATTAATAAGTATAGAGACATACAAAGGGAAACTTATTTCATTAGTAAAAATAATCCTAGAGGCAAATACTTATTAACATAAAAGTTAGATGTATCCATTATTAAGTCAAAAGGCATTATAATAAAGTATAAAAATTGAAAGACTACCTTGATAATCTTGCTTTAATTAATTTGATAATTGTGGGCATCTATCTACCCTAAAATACATCAATCGTGATTATTTATAGAGAGTCAAATTGTAGGATATTTTTAAATTTCCTTTATTTTATTGACATGTATCTATACTTCATTGGTTTCCTCAAAAAAAACATAATTTTTATGTTTTTTTAAAAAAGTCAAAAATTTATAATATTGAATCCTCTATGTGACAGAAAAATGACCCCTCAAAGATGTCCATGTCCTAATGCCAGGAATCTGTAAAGATATTATATCTTATGGCAAAAGAGACATTGTAAATATAATTAGTTAAGAATACTGAGATAGGAAGATTATCCTGGATTATCTGGGTGGATCCAGTGAAATCACAGGATTCCTTATAGTAGGGAGGCTTGATGGTCAGAATGAGAGAAGAAGATGTGATGGCAAAAAAAGAGTTTGGAGAGATGTGGGAGCATGAGCCAAGAAACATGGGTGGTTCCTAGAAGCTGGAAAAAGCAAGGAAATTGATTCTCTCCTAGCGCTCCCAGAAGGAATGTAGCCCGGCTGACTCATACTAGACCTCTGACTTCCAGAAATGTAAGATAATAAACTTGTGGTTTTTAAGCCACTAAATTGGTGGTAGTCTGTTGCCTCAGCAACAGGAAATGTATACGCCCTGTCTTATAAAAGTTAAAACAAAGGAAGAGGATATTTAGCACCATGCAATGTTTCATAAAAAAACACACACAGGGCCAGGTGTGGTGGCTCACATCTATAATCCTAGCACTTAGGGAAGCTGAGGTGGGCGGATCACCTGAGGTCAGAAGTTTGAGACCAGCCTCGCCAACATGGTGAAACCCTGTCTCTCTACTAAAAATACAAAAATTTGCCAGGCATGGTGGCAGACTCCCGTAATCCCAGCTACTCGGTAGGCTGAGGCAGGAGAATCGCTTGAGCCTCGGAGGCTGAGGTTGCAGTGAGCCGAGATCACACCACTGCACTTCAGCCTGGGCGACAGAGCGAGACTCTGTCTCAAAACCCACACAGACACACACACACACACACACACACACACACACACGTTGAGAGAGAGAGAGACAGATATATCAAAATCAGGTTTTCTTTGATGTTTAAGTACAAACTTTTAATCCTTTTATCTTAAGGGCTTCTAGTATTCATACCTAGATTTATACAAAGGTATTCTGGAAATGGTATTGAACCACCCCAACAACAAGAAAAATTTCACTACTGAGACATACATAGGAACACTCTAGAACACCGCAAACATTAGCAAAGCTTTTCCCTTCCACCTTGCCTTCGTAGCTCATTTTAATCATTATTTTTAGCTTGAATAAAAATGATAAGGGAAACAAATGAGTATAATTTGCTCTCAGTCCTGCCAAGTATAAATATGGTTCATTACCTGCTTTTTAAAAAACACAAAGGCGTGAGTTTGTGATTTGGTAACATTTGTCTTCACCATGATATGTAAATTTCATTGTAAGTAAGTAGAAATATTTTTAGCCTACTTCAAAAACATAGTTGTTTAGAAGCATTCTTCTCCAAAACCTATGATCACGGAAAGCTTACAGATTTTTTCTTTCTACTGGTTTCAGGCTGACAGAGTGCAGAAACAGCATGTTGACTTGTTGAAGTGGGAGAAAGTATATTTTGTATATGTTTTTTCAAAAATCACTCCATCGATTACAAGTTAACGGTGTGAAAGAAATTCTACTTTTGGGCTAAGTCAAACATTTTAAAATTAAGAAATGTAATTTTCGAGTAACTAAAAATGATTGGTATAAAGTGATGTTAAGAATCCACCAGTTTGGGGTGGTTATTACCGCTTGTTTTTACCTTATAATTTGTGCTTTCATTTTGTATATTCAAAGTTAGGACAGCTGATGGGGATGTTATCCAACGTGCTGAGTCATGCAAAGTGCCTTAAATGACCAAAAGGCCAAAGACAGCCAAGGACCAATTTACAAAGCTGACAACTTGGTTTTGCTCCTCCTCATGTCCCCCTTGATCTAGCTATTTCTAAGCAGCCCAAGGACTACAGCTCTCACATCACTGCTTCTGTGGCTCCTCTACGACCCACGCCATTATTCCACAAATAGCTTTTGTGGTTTATTTATTTATTTATTTATTTGAGACAGAGTCTTGCTCTGTCGCCCAGGCTGGAGTGCAATGGCATGATCTCGGCTTACTGCAACCTCCGTCTCCCAGATTCAAGCGATTCTCCTGCCTCAGCCTCCAGATTAGCAGGGATTACAGGTGCCTGCCCTCCACGACTGGCTAACTTTTGTATTTTTAGTAGAGATGAGGTTTCACCATGTTGGCCAGACTGGTCTCGAACTCCTGATCTCAGGTGATCCGCCTGCGCCGGCCTCCCAAAGTGCTGGGATTACAGGCATGAGCCACCACGCCCGGCCACTTTTGTGCTTTTATCCACAGAAAAGAATGCACCCTCTTCCTGTTTCATTTAGGATTTTGTCATGTAATTTGTCTAAAAACACTGCTGAGACTTCCAGTCAAGATGGCTTTGTAAGCTCATACATTATTTTTCCTCTTTCACTTCAAACACTAAGATATCAGAAAATAAGAATAAAAAGAATTAGCGCTGCTCAAAAACACGATAGCACCTCTGCGGCTCTGAAGAGGAATAGGCACACAGAGGAGTAAGCTGAGAATGCGGGTACAGGCTGACTGGATCTGGGTCCAGAATCAGTGAAATGGGAGACCTCCCTGACCCGCCTCGCAGGACATGCGACAGGGGTGTGGCTCATCTGTTCAGCCACCAGGTGCACTCAAACCCCTTACAGGAGTGGGAACACGCAGATGGACACGTTCAGGAGCCATGGTGAGTGCTTTCTGGGCTCTGGCACTACAGTAGCGTCTAGGGGTGGATGCCTGCAACTCCTGAAGCCAAATGGTCTGCAGACCGCTTAAGTGCTAACCTGCTCAGTGCAGTTCCCGTTTGGTACCCAGGTCCTTGTTCATCGTACAGAAGAATTAGGTTGCACACAGACTTGAAAGATGGTGAATGTGGGGGTTTTATTGAGTGCTGGAGGTGGCTGTCAGTGGGATGGATGGGGATCTGGAAAGGGGATGGAGTAGTAAGATAATCTTCCCCTGGAGTTTGGCTGTCCAGCAGCGGATCTCCACTCTGACTGCCCCCAGCCGAATTCCTCTCCGTGTTCAGACACTCCTTCTCTTCTCTCTGCCAGGCCGTCCTGCCATTCTTCTGCTCATTCTCTTCATCTCCTCCTGGAGCCTGGGGTTTGGGGCTTATATGGGCACAGGATGGGAGGCGTGGCAGGCCAAAAGGCAACTTTGGGGCTTGAAAACAGGGATTCCTGTTCCCATTTAAGGCTGTGGGTTTCCAGGCTTGAGGGTGGGGCCTTTGAAGGGGAACCACCCTCTTCTACTCAGTATTTCCATGTCTCCTGTCAGTATCAACAGGAAGATGTGCATTTGAGTCTTCCAAGTTTCTCCACATGAGGTAAATATTTCAGCCATGTGCAGTGCAAGAAGACAGCTGTCAGGAGTCACATTTCTACAGACTGGAAGCCCATCCATATATTTTTATTATTTCTTTCTAGGTTAGTGCTTTTACTTTTTTTTTTTTTTTGTACTAAGAAAACTTAGTTTATCTCAAGATTTCAAGGATTTTCTGTTAGGTTTAATCCATAAATTTTATAAGCTTAGCTTGTATATGTAAATCTATGATCTAGAATTATTCAAATTTACTTAAGAAAATAACAATTTTTATTCTGTAGGAATATTGACTGTGTTTGGAGAGAAAATGATTTATATAGCACCATGATAGTGCATTCTAGCAATAAACAATATGCTCTCTTTGTTTCTAAACACTTTCCAGAGATGTTAGGAAGATATTGCTTTATATTGATGAAGTATTTTCTCTGTTACTGTATCAATAGAAAATGCTTCTGGTAATGTCTTATATGATGCACAGGACAGCATATTTATTGGATGTGAAAGTATGTCTGCGGGATTAACTTTACAACCTTAATGGAGCAATAATTTAGAAGCTGCTGAAACCTGAAAAATAATTCATGGTTTAAGCCAGATTAAAGCTGCAATTGATATTGAGAACTGCTGGCAAATTCCCCAAGCCATTACTGTTTGCAGATCTCAAATAGTTGTTGCCAATATTTGTTATAAAGGAGATGCAAAAATTTATAGTGCAATGTTAACTTACTTTTTCCTTTTTTTTTTTTTTTTTTTGAGATGGAGTCTCACTCTGTTGCCCAGACTGGAGTGCAGTGGTACGATCTCGGCTCACTGCAACCTCCACCGCCTGGGTTCAAGGGATTCTCCTGCCTTGGACTCTTGAATAGCTGGGATTACAGGTGCCCACCACCATGCCCAGCTAATTTTTTTTTTTTTTTTTGTATTTTTAATAGAGACGGGGTTTCACCATGTTGCTCAGGCTGGTCTTGAACTCCCGACCTCAAGCAATCCACCTGCCTTGGCTTCCCAAAATGCTGGGATTACAGGCATGAGAGACCACTCAGCTAGCTTCATTTTTCAATATTCATTCTTTGAACAAATGTTTTGAATACGATATTCATATTTTTAACTGAGCAAGGTAAATTAGTTTATAGCTTGAGCTTTAAGTAAGATTTAATTAATCAAAAATAGCTTAGACAAACCTTTATGATTCCTAAATGTTACTCATTTAATATTACTTCCTTCTATATAGACAGTATAAGACACTATTTGACTCTGCAGTTCAGATCTGTATATTTGCTTCTTCATCTTCTCATCAGCTTCTCTCTAAATTTCAAGTATTGTAGTGAGCAATTTATTTAATTTTGAAACAAGAAGTCAGAGCTGCTCTACTTTAGTACCTGTTGGGCATGAAGGATAAAAGCCCTCTTCCACTTATTTCCCATAAGTCAAGACTGTGTCACATGACTAGCCTAATGGAAAGGGAGACAGGGAAATGGATTTATTTTTATTTATTTTTATTTTTTATTTTTTTTGAGACAGAGTCTCACTCTGTCGCCCACGCTGGAGTGCAGTGGTGCAATCTCCCCTCACTGCAAGCTCCGCCTCCCGGGTTCATGCCATTCTCCTGCCTCAGCCTCCCGAGTAGCTGGGACTACAGGTGCCCGCCACCATGCCTGGCTAATTTTTTGTATTTTTAGTAGAGACGGGGTTTCACCATGTTAGCCAGGATGGTCTCGATGTTCTGACCCTGTGATCCACCCGTCTCGGCCTCCCAAAGTGCTGGGATTACAGGCTTGAGCCACTGCGCCCGGCCATGGATTTCTTAAAGATGTGTAGATAGCCATCTCAAATAATAATTAGCTTCTGATACTGAAAAGAAGAAGAAATGGATATTGGGTAGGCATCTGGCAGTGTCTGTCTCAGTAATCATTAGCTAATATTATTAATATTTTATTCATTATCTACATGTTTCACAAAGAAAAAGTGCTAAATGAAAAAAAAATTTCTCCAGCCATTCAACCTGGAAAAATAATTAGAAAAGCCAGTGAGACTTGTCAACAACAGTTAAGGGGAAAGTCTACTTTAAAATCTTCATAGTATCAGTCTTAATGGTCTCCTTCTTTTCATGACGAACAATTTGCAAGGGCAGTTTTAGAAATTTTTAGGTACATGATATAATCAATTACTCTAAGGAGCTCCATTGAATAGTTCATGGTTTTCTCTGAATTTTCCTAAGAATAGCAGTCTTTGTAATACAAAATTTAAATCTACATCTTTAAATTAGATCTGGGCTCTATGGGTTCTCAAATTCTGAGTTTTGCTTATTTTATTTATTACTGAGTTTTTAGTGGTTTTTGTTTATTTCTGTTTTCCAACTTGCTTTTAAAGAAATTAAACTTCATAGATAGTAAACACTCTTTATTATGGTAAATTCATGTTTGTCTTCATACGTTTTTGTCTACATATAAAAACAAACATGAAGGTAGAGTAATTCTAATGGTAAACTATTGTGATTGTTGAACACCTTTCATGTGGCTCTTGAACATCTTTCATGTAGTTAAAACTCACTTTCCCAGCCTTCCTTGTCCCTAGTCTCTGTCAGTCAGAAGTGAGAGTTGGATTAGAAGCATAATGAAACAGGCATAGCAGGGAAACCATTCTGAAAAGAGCGCTTAGTAAGACACTCAGGCTTTTAGTGACTGCAGCAGAATAGGTGCTAGCAACAGTGTCTGATTCTCAGCTTCAGCAAGTCAGGAACAATGGATTTACCCAGTTGTGGTGGCAGTGGGGTCTTTGTTACATTGTCTTAGTTGTTAATAGTGTCTTTAGACATCACAGCCAAGTCTGAAAGTCTAGAACTTTCAGATGTTTGGTGAGCTCCCTACTTTTCCAAACTGGGATGCTTTTGAGGGAAACAGGCATAAGCAGAAATTATTTCAGGCAAACTGACACATGTGATCACCTTATACAGAAAGCTGTTGGGAATAAAATAAATCATTAAAAAACAGAGAAATTTTCTGGCATCACTGTTGTAATTATGATATTTAAAGTAGCTTAAAATTTTTAAAAAGAAGAATCACCAATAACTAAACAGACTAAAAACAGTGGTTGACAGAATCAAAAAAATGAACAAGTTGCAAAACAAAGGAAAAAGAAAATTTTAAAAAAAAAGAACAACATGTAAACACAATAAAAAAACAACCATAAAAGGAACAAATTAGTGATCAAATAGAGCCACCGGAACTGACTCCCTTTTAGAAAACAATTACATTGTGGTTATTGGAGAAATATATAGAAATATGTCAAGGAAATTGATTCAATCTTCTGAAAAACACTAGTTTATTGATGTTGTTGTTGTTCACTCTAGCTTTACTGACTCTTTTGTAGCCTGAAGTTGGAAAAGAAAAGAAGTAATTAAGATACAAGATATGTTAAGAAAGTGTCTACAAATAACACCTGTCTTGAGTACAGTTAACACCATCTCACAAATGTCCCTGATTATCACAAAAGAATAATCATAGAAACAAATGGATTCCTTTTCCAAATAAACATATTATCATGGAAAAGAATGGTTATAAATGATCCTTTTAAAAAGGAAAATGAGGGTGTGGTGTGGTGGCTCATGCCTTTAATCCCAGCAGTTTGGGAAGCTGAGGCTGCAAAATTGCTTGAGGCTGAGTTTGAGAGGAGCTGGTGCAACATAGCAAGATGCCATATCTATATTAAAAATTGTTTTTTAAATTAACCAGGCATGGTGGCATGCACCTGTACTCCTAGTTATGCAGGAGGCTGAGGCAGGAGGCTTGCTTGAGCCCAGATATTCAAGGATACAAGGAGCCATGATTTTGGCACGGCACTCTAGCCTGCGTGACAGAGATCATACCCAGGGATTCAACTTACATAGAAGCTTCTACCTGTTTCATTTTGTTTTGTTTTCCAAGAGAGCAATAACTCTGGTTACTGTTCCTCTGGACATTTATTCAATCCATCAGTCTAAAAGCCAAGATTCAATTTAGTAGTTTGATCTATCACTAACTAAAATATTAATTTCCTTTAAAATATTAAATGACTTGGAAACTATTGGTCTTGTGTGTTATAAGAGGAAGACCCAAGGGAACTGAGGAATGAAGTGAAGACAAAAGCTACAAGATTACATATCTTGCACATATTACATATGACACAAAGAGTCAAGTGGGGGAAATAGCAACTGCTATTTCTCACAGCTTTAAAAGAGCTGACAAACATTTCTCACTGCCATTCTCCTTTCAAACCTTTCAAATAATAAATGTTTCACTTTTGTGATCTACATTGAGTATCTGGGGAATTAGATGTCCAAGAGAAAACATCTATATGACAGGGTGAAATTCTAGTGCATGGCCAATGTACAACAAGTAATTCAGAATTATTGAACAGAGTCCTTCGAATTAAGCACTGCTCTGAGATTCCTATTTATTTTTCAACCCTAAACTAGGGTGTGGAGGAAAGGAATTCATAACCTAACAAGTGAGGTAAGAGCCATAACACCAGGAAGAGGATTTTAAATACCAGGCACACAAAGTAAGTATAGAATTTTTTTTTTTTTTTTTTTTGAGATGGAGTTTCATTCTTGTTGCCCAGGCTAGAGTGCAACGACGCAATCTCACCACAACCTCTACCTCCCGGGTTGAAGTGATTCTCCTGCCTCAGCCTCCCGAGTAGCTGGGATTACAGGCATGCGCCACCATGCTGGGCTAATTTTGTATTTTTAGTAGAGACAGGGTTTCTCCATGCTGGTCAGGCTGGTCTCGAACTCCTGACCTCAGGTGATCCTCTCACCTCAGCCTCCCAAAGTGCTAGGATTACAGGCGTGAGCTACGGTGCCCAGCCGATTTTTTTATAATCTCCAGGTAATTTGAGATTGACACAAATCTATGGGAATATCCAAAGTCTGGTCACTGCTAAAGTTCAAGGTCATTTGCAATAAAGCAAGAGCGAGACATCCAGCACATTCTTCTCTTACCTGTTGACTGTGGCAGAGCCCTTGTTTCTTAAATGTCCTATAATCACTATCTGACTTAGAACTAGATGATCCCCGACGAACTTGGTGTGCATTTAGAATACTTTCATAGTAACTGTCAACTTTGTGCCCTGCCAGGTCATGGAATAATTCAGCCTAACCCTTACATTGAACAAATGGTTGAATTTTATTCAAATTTTTTTCTGCCCATATCAAAGGGTATAATTAGTGAAGTGACATTGTCCTTGACTACAACTCTTGCATTATTTTGTCATAAATTTCCCCTCGTTCATTATTCCAAGCCATGCTGGCTTCTCAGCTTCTTTAAGTCACTGTTCTCCAGTGACTTAAACTCCATCTTAGGGACTTTATACATGTTTCTTCAGCATAGAATATTCCATCTCTTGCACACCATCCCCAGCTCCAAACCCCATTGTTTTAGACTACATCCAACCAACTTTCAGTTTTTATCATAAAACGAACCTAGTCTTTTCATTACATGTTCTTATAACATCCTGTATTTCTCCTCAATATCACTGGTAATAATTACAGTCAATATTTCGTATGTGACTCTTTGCTTAAAGCCTGAATGGGTGACAACATTTAACATCTAAGAATATAGAGAATTGTTCGTCACCATCGTTTGTGCCTAAACAGTGCCACACTAACAGTAGGTATGCAACAAAAACTCCTTAAAAGTATAAATAATGTGAGAAATATTTTCCCCTCACATATAAATAAAAACCTATAGAAAGACTTCTGGGTGTACCCCACAGAATCTTGATGACAACATTTGTCAGTATGTTAGCTGTATTAGTTCATTTTCACATGCCATAAAGATATTACTTGAGACCTAGTATTTATAAAGAAAAGAGGTTTAATTGATTCACAGTTCTACATGTCTGGGGAGGCCTCAGGAAACTTAAAATTGTGGCAGATGGCAAAGGGAAAGCAGGCACCTTCTTCATAAGGTGGCAAGAGAGAGAAGTGAGAAGACAGGAAGAAACTGCCACTTTAAAAACCATCAGATCTCGTGAGAATTCACTCACTATCATGAGAACAGCATGGAGGACACTGACCCCATGATCCAATCACCCCCTTCCCTCCACAGGTGGCGATTGCATGTCCCTCCCTCAACATGAGGGGATTACAATTCCAGATGAGATTTGGCTGGGGACACAAAATCAAACTATATCATAAGCATACTCAAGAAAAATGAAAAAAATAACAATTTGCAGTTCAGTAATGTTCAGTCTTTCTAAGTTTCCTTCTATCAAGGCCAACATTGAGTGACAAGATTATTAACCAATAACTTTCATTTAAAATTGGCTAAAGACTCTGCTATCGTCTGAATGTTTTTGTTTCCCCAAAGTTTATAACATAAGATCCTAACTGCCAAGGTGATGGTATCAGGAAATGGGCCTTTGGTGGAGTAGGGAAATAGCGGGATCAGGGCATAAGTTTGGCGCCCTCAGGGATGGGATTAGTGTCTTTATAAAAGAGGCCCAAGAGAATTACTCGTTTTCTTTTCAGCAGGTAAGGACATAGCTAGAAGGCACCATCTCTGAGGAAGCAGGGCCTCAGTAGATACCAAATCTGCCAGCGCCTTGATCTTGGACTTCTCAGCTTCCAGAATTATGAGAAATACATTTCTTTTTTTTTTTTTTTTTTTTTTTGTAAGCTACTTGGCTGATGTTATCTAGTTATAGCAGCCTGAATAGACTAAGACAGACTCAAACACCAAACTAAGAATAAGGAGGCTTGAGTTTTAGCTCTACTACCCAGGAGTCTTGTGACTTAGAACAAATTGTGTTACTTCCGAACTTATTATAAAATAACTTTCATGTTATTATTTTCATCTGTTAACTAGAGAAATTGTACCTCATAAATCACGTATACTGGAGGTTAATCATTAGGAAGGTCACCAATGCTACACGTAATACAAAGGAGAAGAATAATTATGAAGGTTTCTATGTCAACTTAGTATTTTCTTGGAGAGAAAACATATATACTTATGACTTATTTGTATTTTGAAAGGTAGAGGGTCATATATGTTGCAGGCAGTGTAGAGACGTTGCAGATTAAACTGTACTTGTACTTTTTACATGTACACTTCATATAAATCCATAGTTATTTTCACCCTGCAAAATAGTTAAGAATATTAATGTAGTGTCCTAAAGAGGAGCCAGACTCTCGACTAATACCTGTCTCTGTAACAAGTGTGTATAACTAATTAGCATTATAAACTTTACATACATTTAAAGTTTTCAAGCATAGTATATAAATATGCAAACATGATTTGGATATACTGATTTTATCAAATCAATTAAAGATAGGGCAAGCTTGTGCTGATTGAGATAAAAATTTCCATCAAAGTTCTTACTAGTGCCATTTTGCAATTTTTTAAAGCTTATTACAGCTACAAAGAATGTATTTGTTTGTTTTCTAAAGTAAAACATACTGCTGACAGGAAAAACATGCCAAATGAATTTTATTGGTTTATAAGCTTCAAAAAGAAAACAATGTGAATATCAAGGATAAAGAAAGCAATGTATTTTACTGAGTCAAAGTGAAATAATTCAAAATTAACATCAATTTTATATTTTATTTATAATTCATAATTTTTACACTGATAATGTTCATTCTCATTAAAGAAATTTAAGAAAAATATAAAAAGTTTATTTTTAAAAATGTGCACATATTGCCATTTTTTATAAACAGAAAGTAGCACTTCCCTTTCTATGAATATATTGTATGTTTTCACCATTTTTCTATTGGGGATGTAACGCCTTTCTTATTGCACTGTAATTACATTTTATTTAGAAAGAATTTTAAACTTTTCCTTGATTTATTTGAGCAGATATTTTTTCCTAGCTTTGATGTTTGACCTTCTAGCTTATTTATGCATACTGATGAAATTATTTTTAAAAATTTTAAGTTGAAGTTACCTCTTTTGCTGTGATCGTTGTTATTTGTGCTTTCTTTCACTGCTTTTATTCTTGGAAAGTCCTCTCATGTTCCAAGACGACAAAATAGTCATCAATATTTTAGATTAGAAATTCCGTGTCTCCAAATTTTACATTTCGGTTTTAATGCTTTTGCAGTTTATAGCTGCATGTGTGGTGAGATATGGACCTAATGTGATTTTAAAAATATATATTTATTATAATTCCAAGCTTCAATTACCAACTAACTCCTTTTTCTCCACTGATATGATGGCCACCTTCATCATCATATACTCAATGAAAATATATTTGTTCGTGTGTGTGGGTCTCAGACATTGATATTTTTAGTCCATTGATTTTTGGTCAATTTTTAGTCTTTATTATACTCTTTAAGTTATTGTAACTTTATAAATACATTTTAATATTTAGTAGCATAAATGCCCCTCAACACATCTAAAATATTTATACTTCCACATTAACTTTACTATCTATGTCTTTATTAAGCCACCACAAACTTTTATTGGGCTTATGGTTGGAAATATATTAAATATGGATTAATTGAAGAAGATCTAAAATCTTCAGAATAATCAAAATTTCCATCCAAGAGCTATTTCCCTAACAAGTGTTCATTATATCACTGGAAAAAATTTGTTCTTTTATCTTTATAGTGCCCATAATGTTTGTTATTGTTACATTTCTTGCATAGATTTTTTAAAATTTTTGTTGCAGTTAACATTTGGATTTTCCCTTTAAAGTCCATAACTGCGTATGCTATTATTTAGTACAGTTACGAATATTTGTCTAGATTTGTTTAGTCCCTGGCTGTCTTAGTCCATTAATTCTGCTATAACAAAATGCCTGAGAGTGGGTAATTTATAAATTCATTGTTCACAGTTATACAAGTTGGGTTTGTGCCCAACACAATAGGTTTGTGCCTATTCTCTGTTTCCAATATAGCACCTTGAATGCTGTGTCCTCTGGAGGGGATAAATGCTGTGTCCTTACATGACAGAAGAGAATGAAGGGCAAATGGGGTAGAAAAGCAAAGGACCTAGCTAGCTAATTCCAGCCCTTTTATAAGGTTGCTAATCTCATCCATGAAAGCGGAGCCCTTATGGGCTAGTGACTTTTTAAATGTACTACCTCTTAATACTGTTGCATTGGGGGTTAAGTTTCAGTGTGAATTTTGGAAGGGACACAAACATTCATACCATAGCACTGGTCATCATGTTGGTAATTTATAGAATAAAATATTTCTGTTTATTCCTTTAAATTTTTTGGTAAAATTAATTTACTTGTATTTCTTCCAAATTTCATGTCCTCTTCCCATTTTTATAAAGCACAAGTCTGATTTCATTCAGTCTTTAAATTCGCATATGAGACATTTTGCCAAGAAATCCCTCTAGCAATTATAATACAAAAAGTCAGTTTAGTAAAATAAATCATATATCTGATTAATACATTCTTGTTATATCAGCTAGAAGCTAGTCTGCATCTTATCAGTGTTTATTAGTATAACAATAAGCTAGTGTGTGTAATGATAACAGAAATTATATTAATGACTACTAGATGAGTTTCTAGCAGTTGTAAAGAACGTAAGTTTTTCCAACTTAATGTCTTACCCAGTGAAGGAATTAGATTACAGTTTTGAGTCCATACTCTCAGACCCTGAGTTCAAAAGACTTGTCTTCTAATCAACAGAGTTCAATAAAGTAAATTACAGATTAGAGGGATCGGACTCGTTAGAATTCTAGCTGTGAGAATAGTATTCTTTAATGCTCCCTCCCAACTCCTATTTCTTACTGTCTACACTGCATGAAATTTCATTCCCATTAATTTCATGTTTAGTATATACAGTCTGATATGGTTTGGCTGTGTCCCCAAACAAATCTCCACTTGAATTGTATCTCCCAGGATTCCCACATGTTGTGTGAGGGACCCAGGGGGAGGTAATTGAATCATGGTGGCAGGTCTTTCCCATGCTATTCTTGTGATAGTGAATAAGTCTCATGAGATCTGATGGGTTTATCAGGAGTTTCTACTTTTGCTTCTTCCTCATTTTTCTCTTGCTGCCTCCATGTAAGAAGTGCTTTTCACTTCCCACCTTGATTTTGAGGCCTCACCAACCATCAGGTAGGTCTTTATCAGCAGCATGAAAATGAATGAATACAGTAAATTGGTACCAGTAGTGTGGGGCATTGCTGAAAAGATACCTGAAAATGTGGAAGTGACTTTGGAACTGGGTAACAGGCAGAGGTTGGAACAGTTTGGAGGGCTTAGAAAAAGACAGGAAAATGTGGGAAAGTTTGGAACCTCCTAAAGACTTGTTGAATGGATTTGACAAAAATGCTGATAGTAATATGAACAATAAGGTCCAGGCGGAGGTGGTTTCAGGTGGAGATGAGAAACTTGTTGGGAACTGGTGCAAAGGTGACCCTTATGTTTTAGCAAAGAAACTGGCAGCATTTTGCTCCGCCCTAGAGATTTGTGGAACTTCGAACTTGAGAGAGATTATTTTGGGTATCTGGCAGAAGAAATTTCTAAGCAGCAAAGCATTGGAAAGATGACTTGGGTGCTGTTAAAAGCATGCTGTTTTTGAAAGAAAACAGAGCATAAAAGTTCAGAAAATTTTCAGGCTGATGATGCAGCAGAAAAGAAAAACCCATTTTTTGAAGAGAAATTCAAGCCAGCTGCAGAAATTTGCATAAGTGGCAAGGAGCCTAATGTTAATCCACCAGACCATAGGGCAAAAGTCTCCAGGCCATGCCAGAGACCTTCACAGCAGCCCCTCCCATCACAGGCCCAAAGGTCCGGGAGGAAAAAGTGGTTTCATGGGCCAGGCCTGGGGTCCTCATGCTGTGTGCACCCTAGGGACTTGATGCCCTGTGTCCCAGCTGCTCCAGTCATGGCTGAAAGGGGCCAACATAGAGCTTGGGTGTTGCTTCAGAGGATGGAAGCCCTAAGCCTTGACAGCTTCTATGTGGTGTTTGGCCTGTGGGTGCACAGAAGTTAAGAATTGAGGTTTGGGAACCTCCATCTAGATTTCAGAGGATGTATGGAAACTCCCAGATGCCCAGACAAAAGTTGCTGCAGGAGTGGGGCCCTCATGGGGAACCTCTGCTAGGGCAGTGTGGAAGGGAAATGTGGGATGGGACCCCCACACACACACAGAGTCCCTACTGGGGCACTGCCTACTGGGGCTGTGGGAAGAGGGCCACCATCCTCCAGACCCCAGGATGGTAGATCCACTGGCAGGTTGCATTATGCACCTGGAAAAGCCACAGACACTCAAGGCCAGCCTGTGAAAGCAGCCAGGAAGGAGGCTGTATCCTGCAAGCCACAGGGGCAGAGCTGCCCAAGACCATGGGAACCGACCTTTGGTATCAGCGTGACCTGGATGTGAGACATGGAGTCAAAGATCATTTTGGAGTTTTAAAATTTGACTGCCCTGCTGGATTTCAGACTTGCATGGGCCCTGTAACTCCTTTGTTTTGGCCAATTTCTCTCATTGGAATGGCTGTATTTACCCAATACCTGTACCCCCATTGTATCTAGAAAGTAACTAGCTTGCTTTCCATTTTACAGGTTCATAGGCAGAAGGGACTTGACTTGTCTCAGATGAGACTTTGTACTGTGGACTTTTGGGTTAATTCTGAAACAGAGTTAAGACTTTGGGGGACTGTTGGGGGCCTGGTTGGTTCTGAAATGTAAGGACATGAGATTTGGAGGGGCCAGGGGCAAAATGATATTATTTGGCTCTGTGTCCCCACCCAAATCTCAACTTGAATTGTATCTCTCAGAATTCCCAAGTGTTGTGGGAGGGAACTAGTGGGAGGTAATTGAATCATGGAAGCCAGTCTTTCCTGTGGTAATCTTGCGATAGTGAATAAGTCTCACAAGATCTGATGGGTTTATCAGGGGTTTCTGCTTTTGCTTCCTCCTCATTTTTCCCTTGCTGCCACCATGTAAGACGTGCTTTTCACCTCCCGCCATGATTCTGAAGCTTCCCCAGCCATTGGAATTATAAGTCCAAATAAACCTGTTTTTCTTCCCAGTCTCAGGTATATCTTTATCAGCAGCATGAAAACAGACTAATATACAGTCTGTAGTTAAATATTTCCTCTTTGGGGGTAAACTGAAGTTGTATTTCTTGGGCCTTTCTCTTTCTTCCTTGGGTTGTAGAGTTCACTGGAATTTTGAAAAAGAGTTGAAAATCTCTCTCTTTATTTGTCATGTAGGTGCCTATATCCCTCTGGTTAGCCTTGGCTCCAACAAATAAACTAGCCAAAACCTGTAAGAGAATGTACCAAAATGTTTAATGAGTTGGAAATTAAAATTTTGGGGTTTCAATTCCTTTTAGACGCTTTGAAGATACAAAATTAGGCAGATAGAAAATGCAATTAAAATATCTAAAAATAAGCTGTAATGGTATTATTAGGAACAAATTTCTCAGACTTTTAGCTTATTCAAATCACTATTCTATTGTTAAATATTAAATGATCATCAAAATAACGTACTAATTTTGTGTGGACCTTAAACCCCTTTATGAAGTGTCTCATTTCTACCCAAGAAACATTTTCTATTATGATACATTGGATACCTAAATATATAGTAAGAACAGAAGGCACTAGGTCTATTAAAGACTTGTATTACATTATTTTTTCTTGGAATTCTTATGACTTCAGCATTGTATTTAAAAATACCATGTATCTGCAATAGAAAACATGAACTAGTACTAAATGAAGAAATGGATGCTGAAGATAAATTATCTAATGTTTAGTACCACATTGCTGAATGTCAGACTCACACAAATCACAGTTCTTACTCAGGAGCAATTATTACTGGTAATTTCAAAGATATAAGCAATCAAGATGCATGAGTCAATTAGGGAGGGATCAG
Organism: Homo sapiens; assembly: GCF_000001405.40. Lineage (NCBI taxonomy): Eukaryota > Metazoa > Chordata > Mammalia > Primates > Hominidae > Homo > Homo sapiens. The sequence goes on from NC_000004.12 coordinate 30,553,380, forward strand.
GAGCATTTTGTGTGGCTCTCCATGACTTTTTGGTCAGCGTTGGCAATTCCTCTCTGGTCCAGAGTAATATAAGAGGTTTCCTGTGAGGTTTACAGGACACCTCCAACAGTGGGGAGACTTTAGCTTATGAAGCATCTCAATTTTATAGTCACAGATAGTTCTATGGCTTATATCAGGGGTCCACAACCCCCAGTACTCATCCATGGCCTGTTAGGAACTGGGCCTCACCACGGGAGGTGTGAGGCGGGCCAGCATTACTGCCTGAGCTCCACCTCCTGCCAGATCAGCAATGGCATTAGGTTCTCATAGGAGCACGAACACTATTGTGAACTGTGCATGCAAGGGATCTAGGTTGTGCACTCCTTATGGGACTCTAATGATAAATGTAATGCACTTGATCATCCTGAAACCATCCCCCACATTCTGGTCCTCGGCAAAATTTTCTTTCACAAAACCAGTCCCTGATGCCAAAAAGGCTGGGGACTGCTGATTTATATGACCTTTTCTAAGAAACTGTGACTCAAAAATTCTTACAATATGCATTCTTTACCACAAGCAAATCAGAAACATCCTGCTAAAAGCATTCCAGAGATAAGCACTAGCCTTCTAGCAAGTATCATTTGTCTACTACTACAAGGTTCAGTTATTAAGATGTTTACAAGAAGATTATGCTAACTCACCTGCCTTCTTTCTTTCCTTAGTAGTGATCACAACCCAACTTTTCAAACTACGTTTCACCCAATTAATAACTTTGTGTTTACTTTAACAAAATTTCTATTTAAAACTATCATAAGTTTTTACATTGATCTCTGGGTTTAAAATATCCAGAAATGTTATCTTAACCATTTTTTTTTTTACTACAGAATAACTAGACTGAAGCCTTAAGACTTACAGGAATACAGGTGTGTGTAGCTTCAGCATAAGAATCAAATATTTCCACATTCAGCAATCCTTACGTTTACTGGTATAATAAATAATTGGAAAATCCTAGTAAATAAAATAGTTATATTCATTGAAAACTACTTATTTATGTGGGGAAGTTTTGGGGGTGAGGAAGATAACAAATATGTAGGGATCTACAGTTTTCAGTTTGTTCTATAAATATGTATAATTTTAGTGTTTAATTTCTTATTTTATTGTTGCATGTGAGATATGAGTCAATAGACAGATACAGGTATTCCACACAAATTACTCTTTACCAACCATACAACTTTATTCCAAATAACAGAATCCTTAATTAAAGAATAAATTATGCATGTATAAATTAAGTCTATCTCCAATGTCTTCAGATATCAGAGCCCAAACATTGTATGCCTAAGAGACTCAAGTTTCCTGGGCAGTAAGAGAACTCTCATTATAAATTTTTTAAAGTAATATAATTTTATTTATAAAAAATCACAGCTCTTCATATGTGAACCTTAATTGATAAAAATATTTTAACAACTTCCAAACTTTGGTTTCACCTGAGAAAAAATATCATTTATCTATGTTTTCAACCTCAGTTCTTGCCTTTCATTTGACACTGGCACATACATTCAGATTCAGATTTGGATAATTAAACTTAATATAAAGATTTCTCAATCACCATCATAATAAATCATTGGTAAACAGTTCCACTATGGAAAGTAGTTGTGTATTTATCCAACCTTCATTCCTTATGCAATATCCTTCAAACAGGTAAATGCTCAAACTGAGCTATCATTTTCTCTTTATTGTTGAAAGGTATAATTAGCATATGTCATCATCTAAAATGATTTTTTAATTTGAGGAGTTCAAAATATAAACATTTGAAATAAAATCATATTGATGTTATCATTTCTTCAATCTTTCTTATTAATTCTGGTCTTGCTGCAGGGAATTTCTACCTATTTTTTATTGTGTTTGGTATATGGTATTGTATTAGATTAATACTAGGCTTTTCTTTTCTATCCAAGAATTTGAAGCCATGTAGACACATCTAAAATAAAGTTTGTTAATGGAATGTGAAACTGAATCAGAGTCCAAAGTCATAAGAAGTATGACTGTAGCCATTTATGGGAAAGGAAATTATTTATTTCAGAAAGTAATACCATCCCAACGTATAGAAAAGAAAATTATTTAGTTAACAAAGCCAGCTGCAAGTAACAATAAAGCAAGTGATTAAAAAAGCCAAAAAGGCAACAGATAAATAAGGCACAGTTAGTGAATCCCTATTTAGGTGAATGTCACAATGATTTCTTGGCCACCTCCATAAAACTCCTATTGTAAAGAAAGCTTAAGATCTATTACAGAGTAGCACATTGTCACTTTTGTAAGTCCAACCAAAGCCCTGAGGAAATTGATGCATTCAGTACATTTCTCTGTGAAATATTAAATTACTTAGTTCTGAAGTGCGATTCTTGAGTTGCAAAGCTATTTCCTAGAAGCATCTCTCAATGTGTCACAGATTGCTTTAAAAAAGAAGCCGATGACAATAGAAAAAACAGCAATAACAATATCAGTGATAGTTTTAGCAATTCTGGACTAAGAAATTCAGGGCTGGATGAGCAGCAGCTGCCTGTGCACATATAAATGCCTGTCAGCAACATATGAGAGTGCATATGTGTTTCAGGAAAAAGAGAATTTTCCTTCCTGCTCCCTGAGTGTTTATGAAAGTGGAAATAGAGCAGAATGGTTAAAGTGGAATTTCAGTCTACACAGAGCTGTTGTTGACTCTGTACATGCTGTTTAGACATGATAATGTCACTTAATCTTGCAAAGCCTCAGTTGTCTTACTTATAGATGTCTTTAATATGGAAGAATATCAAATTGAATTATGTAGGACCAAATTGAATTATGTAGGATTGAATTATGTAGAATCTCTAGGCACATAGAAAAACCCTACAAACAATAGTGGTGCAGATTATTGTGATGACATTTGTTCTCTGAAATCTTATTCATTAGTAAATGTAAAATGAATAAATATCATTATTCCATGCATATACTGTGAAACTACTACTAAACTACATTATCATTTATTTATTCGTTCATTGAAAAAATATGAACTTGAGCACCTATTATGTGCTAGACACTAATTTAGGTACTTGGAGTACACAAGTAATTAAAACAGATTTCTTTCTCATGGAACTACCCTTCCACCAGATACTATTAAATCAAGACCATAATTTAATAAATAATAAATCATATTGGAAGGAGAGATGATATGGAAAAATATTAAAAGATCAGGATGAAGGGGACAGGGAATGCGGAATGGTGCGTATTTTAAATAAGGTGTACATCTACTTGAAAAGGTGAATTATGAGCAAAGGATTGAAGGAAGTGTGGGCCTGAGCAACTCCTATCAGGAATAGCTAATACAAAAACCCTAAGGCAGCAAAGAGACAGGTGCAGCTACAGCCGAACTAGCAAAGCAAAGAAAAATATGAGATGAGAACAGGATAACAGGAAGGTAAGAAGCCAGGATCAGCTACCACCTTGTCTGCCATTGTAAAGTCCTTGGATTTTACTCTCAGTAAAACAAATAAAACTTTGAGGGTTTTGTGCAGAGGAGTGAGATGGTTATATTTGCTTTTAAATGATAACTCTGCATGCTGTGCTGTGAACAAACTAAGGCGTAAGAAGCAAGGGGCTTCAGTTAGGAGGCTACTGAAGTACTCTGGGAGAGAAACACTGATGGCCCAACCAGGGTGATAGCAAGGAAAGACAGGGTCAGATTTGAGATATGCTTTGAATGTAAATTAAACAGCGTTGCCTACCAGACAGTATGTGTGTTGTGAGAGAAATAGAAGAGTCTCCACTGACTCAGAATACTTTGACTTGACCACTTGTAAAAACTTGCCATAAACTAGACCCTGGATAAATGCAGTGAGAGCAGGCTGATTTGTGGATTCTTATTTTAAGGAGAGGGAAGTGAGAGAGAAGAATAGGCGCAACCTGAGAGTTCAGAAATACTGTGCTTGAGATATTTAACACATATTCAAATGAAAATATCAGTTGAATAAACAAGTCTAGGGTTCAGAAGAGATGTCTAATTTGGTTATACACATTTGAGAGTTATTAGCATGTAACTGGTATTTAAAGCCATAAATCTGAAGGAAAAAACCCACCATGTGAGTGAAGTAGATAGAGAGGGAAAAAGACCAGTGTCTAAACCCTCTAACATTAAAGGCAAGGAATAAAACAGGAAAAGAGATTTTAAAGAGTGCCCATTGAGGTAGGAGAGAAAACAAGACATGCAATTAATTATGACGAATCCTTCTAAGGGGAAGTAGACATTGAGTATAGAGAATTCACTACTGGAAATAACAAAATAAAGGTCATTCATGACCTTGAGACAAGACCACCAATTACAGTTGTAGGGGACAAAAACCTGACAAAAATTGGTTTAAAAGAAACTGGAAACAATGAGTGAAAACAACAACATATTTCAGGTTCTAACGAAAAAGGAGACTGGAAATTATGAAAGAGAGAAAAGCCGTGATGGGAAGCTGAAAAGGGGATTGAGGAGAGATTACTCAGAGAGAAAAGAGATTATTTTTTATGTATACATAACATTATAAGTGGGGAAGTTTGCTGAGAAATGAAGCAAAGCACATTGTGGAGTAAAAGAATCATACTTTTCCAGACCCATTGTCCTCCAATACAAATATTTTATTTTTAGAAGGAGGAGTATGATTGCAGAGTGAATAGTGTAGATTGATAGAGTACACTCTAGTACCTGTGGTTGTTGTGGGTTAACTTGCGTTCTCCAAAAGGATATGTTTAAATCCTTAACCCTGCCTCATATTTGTGAAACTGAACTTATTTGGAAACAGAGTCTTTGCAGAACTAATCAAGTTAAGGTAAGGTCATACTGAATTAGGGTGTGCTGTAAGTCCAATGACTGGTGTCCTTATAAAAGATCATGTGAAGGCACAGACTCAGACAGAGGAAAGAAGTTCATGTAATGAAGGAGGCAGAGATGAGAGTTATGCAGCCCATGAGCAAAGAATTACCAGCAACTTCCAGAAGCTGGAAGAGGCAAGAGAATTTTGTCCCCTCACATGGCCTACTGACAGTTGATTTTGGACTTCTGGCCTCCAAACTGTGAGAGAGTAAATTATGTTGTTTTAAGACATCCAGTTTGTGGAACATTGTTAAATAGTCCTTGGAAACTAACGCAATGACATTGTTTCAAAAATGTTGTAAAGATGTTTTGGTTATTGTTTCTTGGCTCACTGCAACCTCCCCCTCCTGGATTCAAGCAATTCTCCTGCCTCAGCCTCCCGAGTAGCTGAGATTACAGGCATGCACCACCATGCCTGGCTAATTTTGTATTTTTAGTAAAGACTGGGTTTCACCATATTGGCCAGGCTGGTCTCGAACACCTGACCTCGTGATCGGCCCACCTTGGCCTCCGAAAGTGCTGGGATTACAGGCGTGAGCCACCACACCTGGCCTATTTTGTTTTAATACCTCCTCATTCACAGGGTTTCTAACACTCAATAATACTAGGAAGGTAGAAGATACATTCCATCAACAGGAATATTGATGGGGCAGTAACATTTTAAAATAAATGAGATTATTGGTTATATAGATCTTAGTTGAGTTAAAGTTCAGATTATTTCTTATTAGTAGAATCTGATAGAAGAAACACCAAAGGTAACCTGAAATGACAATAAAAGTAACTCAGATCACTTCAAAAATAAGTAAAATGTATAACGAACCTACTCACCGCCAGTTTCAAAATTAGGCTGATCCTTTAGCTAACCTTAGTTGCTCTATCATCTCATTAAATGTGCATTTTATGCCAGCTGTGCACTGATATCTTCATGAGTTCAACTAGTTCTAGACAAAATTAGAAGGTCTAAAACATGTGGTTTGTTGTACCATTTGTGCCCTGAGCTATTCCCCACACTCTACCCATGGGGAGAGGTAAGGAATAGGGACTGAAGTCTATCTCATACTTTGCTCTCATATCTATACTCCCTGGCACAGCCTTACCTAGGCCCCAAGGATGCAAAGTCTTTCCTCTAATATTCTGTCAAATCAAGTTTAGCCTAAAGCTGCCTCCTTACGTATTTTAAGTTCACCCTAAAGGTTTTTCTGTACATCATGAACTGTAACAAGTGGCAGTGTAAACAGGCTGTAGCCTACACTTAGCCAATCACCGAGTTTTGGCCAACCAAATGTTCGAACTAATCAAACGCTGAGCTGTAGCCAATCCAGCTGTTTCTGTACCTCACTTCTGTTTTCTGTATGCCACTTTCCTTTTTCTGCCCATAAATCTTCTTCCACCACATGGCTGTGCTGGAGTCTCCCTGAACCTACTCTGGCTCAGGAGGCTGTCTGATTTGCAAATCGTTCATTGCTCAACTAAACTCTTTTAAATTTAATTTGGCTGAAGTTTTTGTTTTAACAGTTCATATAAGTTTCATCTGTGTTAACATGAATTGCTGGGTTTAGTTTTGTAATAATGAATCACAGTACCTATATTATGTAACAAACATTTATTATACCCATAGTATGTTACAGAATATTTTGGTGTTGGAATTACCACCACGAAGAAGAAAGAGTGCTGGCCCTCCACAAGTTTACAGTAGGAAGAAAAATGAATAAAAAGGCAATTTCCAAATGGTGTGATAGTGGCTAACAGAGATAATAATAAGATTCTACAGCACTTCCTGGATTCCATGAGGGGCATTAAGAGAAGCAATCTAGGTTCCTAGAGGAGTTACACTTCAAGCCCAAAACTCAAAATTCAGTAAGAATTAGCCATGGGGATAAATGGAATAATGGCTGTTTCAATTAGAGAAAAAGATCATATACAAAGTCCAGGAAGCCAAAGAGAGTATACCTGTTAATGAGACTTCAAACTTTTCCCTTTAGCTGGACCTAGAGTAGGAGAGAGAGGAGCAACAGATGAAGATGTTGCTATAAGCAGGGGCCAAATCATGAAAGTCCTCTAACACCATGTCAGAGATAACAAACAGAGTTGATGTCATGTTTAAAGCAAGGGAAATGATCACGTTTTAGAAAGATTACTTAATATGTATTTGGATAAATAAATTGAAAGGGCAAAACTACTACCCATTGAAGAGGTGAATGTAAAATCCGGGAGAGAATATGTGGCCTGAATCATGACTTTGAATAAGTGAGAAAGGAAAGAAGAGGACATATTGGAGAATAAATAATTAATAGAAGTATTGGTTGCATGTGGGAGGACAGAATAAAGAAATCAAGGAAGACTTTCAAGGATTTGGGAGGACAGTGATGTCATTAAGATAGAGAATAATGGAGGACTATGGGGTGAAGGATAGGAAGACAATGGGTTTGGTTTGGGATAAGTAGGTTTGAAGTGATAATAAGATGTTTTTAGTGAAGATGTTTAATGATAAATTGAATACACATGCTCAGGAACCAGGTTCAGCTTGAAAATATGTGAGCCATCACCTGCATATACATGTCATCTGAAGAAAAGCAGTTGGAGTAGGTTAGTTTCATAGAGAGAATGGATAGAAAACTAATAGAGAGAATGCATAGAAAAGTATCAGAACAGGGCTCATAACAGAACCTCAAAGAACCACTGAGTTTTATGGTACGGATGGAAAGGAGGAGATTACAACAGGAATGTAGTAGTTGGTCAAAAAATATATGCTGTTCTATGGGAGCCGATGGAGAGAAGTATTCCACTTGGAAAGGAGTCACCAGTTTCAAATTAAGCAGAGGATTATCATAGATCAAGACTGAAAATAATCTTTACTTAGCCACAAAGAAAGCATTGTTGATTGTAGGTAACTTGTCTAAAAGGTGATTGCATCTCTGACCTAGTCTATATTTTAATTTTAATTAAAGTGTATTAATTAAGGATATAAGTTCACAAGTAGCATTTGTAAGTACTAACAAACATGAGTTGATTGATTAATTAATCTTTTATTATCATAATCAAATAAGATCATTGACATGAGCATTATACATTGGCTATGAACCTAGAAACTTGTGAACAAATTGAAAAAGGTATTTTCAAAACTCTGGAAATTTTCTCTTACTTAACAGTCATTTTCTAAATATAATGGAATGTCATCTTTAGTCTATATCCAGGATCCTGGAATCCAAGTAATTCATGTTTACTTATTTTGTAGCTTAGCAGAAAACTGAATCTAGCTTAGTGTTCTGAATAAATAATAATTCTACAACCTAGAGAATTACTTGGCAGCACTATGGGGTTAAGATTTGTCTAGGGAAAAAGTGATTCCCGTTTATGTTCGTATTACATCTGTAATAGGTCTTCCATGCATATTTACCAATGAAAAAAATGATAAAATGAATGAACACGTAGAAGAAGGAAACAGTACAAGTATGTAATGGAAAGCAGGTTCGGAAAGACTAATGATATTAACTGCAATCTACCCAAAGAGAAATATTAGGGTGTTATTCATGAGTAAATAAATTCTTCCATGGAACAACAGCAACAAAATTATAGTGAGCAGTTACCCTCTGTAGGCAGTTTTCCTTGTGTGCCCTTCCTCTGTTTTCAGCTTCCTCCAGCAGCAATGTTTCCACTAATAAATATCTCTCATTGTCATAGTTCTGTTTTTAGAAATATGTGCTCTCTAAACTGTATCCGTAAATCTAATATTATTCTTGTTCTTCTCCCACTGATCCAAAAGACTATGCCCCTTGTTCTTGACTTAACCAGCTAGCTATTCAGTTGAACTACTCTCAAGGGTAGTGTATTGGAGATATCCCAACACACTTCAGGCTATGCATATACTTACTTGGCATTTAATAAAGCATGTGTAACACTTTCAGTTTTCTCCCTGCTTTAGTAGCATGGATATTCACTGTGCTGTTAAACTAGTGCCTAGAGGAAACAGGCATTCTAATTTCTTAAATTCTAATTATAAGCAAGTTATTTATAATTTAATTTTACCACAATGTTTCACTGGCTTGAAACAAGTGTCAATTAGGTTTTAAAAAACTATGTTCTCAATATCATCATATTTCTACTCAAGGCAACTGGTCATATAGCTATGAAAGATTGAGATACAAATATAGATATATTTTCCTCAAAAAAATAAAAGTACTAAAAAATTCATAAACTAATAATGATATAGGCCTTTCATCAAGTGAAAGTTGCTAAATAATTAGGGAACATCTGCAGTATATTCAGATTCAATGATAAGTATGCTGGTAATTCCATTCAAGTTTATGCTTTGATTCAGAGCTTTTAGATAAAAGTCAGTTTCTCTCTCTCTTCCCCCTCTTCTTTCTTAATCTTTTCTTTTTGTTTAGTTTTTTTGTGTGTGTTGTGTGTGTGTGTGTGTGTGTGTGTGTGTGTGTGTGTAAAATTCTATCAGAAGATATGAAAATGCTCAGGGGTGATGTTCTTCTTTCCTCCCAAATAGGCCTTCAAAGTTTCCGCTTTATGGTTGATTTTCCAGAACTTTTGATTTTCAAAATAACATTCTGAAGATTTTGTCCTGAAATAGTATTCAAAAACTAGTCTTCCCATATTTAATGAACCCTGGATTCTTTACTTAGTTGCTTTTTTCTTCTTAAATTACATACCACAGAATTTTAACATAAATGTAGCATTTAATTTGGCTTTTTAGAAAAGACCAGCACCTGCTGTCTTCATTGCCAAATTCTATCAAACATGCAAAGAAGAACTGATGCCGCTTTTCCTCAAACTATTCCAGAAAAATGAAGAGAAGAGCATACTTCCAAACTCATTTTAGTAGGCCAGCATTACCCTGATTTCTAAACATTTTGTTGTGACAAGGACACAACAAAAAATAAAATTACAGGCCAATATTCCTTATGAACATAGACGTAAAAATCCTCAAGAAGACACTATCAAATAAAATTCACCAGCATATTAAAAAGATCATTTATTATGATCAAGTAGGAGACATTCTAGGAAGGCAAGGATGGTTCAACATATGGAAATCAATAAATGTGATATATCACATTAAAAGAAAGGCAAAAAGCATATGATCACCTCAATAGATGCAGACAAAAAAATTTGACAAAATTCAATATCCCTTCATGATTAAAAACTCTCAATGAATTAGGTATACAAGGTATGTGCCTCCACACAATAAAACCCATATATGACCATCCCACAGCTGACATTATACTGCACAGGGAAAAGTTGAGAACTTTTTCTCTAAGATGAAGAACAAGACAAGAATGCCCACTTTCACCACTTATTCAACATAGCACTGAAAATCCTAGCCAGTGCAATTAGGCAAGAGAAAGAAACAAAGGCATCCAAATTGGAAAAGAAGACATCAAATCATCCCTGTTTGAAGATGGCATGATGTTATATACAGAAAACCTTGAAGTCTCCACCAAAATGCTGTTAGAACTAATAAATTCAATAAAGTTGCACGATACAAAAATCAGCCTGCAAAATTTAGTAGTATTTGTGTACACTAATAGTGAACTATCCAAAAGGAAATCAAGAAAACAATTCATTTTCAATAGCTCCAAAAAAGATACATAGGAATAAACAGAGCTTAAAGACCCCTACAAGTAAAACCATGAAATATTAGTAAAAGAAACTTAGGAGAACACAAATAAATGAAAAGATGGCCATGTTTACAGATTGAAAGAATTGATATTGTCAAAATAAACATACTACCCCAAACTATCTATGGATTTAATGCAATCTCTGTCAAAACACCAATGGCATTCTTCACAAAAGAAGAAAAACAATCCTAAAATACATATGGAACTAAAGACCTCAACTCTCCAAGCAGTCTTGAGCAAAAGGAACAGAGCTCAATATATCACCCTGCCTTACTTCAAACTATACTACAAATCTATAGTAACCAAAATAGCATCATACTGGAAGAAAAACACATACATAGGTCAATGGAACAGAAAAGAGAGCCCAGAAACAAATCCACATATTTATAGCTAACTGATTTTAAACAGAGGTACCAAGAATGTACACTGGAGAAACAATATTCTCTTCAAAAAATTGTGCTGGAAAAAATGGATATCCATATGCAAAAAAAAAAAAAGACTAGATTCCCATCTTTCACCGTAAACAAAATTCAGATCAAGATAGATTAAAAACAAACATAAGACATAAAACTATAAAACTACTGGAAGAAAACATCTGGATAACACCATGACATCGGGTTGAGCAAGGATTTTTTTTTAATAAAACCTCAAAAGCACAGGCAACAAAAGCAAAACTAGGCAAATGAGATTACATCAAAAAGAAAAGCTTTTGTACAGCAAAGGAAGTTACTAAGAGAGTGAAGAGACAACGTACAGAATGAGAGAAAACATTTGTAAACTTTACCTCTGACAAATAGTCAACATCCAGAATACATACAGAACTTAAACAACTCAACAGCAGAAACTCAAATAATCCAATGTAAAAATTAGCAAAGACCTTAATATATATTTCTCAAAATAAGATATACAAGTGACTAAGAGATACATGAAAAATATCCTCAATGTCTCTAACTATAAGGAAAATGCAAATTAAAATCACAGTAAGATATCACTTCACATCTGTTAGAATGACTATTATCAAAAAGATGAACAAAATTAAGTGTTGCAAGGGATGTAGAGAAAAGAAAACATTTAAACACTATTGGTGGGATTATAAATTAGTACAGTCAATATGAAAATTGGCATAGAACGTCTCAAAATAATTAAAAATAGAACTACCATATGATTCAGCAATTCAATTTCCGACTATATATCCAAAGAAATTAAGATCAGTATTTGAAGAGATATCTGAATTTCCATATACATTTTAGCATTATTCACAATAATGATGGTATGAAAGCAACCTAAATGTTCACCAGTGGATGAGTAGATATTAAAAAGTGGTAGGCACACACAATAGAATACTATACAGCCTGACATGGTTTTGCTGTGTCCCCAACCAATTGTCATCTTGAATTCTAGTTCCCATAATCCCCATGTGTTGTGGAGGGACTCCGTAGGAGGTAATTGAATCATGGGGGTGGTTACCCCCATCCTGCTGTTCTCGTGATAATGAGTGAGTTCTCACCAGGTCTAATGGTTTTATAAGGGGCTTTTCCCCCTTTGCTTGGCACTCAATCTCCTTCCTGCTGCCATGTAAAGAATGATGTGTTTGCTTCCCCTTCTGTCATGATTAGAAGTTTCCTGAGGCCGCCCTAGCCATGCTGAACTGTGAGTCAATTAAACCTCTTTTTTTCATATAAATTATGTAGTCTCAGGTATTTCTTTATAGCAGAATGAGAGTAAACAAATACAGTAAATTGGTACTGGTAGAGTGGGGAGCTGCTGTAAAGATACATGAAAATGTGGAAGTGATTTTGGAACTGGGTAACAGGAAGAGGTTGGAACAGTTTTCAGGGCTCAGAAGACAGGAAAATGTGGGAAAGTTTGGAACTTCCTACAGACTTGTTGAATGGCTTTGACCAAAATGCTGATAGTGATATGGACAATGAAGTCTAGGTTGAGGTGGTCTCAGATGGAGATGAGGAACTTGTTGGGAACTGTAATAAAGGTGATTCTTGCTTTTTTTTTTTTAGCAAAGAAACTAGCAGTATTTTGCCCTGCACTAGAAATCTGTGGAACTTTGAACTTGAGAGAAATGACTTAGGGTATCTGGCAGAAGAAATGTCTATGGGGCAAATCATTCAAGGAGAAGCAGAACATAAAATTTGGAATGTTTGGACCCTGACAATGCAATACAAAAGAAAAAAAAAATCTTTCCTGGGAAGAAATTCAAGCCTGCTGCAGAAATTTGCATAAGTAATGAGGAGCAGAATGTTAATCACAAAGACAATTGGGAAAATGGCTCCAGGGTGTTTCAGAGACCTTCACTGCAGCCCCTCTCATCACAAGCCTGGAGGCTTAGGAGGGAAAAATGGTTTCCTGTGTCTAGTCCAGGGCCTCCATGCTCTGTGCAGCCTCTGGACATGGTACCCTGCATCCCAACTGCTTCAGCGCCAGCTGAAGCTAAAAGAGGCCAAGGTACAGCTTGAATACCATTACTTCAGAAGGTGCAAGCCCCAAGCCTGGGCAGCTTACATGTGGTACTGAGACTGTGGGTGCACAGAAGTCAAGGACTGAGGTTTAAGACCTCCACCTGGATTTCAGAGGATGTATGAAAACACCTGGATGAACAGGAAGATGTTTGCTGCAGGGGCAGAGCCTTCAAGGAGAACTTCTGCTAAGGCAGTGCAGAAGGGAAATGTGGGGTTGGAGACCTCACATGGAGTCCCCACTGGAGCATTGCCTAGTGGAGCTCTGAGAGGAGAGTCACCTTTCTTCAGACTCCAGAATGGCATATCCATCGACAGCTTGCACTGTGTGCCTGGAAAGACCACAGACACTCACCGCCAGCCTGTGAAAGCAGCTGGGAGAAGGGCTGTACCCAGCAAAGCCACAGGGGTGGAGCTGCCCAAGGCCATGGGAGCCCATGTCTTGCATCAGTATGACCCGGATGTGACATCCAGTAGTCCCGTGGAGTCAAACGAGATCATTTTGGAAATTTAAGGTTTGGTGTCTGCCTGTTGGATTTCGGACTTGTGTGGGGATTTAGCCCCTACGTTTTGGCCAATTTCTCCCATTTGAAACAGGTATATTTGCCCAATGCCTGTACCCCCATTGTATCTGGGAAGTAACTAAATTGCTTTTGATTTTGCAGGCTCATAGGCAGAAAGACTCACCTCATCTAAGATGAATCTTTGGATTTGGAATTTTGAGTTAACGCTAGAATGAGTTTAGACTTTGGGGGACTGTTAGAAAGGCATGATTGTGTTTTGAAATGTGAGGACATGAAATTTCAGAGGGGTTGGGTTGGAATTATATAGTTTGGCTGTGTCCCTACACAAATCTCATCTTGAATTGTAGTTCCCATAATCACTATGTGTTTGGGGAGGGTGCAGGTGGGAGGTAATTGAATCATGGGCATGGTTACCCTCATGCTTCTGTTCTCATAATAGTGAGTGAGTTCTCATGTGATCTGATGGTTTTATAATGGACTTTTTCCCCTTTCTTGACACTCATTATCCTTCCTGCCATCATGTAAAGAACGATGTGTTTGCTTCCCCTTCAGCCATAAATGTAAATTTCCTGAGGCCCTTCCAAACAGTCAATTAAACCTCTTTCCTTTAGAAATTACTCAGCCTCAGGTATTTCTTCATAGCAGCATGAAAATGGACTAATACACAGCCTTTAAAAAGAGAAAATTCTGTCATTTGTGATAACGTGAATGAATTTGAGGAACATCATATTAAGTGAAATAAGCCAGACACAGAAAGACAAATATTGTATTGTCTCACTCATATGTGGAATCTAAAGAAAAAAAATTGATATCATAGAAGCAGAGTAGAACAGTTGTTACCAGAGACTAGGGATGGGAGGTGGGAGGAGAGAGGGGAGAAAAGGGAGAGGTTGGTCAACAGATACAAAGTTACAACTAGATAGGAGAAATAAGTTATGGTGTTCTATTGCACAGTAGGGTGACTATGGTTAACAGTAAGGTATTGTATATTACAAAACAGCTAGAAGAGAGGTTTTTTAGGCTTTCAAAGGTACTGTATATTATGAAATACCTAGAAGAGTGGGTTTTGTGGCTTCATCATCAACAGATGATGAATGCATGAGGTGATGAATACACTAGCTATCTTGATTATATTATTATACAACATATATGCATATCAGAACTTCAAATTGCATCCCATAAATATGTACAATTGCAATGTGTCAATGAAAATATAAGTTAATTCATTTTTTCTCTGAAAATATATAAAATTGAAAAATATATTTGAGAGTTAGGTTCAAACATAATTATGGTATATTACATTCTAAATTTGGCCTCACAATTTCTTTGCAAACTTTTAAGATTTCTGTATTACTTCTGATTTTATGCCTTCAACTGACACCACCCTTTACATGTTATAAGTAGAGGTATCCTAGGGCAGTGGCATACCTACTGTATTACATTTTTCTGCACAGGCAGGATACTTGCATTTAACCTTCTAAAGTTGACACCAAGGGTAGATATTTCAGTTCCCACAGCAGTCTAATAAAGGATATTTTAAAACTTTTAAGTTCTCTAGCCCCTAAATCAAATTAGGTAAGTAATAGACTACTCCAACCCTCACTAAGGCTAGCTTTACCTTCTAGATTGTTGAGGGGGTAAAACAGATTATATGAAATATTGAACTAATTTCACCTGTTACTGTTGGAACTAAGGCATCAGAATTTGTATTAATATCTAGCACATATTTTGGAGTACATGTCAATAATTTGACCTGAAATAGCCTAGTAATTTTTAACATTTATAGCAAAGTTATTCCTTACAACACCCAAAGACATAAACTTAGAAATAGTTCCAAACAAGAAAATGGAACAAAATCTCCCTTGAACATTGAGTGAAACCTTCACTCAAAATTTTATTAACCCTATATAAGCTATGTACTTTAAAATATTTTAAATGGCAAAACAAAACGAAGCAAACACCTAATCCCTAAAACTACTGTCAAAAACTTGAAATCATTTGTGGATTATAACATTTAAAAAAATCAATTTAACATTTAATTGAAAGATTTTAACAAAAACATCTTAAAAGCTGTCCCTTGACCTTAGAATAAAGTTCAAAGCTTACTAACTATCCTACATAACCTGGTGTAAATTGATCCTTAATGAATTTCCAAATTCCATTCTTCTTACCATTTACCTCTTTGCTCTCATTTGCCTTTATGCCATTTCTTTCTCCTTCTTCAATCTGGACCTCTATTTCTCCAGAGATCAAGTATCCTCATTTTTTTAGATCTCACTTTAGATGCAACTCCAGGAAGCATGCCACACCCTTCTCTTTTCTTTTCCTTTATCTCCACACACATACATTCGAGATAATATTAGGATCTTCTCTTATGTTGTACTACAGCACATGGGACTTCCTCAATCACAATCCCACTCATGTTACATTCTAAATTTCTGTGTAAATTATTATCCGGGAGGATAGGAACCATGACAGTCATATTTAACATTGTATCTCAAGTGCTTAGCCCAATCACTAGCCTATAGTAAATGGTCAATATTATTTATCCAAAAGTGAATGAATGATTGAATGAAAGAATTAGTATAAAGATAATGAAAATATACAGCATCAAAATAAAAATGAATATGTTTATTTAAATAGAAGTGTTAAAACAGAAAGGCTTTGATGAAAATAAAGAACACACAAAAAGAAAATACACCATACATTTGTCCTGAAAATTTGAGTTAAAACTATTTTCACCTGTTTCTGAGCAAATATTATAGCAAAATAAATTTCTTCATGAAACAAATTACTTTAAAGGTGCTTGCATTTGGCCATTCTGAAATTATTACTTTCCCATTTGTCCTACAGTTAATTCCTTCTTATGCAGGATAATGTGCATTTTAGTCACTTTGCACATCAATGTTATGCCTTATTATTCTACATTTATGAAATAACCCTTCTGTATTTTACTAAGATATTCACATCTCCAAGCTAAAGGGAAAAAATAAACTTACATTTTTAAAAATGAGGTTCAAGATAGACTTGACCCTTAAGAATGTCATGAGTTCTTTTCTATTCTTTGTTACCTCTAAAAGGTCTTTTGATTTTAAAACGGTGATCTTTCTACCACATTTACAACTTAAACAGTAACTTTCTTTTGCCTGTTAACATTATAGGGTTTTTTTTAAAAAAAAAAAAAACACTTTAGAAAATAGAGCTATACTCTAACACAATAGATGTATTTCTACAAATTATATTTGGAAACATACTCACCTTTCATCATTATAAGATTACACAAAACCTCACACAATAATACAATTAATTAGCATCATAATATTAACAAGTATGTATTGCTAAGTATTTTATATATGAGATTTATTTTAATCCCTACCAGATATGGAATACATTATAGGAACTCTAAGTATGTGCTTAAGCAGCAAAGGAAACTATTAACAGAGTGAAGAGACACCCCCTGAACTGGCAGAAAATATTTGCAAACCATACATCTGATAATGAGGAGCTAATGTCCAAAAATTAGAAGGAACTAAATCCAATAGCAAAAAAAACAAATAACCTGGTCTTAAAATGGGCAGAGAACCTAGACAGACATTTCCGAAAAGAAGATATAGAAATGGCCAGCAGATATATGAAGAAATGCTCAACACAAATTAAATTAAAACCACAATGAAATTAAAATCACAGGGAAATATCACCTCACATCTGTTAGAATGACTATTATCAAAAAGATCAAAGGTAACAAATGTTGGCAATTATGTAGAGAAAGGAAAATCCCTGGACACTGTTCGTGGGATTTTAAATTAGGACAGCCACTTTGGAAAACAATATGGAGGTTCCCCCAAAAAACTAAAAATAGAATTACTCTATGATCCAGCAATTCTACTTCTAGGTATATATCCCAAAGGATTGAAATCAGTATGTCAAAGTGATATTTGCTCTCTCGTGTTCATTTCATCATTATTCACAATAGCCAAGACATGAAGGCAACCTAAGTGTCCACCAATGGATGAGTGCCCTCTCTATATACACACACATAGTGGAACACTATTCAGCCTCAAAAATGAAGGAAATTCTGTCATTTGTGACACCATGGATGAATCTGGAGGACATTACACCAAGTTAAATAAGCCAGGCAGAGAAGACAAATACTGCATGATCTTACTTACATGTGGAATCTGAATATGTTGAACTTGTAGAAGCAGAGAGTAGAATGGCAGTTAGCAAAGGCTGGGGG